>NC_000003.12:115826786-116129816 GCF_000001405.40 Homo sapiens
TCATAATGAAAAGAAAACGTGACCTCTAAAAGAAACTCTACAAAGCAAAGGCAAGAGCAAGTGGAGAGTACATCTAAATACAGAAAAAAAATCATACTATTTACGAGTTAGAATGGGAAGGTTGATCTCCCAACGGAAGACCAGCCTCCAATTAATGGGATCATTCCGTCTTTTTTTTTTTTTTTTTTTTAAGCACTGCTGCACTTAACAGCTGTCAGCGATAAACTTACCTGTGTTCTGGAACTTCAAGGGAGAAAAATAAAACAAATTTCCCAAGTTACTCTAGCTTGCAATTCAACAGAGAAGTGCAAGTTACTGCTTGGTTTCATTTTGTTTGCTTTGTTTTGTTTCTAGCTATTTCTGCTCTCCAAATATCCCCAGCTTCCAACTCATACAAAACCCACACGTATAGTTGAAAAACCACTGTAGGATGGCCAAGCAAGTTTCCAACATAAAACATGGCTGGGAATGCTTGCTGCTGTGTGAGCTAAGGAGCATGGGATGGTAAACAGAATGGACACTTGGCCAAGGCACGGTTATTTTCTACTGCTTTTTTTTTTTTTTTTCTACAGGATGCTACTATTGCCTCCAAATGTCTTTTTAGGCTTTTTAGGCAGTTAAAAAGGTCATACTGAGATTCCGAGGTTTAGAAGGTGGGTGCTTAAGTCAGAATCTTTATTGCGAGTATGGGGCAGATAAAAAGTAGAATGAACTATTAGCTGTGATTGATAGTAAAGAGACTATGTCAGTGGTAATGTCTGGGTGCTAATCATAGGTATGTGTTACAGAGATGTGGGAAGCATTTTCTTTTACAATCAGCACAGTGATAAGCGAAACTATAGAGTAAACTATGGCAGTGCTTGGCTCCCCAGGGTCCAATTAGGAAGCATGATAAATGACTTGTAAGGTCTCTTCCCCACTGATCTGTGGTGGATATAAGCTGACATTCTCCGTGGAGTCCTAGTGAGTAGTCTGCCTACTCCCATCATACATCTCAGTACATAGGAACACCTTAAATTGGAATTCCAAACTCATTATGCCATGCTGTGTTCTTACTTGGCAGGTGTGTTTCTTCACAGCAGTATACAAGGGGAGGTGTAAGGTGGGATCTCTCATACTGATTTTTTCCCCATCAAGGTGCTTTTTTAGTTTAATACCTACAAATAACTTGTGATGATGAAAGAATATCATGAGGCTGCAATGACTGTATAAGGGAAATTGTTAACTAAGCTTAATTTGTATCTTGCCTCTTCAGAAGTCAAAGCTTTCTCCAGATAGGTGGGATAAGGGCTTGGTGGTGCTTGCATGGCTAGTAACCAGTGTTTAGAAGTGAATGTCAATACTATCAAAACCTTTTCTTTGGTTTTGTCTGAAAGATGTCAAAGAGAACATGCATACGTAATGCCTGGTAAATATGGTGGAAAATGTAGAGAAAGGAGCCAAGGAACAGGTTAAAATTAAGGTTCATACTTTTTGGGTTATCATAAGACATTTGTCAGGGGCTGGTACTATCTCGATGATTTAATACTTGGGAGAGTTTTTTTTGCTGTTGTTTTTTGTTTGTTTGTTTATTTGTTTCCTCTATGTACTACCACTTTTTAAAAAGGACTCTCACTCCATACAGTCTCTGAACCCAGAACTAAGTTCCCAAAGGAAGGACTTCCTTCCTGTCTAAACACAACAATGTTTCTCACAGTCGACTGCTATGCCCATGTTAACTGGCACATGAGGCAGACTCGAGAGCAAGCAGTGCTGCCGTGCACTCTAAAGACCAGAGGAGCCTGTGTCAGTTTTCTGTCCATCAAGATCCTGGTCTTCTCACCCTTTGGGGCAGCATGCCAACATTTTCTGCTGCAAAATTTCATTGAGCTCCTCTTAGGCAGCTTTATTCCTTTTAATTAAAAAGACAAGACTGCCAATTACTTAAACCTAATCCCCAAATGTAACTGTTACTTTGAAAATTTTTTTTTCTATAAAGCTCATAGAAGAGCAATATTTCTATCAAATTAAAATTTAGTGGAAGCTTGGATTTTTGTTAAAAAAAATATTCATTTTCAAATCCCTGCTGGCTCTAGACATCTAAATAGCACAGCAAGGCATTAAGGACAGGGAGCTCACCAGGAAAGGCTGACTGGTGCAGGCAGATCCAGATTCGAAAACCAGGAAGAGGCATTAGAAAGGAGTTCTAGGCACTAGAAAGGACTAAACATTCTCCTATCTTTAAATTGACTCTGTAGGATTTTTAGTCATTTAGCTTGAAGCTAAATGTAAATTTTGAGAGAAATAACACTTCCAAGCCCTTGTTGAACATTTAAATAATGGTGTGAATAAATTTTGGATTTATTCTTGCTAGCAACTTTTAGCAGGGGAGAGAACAACAGTTTAGGAAACAGAGTAGAAGGAAGAGTAAAGAGGTGGGGGAGATAAGACACAGAAATGGGGAGAAAACCTCCCTATTACACTGTGTCAAAATCATTGGATTGATGAGTGAACCATTGATTCCACATGAAATATTGGTACAATTATCCCGCTTGAGTCTCTAACCACTAAAGAAAATCAGAAGGAAATCAGACTATTGTTCCCATAAACGAGCCAGGGAATTAGGTATGAAGGTCAACTCAATAATTTTCATGTGTATTAATCAGAGCCAATCATTTTGTTGTAAATTGGTGCTGACATGTCTGCCTAAATTCTATTTGTAGTAACAAAGTCCTTGTTTCTGCTAACCAGTGGGAAGGAGAGACATATTTAAAAAGGGAAATCTTTCCTAGGACATACTTTATACCCTTGACCAGCAAAAAGGGCAGGTCCTTTAGGCTGATGGGTTGGCAGTCATGTGGTACTGTGTATGAAGGGCATCCGCTGAAAGTGTGTGAGTGTATATGTGTGTGCCACACAACCAGGAACTGTGTGCAATTTTGCAGCTCTTCTTAAATGTAATATTATGATATTGGTAAGAAAATAATGAAAAATATTTTTTATTTGGCCTTAGGATGCTTCTACATTAAAACTTCAGCAGTGTGGGGATTTCAGAAATCTTTAGAATCCATAATACATCAAAATATAATAAGAATACATTGAACTTATATCTAGCTGATGTCCATGCAACATGATACCAGTATACCTGCAAATATCAGTGCTTTTAAAAATTATAAGACACATGTGTATCTGAATATGATTATTTTAAATTCAATATGCCTTCTAGGAACTTGAAGCTCTCTTTTGTATATTATTTAAAATACCACTTTGAGCTTGTAGGCATGAAAAATATAATTTCTTTCCCATTTCACAGTTGGAAAAACTGAATTACAGGAACAATGCAAGTAATTATCCATGATTAATAGAGGTGTATATGTAAATCAGCCTGAATAAGTGTGTGAAATTAGATGTACCGATGCCAGATAGCTCTGCTCAAGTTTTTAAAAAATGAATGCTTTCATATAAATCTGTGTGAGTTGGGCATACATCTCACTGTGCTAAGCATATTTGAAAATAGATTTTGTAAAAATGTACAGACGTTAAAGTAACTGAGTGTTATAAGCATTGCAATACATAAAACAAATTAGATGAACATTTAAAATCCATTGAAAAGATGCATATCTAATGAACATGAATGTATACACAAGGGTGATTATTAATATACTATAGATTTGTATATGTGCCTGGGTGCAATAAGGGGTAGGTTGAAATGTAGGTGTCCTTTGATCATTAAAAAGTGTGGGAGAAAGGTGCACGTTTCTTTCTTAGGGTTTTGGGAGTTGAGTTAATACAGGCAAAAGCCCTTTAAACTCTAATGGTACATGAGAAGGCCGTTATGTATGTTAGCTGTTGTTATTATTAATATTATTACCATTATTAAACAAAGCAAAATACTGTTGTATTAAGGAGCTGAAAATAAGCTTTTTCTTTTTAATACTAAGGATGGTATTCTACAGAAAATAAATGAAACTGGAAATTATTCAGTGATCTTCACAGCATGGGATATGTTCAAAATTTTTCTCCCATTTTACCTCTCATCCTTTTGGAATTTGATTTCAAGAATGTATTACTGGGAATGCCAGGTGAGGGCAGGTACGCCCTCTCCTCTAACTGTAGATAGGATATGGCTGTTCTGATGCCAGGCCTGCCTGTAGGAACATGAGTCCCCCTTAGGGAGAAAACATGCCAGGACGACTTCAGATTTCTGCAAGCCTCGCTTGTTTGTGGTTTGGATTTTAATTTCTTTCTAAACTTTAATTTTGGGAGTGGGGGTTTGTTTTGTTTTCTGAAAAAGCTTTGGACAGCTGTATTAATCATGCAAACCCAGCCATGTGCAATGCATTTTATCAATGGAAAAACAGGGATGGAATGGCAAGCAGCTGTGAACAAACCTGGTGCCATGCCTGAACCTGAAAGATAATCTCAACATTTCCCAAACCCACTTGCCACACGGGGTTAGTGAATGGAAAGGCTGTTCACTTGGGATAAATAATCAGATGGGAGGCAAACAAGTGAGACACATTCCAGGATTTGTTTTGTTTTGTTTCAAAGTGGCAGTGATCAGAAAGGGATAGGCTGATTGAGTCCAGAGAGCCCCACGCTCAAGGGAATTTTTCGCTTGAGAGTTACATAAACAAAACGGTTGTTTGCCCTTGTCTTTGCCCCTTGTTTCACGTCTTTTTAATTTTCTGAGGCTGGTTTCAACACTTCATTCTGAACCTACGGTCCTCAATGTGAGAATGTCTCTGGGTGCACTTCCATTATGAAGAAGAGCTAGGCACAAGTAAACTGATGGGGAGAAATGTTATCATTGCTCAGTACCCAGAAACCTCAGGAAACAATGTCAACCTCACAAAGTGAGAAAAGTTCCCCCAGACATTGAGAGCTGACTCTTTCCTCATTTTGCAATTCAGTGGATTTTCTGCAGCAATATAGTAGGAGGTATTTATGCAAATTTATGCAATTCAGGACTCACTTCAGAATAAATAAACCTAAATTAAAATTAATGGAAGAAAACACCTATCAGAAACAGATCAAGGATAGAACACTATTTTATTTGTATCTTTTAAACTAAGGAGGAGGAAAGCAAGCTGGTTTTATATTTTGTTTTGTTTTTGGCAGATGGGGGAAGGATATTTGAAAATTTCTGATTGGACACAGCCAATATAAATTACCCATTGGTGGAATTCCAGTATTATTATTATCACTGCAGAAAATCAAGCAATATGATGAAGGAAACCCAAGGGAAATGCATTTGATTTATTGAGGCTTGTTTTTGTTTAATCACAGCTTGAAGGGGTTAGGACTACATTCCTGCTGCGACTCTGCTGTGCATCCCCAGTCATCTTGATGAGCCATGTAGAGTGGGGATAGGAGGGAAGATCCTCCAATGAGAGATATTAATAATAAAGCAGCTGAAATGAAACATACATCTTTGTGAGGTTGGAAATTAGGAAAGAAAGTTTTCCTTTTTATAATGGGAAGGCAGAAAAAATCTTTGTAACTTTTGAAACACCCACTTTCAAAACACCTTAACAAAATTAATTGCCTTAAAATTTTTAGGCCATTTTACGTCAACCAATCTCTAAGAGACAATTGATATTTTAGGAATGAAATTTAAGAGTTCATAAAGATGGTGACAATATATGATATTCAATTAAATGAAGATACCTTGCATTATAGCTATGACCACAGTGAGGCATGCTTCTCATAGATATTTGGGTACTTAACTGGCACCATAAAAATGCTTAAGCATCCTATTGTTAGTATTTCTTTCAATGGGAAGCTGCATTTCGCTTGGGTTAACCTCGATTGGAAAGAGGAGAAGAAAAGTGATTCAATCCCTAAGAAGTTAAAGTCCTTGTAAAGAACAGAAAACTTAAGAGGGGACTATCTTTGTATAGCAAACTCTCACGCCAGCCATCCGTCTTAATGAACAGCTTTTCAATTTCCACTAGCCGAAGACCAAAGTATTAGTATAAGATAAACTATATTCTCTAAAAACTATTGGATCTAAGAAAGCTAACTACAGTCTACCTACAATGTAAAATCAAACTAGGGTCATTCTCCAATCAACAGTTCAGTTTGTGGGAAATATGAAGTTCAAGAAAATCCCTCGTGTTCCATCCCTAGTCCAGACTGTTTTTCAGTATCCGACAGCTGTCTTTTGTGAATGGTGTCTGGCTTCACTTTGTTGAAAGTTACCTATATCATAATGCACGATTAGATAAATACTTGAGTTGGTGGCTGCAGAACTGCTCTCACAAATGATACCTAGAGTCACAGTGATAATGTACAAAGCTCATCTCAGATGGGGCACGACCTCTTTGAAAATGCTATCCAATGGTACAAATGCGTATGTGTGTGTTTTTCATATCAATATATTTGCAAGAGGGCAACATGATAAAGTGATGTCAATCTCTGCAGCAACACTAGAACATAAATGTGTTAAAATAATTGTGGTATGTCAGGAATTCAAAATGGGATATTTTCCATGAACAGTAAGTATCATGTCAAGTCTAAAAAACAGGCACATTTTAACAGTCTTATTTTTAGTGGCTGGGATTAGAAACAGATTTCATTGTTTTAGGGAAGTTTTTTTTTTTTTTTTTTGCTATTCAACAGAGTTATTCTAAGCTTTCATACTAAAAATAGTTTGTCCTCTTTTTAAAATTTGATAATAACTCTTATTAAACTGTCTAGTTGATCCTTGAAACCTTGCAATCCTTAGTTCGAAAATAATTAAAATATATTTGCATATGTGAATGCATATACATGCAAAACATTGCATTATTGACACTGAATATCTACACACAAGTTTGCAAGAGTTTATAGTTTGGACAAATGTTAATGAAACATGATTCATCTTCAAACTTATAAAACAGCAGCTTTCTACCTTTAATTCTGAGCACATTGCCTTTATGGTGTGTATGATAATCTTGCTTAATTGGATTTATTTTTTCCACGCCAGGTCCCGCATGGCCTAGTTTCCGTTTTTTTCTCAGGTCTTTGAGTCTATTTGCAAATCACTTTTCTGGAATTTAATTTCAATGGTAGGTTGGTTTCATTTCAGATTTTTTATATTGTTTTAATTTTATTTGCCAATTTCCCTTTAAATAGCCTTAAGCTAGAAAGTTGTGGCTGCACCTTGCGTCTAAATACGATGTAGGAGGCAAAATTTAATTTGAGTGCATAGAAAGTTTATGAAAAGGAATTCTGAATGATTATCTTGTTTTTTCATTTATGTTTTCTAAGACAGGTACATTTAAAAGGAAAGAAAAAAAAACCATGAATTGGCCAAGATTTTAAGAAAAAATAACATCTTTGTTATAATCCGGTTGAGTTGATTAACCTTTAGCAATATATACATTAATTTTTATAAGTAATACCAATGACTTCAGATTCAGACTGTATAAACTTCCAACTGTGAGGGTAGTCAGTCAGAGAATTGGTATTTTTGTGGCTAGAGAATTTAACTGGCTGTGTCCCAAATATGTGAGTTCCTAGTTCCTTGTAATAAATATTGACTGTAGAAAAAAATTGCTTGCTGAGTTTAGTATTGCCTTCACAGCTACTGACCAATTTGAAGATGAGTCAGATAATAGTCTTGTTCCATGCCTATTCAACTGGTGTTGGAAGCAACTAATTGGCTTTTTAAAAAAGGTTTAAGGGAAAAAAATGATTTATATTGTATGTGAATTTTTTGAATGTGTTTTCCCCCCTTTGTGTGTTTTGCATGTTAAAGATGATGGAGAATGACCCAGGAAGAGAGCTACAGTGATAAAAATCATACTGACCTTGAATGGGGTGGGGGATTGTGGGTAAAACACGTTCTAAAGGGGAAAAAATAGTAATCATCATGGAGATTTTAAATATTATATATATGTATCTTTCTCATGTTTAGTTATTCAAACAATTATACAACAGATGAATTTCCATGCTTACAGGATCATATCTCTCATAAAACATTTGTCTGTACTTCCTATTAACATTAAACTATCAAAGAAATTTATTAACAAAATTAAAAATGCAGAGCCTTTAAAAAGTTTAGCTAGTATAGGAGGACAACATCAGATTGTGATAACCCTACATACAGAATCCTACTGGAAAAAACCCACCACCAAGATTTTAGATCTTTTAGAGAGTTGAAGTTGAGGGTATTTATAATCGTGATCAAATTCAGGTGATACATCTTGGTCTTGGTTCTCGTCTCTTTAGCTCATGATAGATGAACGTGTGTCAGCTACAGACTTCTTTCCTCTCTCTAAGCCGTATAGTTCACATCAGCTTTAGCCAAGCATTTGAAAAATTTACTGTGGACAATACTAGCTCAACTTTTCCCTTAGGTTTTTACTTTACATTACTGATACCAGTATAGGAGTAACATCAAGGTAATAAATTCTTAGCATGTTATAATTTTATTTTTAGTCTATTCCTTAATTCCCCCTCTTTTTATAATACATTCTTACCCGAAATTTGATCAACCAATCAAATTTGCTTGGTGATACATCCTGTTGAGTATAATAAGAAGTACTTTTCTTTTGAACACTGAGGTCTTAGCTTAAAAGTATCTGACAGTCCCATACATAAGCTACTGACCATAGATAGAATGTACTGACAGAGTTCAGAATTTAAGGTGGCCTTCATTTATCTCATGAAAGACCTAAGATTAAATTCTCTTCTGGGGCTTTTTCAGAAATATAGAATGGAATAGTAGGGATAGGATGTATTATTTGCTAACTCCCAAATTATATGATAGTGTAACATAATTAGCACACACTTTTCTATGTTTCTCCTAGCAGCTTGATTAAATAAAGACCAATGAGAAATGAAAATCAACAAAAATCAAAACCACAATGAGAAAGGCATATGTGCATATTCAAATCTGATAGCCTACCATCTTGTGCCTTATGCTTAAAAAGAGTAGATTTTACCTGGACTTTGGGCACTGGATACATCTGGACACTGAGAAAACTCAGTCTCCTTGCAGAGTCAGCTTTTCTCCAGCTTGGCTGAAGTTGTCACTTAAATATGAAAGTTTCCTAAGTCCATTAAGATGGAGCAGGTCAACAGCAGCCCAGTGAACAATTGTGTGTTAGTTACACAAGTGTCAAGTAGAAAAATGGTTTAAGCCTCCACTGGTTATTTGGTATTAAGTTTCTAGCTTTGAAAATAAATAGCTAAACTGCTTTTAGCATTTATGTAGCAGTTGGAGACCACTGTTCCATATTATACTCTTTCTACTGAATTTTATTTTTATTATTACTATTATTATTAGACTGTTTAAATGACTCAGCTTAATATTTTCTCATCATGCTGTTCACAGCTGGGTAAATGCACTCTGCCCTTATTTCCACATGACCATTTATATTGCTAAACCATCTTACCCACCCTCCTTTCAGTGCCTTTCAACTGCTTCTCAGCTTGTTATTACCGTCTTAGCTCCACCCTGTTATCATCGTCTTAGGCCTATCACGCCCCATTAGTTATTCTCATTCTCTTAATTCCATCCTATTCACGTATCTTTCCTTAGATGCTTCTCCATCCCAATTTTTATTCTTATTCTTTGAGCATTATTCTGCTGCTGTTTTACACTTCATGCTAGGGTTTGCAGGATCTTGTAAGAGTGTAAAGTGAAGTAAATACCACTTATAAGGAAAACGAAACTTTCCAACTTTTGATTTTCAAACTAAGGGAGGGCAGAACCCTTGGTGCTATGCACTTCTCCTTTGGCAGCTGCTACTTGAGGAGGAAAACACACTTAGCAGCTGATTGGGAGATTTTGGGAACAGAACTATAAGGTTGGCCCTATATATGCTGTGGCTATATGCACAGCTATATGCTGTGGCTCTTAGCAAGGTCTCTTAACTCTCAGCTTTGGTTTCTTACCTGCTAAGTGGGTGGGCGAGGGGAGGCGAGATGTATCCACAGAGCCCATTTAAGGAGTTTGCATCTAGTGCTTCAAACTACATGTGGGTAGATAGCAGCTTAAGCTGTTTTATTGTGTGGCATCTAAAAGTAGCTGGTTAAAAGGCTTTGCCAAGTCTTCATTCTGTGACCCAGGTTAGAGTGCAGTGGCCTGATCTTGGCTCACTGCCTTCTGCCTCCCAGGCTCAAGCAGTCCTCCCACTTCAGCCTCCTGCGTAGGTGGGACCATGGGTGCACGCCACCATACCTGGGTAATTCTTTGTATTTTTGGTAGAGATGGGTTTTTGCCATGTTGCCCAGGCTGGTCTCGAACTCCTGAGCTCATTACAGGCTTCAGCCACTGTGCTTGGCCTAGGCTTTGCCAAGTCTTGACTAGCATCATCAAGTGCTGTATGTTTAAACAGCAAGCCTTTCCGATAATAAAATGCTTTTTAAAGAAAATGGGGAGGCCCTCATTATAAAGACTCCCTCTAGTGGTGGATTACTCAGGTAGCACTTGAAATTTAGTCAACTATGGCTTTACAACTTAATGATATTTTAAAGTTTAAAAAGAAAATTAAAAACACCTCCTACACACGGATGCAGCAAAGCCCAGTGTAGATTTTTTTTTTTGTATTTTTATTCTTTTGTACTCAAAAGCCTCAAAAGACCTTTATAATCCACACATTTTTCTAAAGTACAAGGTAATCAATCAGTGGGATTGTTCTTTAATGTGTGGGAATATTCTCCTCCTTATTCTCCTCCTAGACCAAACGCTGACTACTAGGCTAAACGCTGACTACTAGGCTGGAATATTCACTGAGAACATCAACATGCCAAAGAGAAGCCAATCATCGAACTAACCTGGTGGTAGCAGGCTACTGGGAGTTAATGAAAATGGAAGTGGGAGGCAACACAAGCAGTGCCCTTGGGTGGGAAGGGATGGAGCAGTATAAAGACAGTGGAAAGGCCTCGTTGAGTGAAAAAAGGAGAAAAAAAAATAGATTCTGCTCACCTCCTAACTTACAAGATATATCTCCTAATATTTATGCCCACATACACAGATGCAGATAATGTGTTGATTTAGGGCCTAGACTCTTGAAATAGACTACCTGAATTTAAATCTCAAGCTCAGCCTTACTTAGTTGCACTAGTCACTTAACTTTTCTATGCAATGGAGAAGCACAAGTACATAGTACGGTTGTTGTGATGCATGCCTGTAGTCCTAGCTACTCAGGAGGCTGAAGCGGGAAGATTGCTTTAACTCAGGAGTTCTGGGCTGTAGTGTGCTATGCTGATTGGGTGTCTGCACTAAGTTTAATATGGTGGCCTCCCAGGAGTCAGAGACCAACAGGTTGCCTAAGGAGGGTCGAACTGGCTCAGGTCAGAAATGGAGCAGATCAAAACTCCTATGCTCATCAGCAGTGGAATCATGCCTATGAATAGCCACTGCACTCCAGCCTGGGTAACATAGCAAGACCTGTTTCTGACACAAAAATATAATTTTTAAAAATCAGATCATGTATCTGAAACATTTAGCATAGTACATACTGCAGAGTACATTGCACTCACTTAATAAGAAGTGACAACCTTTAAATTATCACCCATCACCCTTTCTTCCTCCATGTCCGTTATTTTAAATCTAACTCAACAAGAGCATGAAACAAGATAAACCTATCTATCACCTTTGTGGGTGAATTTTAGTTATCAGTCTGGAAACACAGTCTGTTATGTTACTTATGCAGATGGTGGAACTTGTCTTGGTATCACTCGAAGTCCAAGTTTTCATCTATGTCATGCATATCCCCGTCTGAGAAAGACTAGGGAGCTGAATCCTTGGCCATACATTGTGCCATTGGATTAATGTATTCAAAACTTTAATATAAGGTAATGCTTAGCCCAAGGATGAAGAAAAAGATATACAAGGCATTACTTGGTTATACCGACTGAGGTAGTGTGGATCTTTGACAAACACGGTGCTAGAATGTGTGGAGAACTAGATGAATGAGAAAGGAATGCTTCCACCAGCTCAGGAAAAATTTACTATGAATACAATGTATTCTTACACCCTCATTCCATGATTTTGACCCCTCTGGAGATCAGTATTTGAATAGAGAGTGGGGAAGTGTATGTATGCATGTGACTGCAAGTTTACACTGTGTGAAAAGTCAGCTCATCACTGTGGTGGATACGGCTGAAAATGCGCTGACACACCAATGAAGATGAATAATCGCCAACTCTTCAGGGGCTCTGGCTCTGGGTCTCTACCTGCTGCTGCCGCTGGCTGGCAGAGGCTCACGAGCTGCCTGTTCTTCTCTGGATTGGCTTGGTCAGCAGAGCACCCCGCTGCCCACACAGTGCTTCCGTCAGGGCCGTGGCCACAGACACCTGCCCCCAAGCATTTCTCCCCTCCTGACTCTGTTCTGTGGAAAATTACCTCTGCTGACACTTGCACAGTGTCTTCCTTTTCCAATTAATCCCATTTATTTGAATGTAAGTAATAGACAATTGACCCACACGTGTACTGTTATCTTTTCCCTCCTTCCCTCCCTCCCTCCCTTCCTTCTTTCCTTCCTTCCTTCCTTCTTTCTTTCCTTCCTTCCTTCCTTCCTTCCTTCCTTCCTTCCTTCCTTCCTTCCTTCCTTCCTTTTTTCCTTGCTTTTATCTCCCTCCCTCTCTTTTCCTTTCTTTTCTTTTAGAACTCTGTGAAATATAAAGTTCTAGCTATGCAGGTTGTAACAATAGACCTCCCAAAACTAACTGGTGGTGGGTGGGTGGATGGGTGGAGGGAGTGTCATTCCTGCTACAACAGAAGGAGAGCTTCTCCCCCAAAATGTTTGTTCTTAGGCCTTGGATCTAAGAAATAGTGCAATAGATTCACCAATATTCTGCAATTTGAATAGTTCCTTTTTGCCTCAAAGCTTAATGATCTTTCATATTCTATTTTTTCAGTAAGTGTTATACCTCCTAACTTTCCCATAAAAGTGGGACATCTATTCTAAACCAAATGCTGATGCATGTGGTGCCTCTGCATGCTGCCAAAGACACAACTATGGTAGTGCCTATGTGGGACCACCAGGAAGTACATCATTAATCACTGCACCACACAATCCTCAAATGTATAATGGAGGGTGACTTCTACTAAATCATAAAGGGCAGTGTGATAGGATACACTTGTCTGATCATTCCCTGATTCTCAGTATACAAACAGAAGCTCTGTAAGATTCTTGACATTTCTCAATTTTTCTGGGTTAAGTCCTTTAAATGGACTTCTGTTATAGGGCATTGGTATTGTAGGGCGTGATGTTACCTTCCATGACCACGAGCAGTATCTCATTGCCTTTGACCAACTCTATGCTCACTTTCCCTTCTCCCTCAAGTATTCCATCCTTCTAACCTCTTTCTTTTTCCTCTCTCTCAGGCTATAGATGATATTTTATTTATTATTTGAAATATATCATTAGCATAGTTCTTAGTCTAGGTTAAATAGAAAGAAAATATACTTTAATGCAAATATGTAATTGCTTGCTTTCTGTAACTCATCCAATTGTTCTATCTTCTCTTTACTAATCTCTATACAACCTTCTTTTTAAGTTTTTAAGTGAATGTTGTTCTGCTTAACCAGGTCAACTCAGATTTGGTAAATCTTAAATTCCCAGTTGAGGCTGGTTCCCCCCGCACCCCCCCTCTCCCGCTGCCATTTATGGAATCCTTAATGTTAGGAATGAATCAAGTAACTACAGTTCTTAAGAAGTATATTCTCAAGCGTCTTAGGGATATTGATGTCTCTAGTTGAGGCAAAGAATACTTATGTTTGGTCTTTGGAGACAAGTAAACATGTTGTGAATTTTAAACTTCATATGGAGGCAGCATTTGTATAACTGTATCTCATCAAACTGTCACAGACTGAAGTCAATGAGAGTTACAAATGAGAAACTAAAGGCCGAAGTTAGAGTCATTTGTGGTTGTTTTTATAAACGGAGTTGGATCTTAAAGAGTTTTAAAATGGCTTTAACACTACATTTCAAGAGAACTCTCACTTAAATTGATTTTTTTTCTAAAAATATTTTTTTCTTGAAGGCTCATCTAAATGGAATATAGCAAGATAGAAACATTTCTTCTGGTCATAGTATTTCCAGTTTTTCCAATAGAATCTGTGCAGAAAAAAAAAACTTAGTGGTTTGTTATTCCAAAATAATAACAGTACTTTTTTTAGACTTTTCCCTTTAGTCCAAATGAACTTTCTGATTCAGCATGGGCTAACTTTTCGGTTTGTTTTGCTTATTCTGACAAATGTGTCTCTATTCCAGATGTTATCATTTTCCTGTGACTCCATTTAGCATCCTTCTGTTTCTCAGAGGGCATCGGCATCTGCTTCTGTGCTCATAGTCACCTGCCCAACAAGGCAGGGTGTTAGAGACTTGACTCTAACTTGCTGCTAAAGAGCAGGACTCCAAGATGGGGTCTCCTATTAACATCAGTGTCTTTAGAATGACCATTCTCCCCTTGTTCTACTTTCAGGATCTTCTCTGGTCTTCAGAAATGTTCCTCTTTCCTACCATTCCATCTCTGTTCCAAAAATATATCAGAAAAGTAATGTCTCTTACTGTCATACAGAAAGCTTTCTGCAACCATTTTTCCTCCTTTAGATTTTACATTATGTTTTTATCATTTATTCCACCCTTCCTCTTGTGTTGTTAAAAATATACTTTCTTTTTCCAGCCTCTCCCTTCTCTCAGCACCTTATCTATTCTCACTGAATATTTCTTCCTCAATCACTCTTATCACTGCCTTCAAAACAAAAAACAAAAAACACTGTTATCCATTTCCAGGCTTTTACATCACCTCTGCTTCTTAAAGGACCACTGCCAAAGAGACTTGTGTTCTCTGCATATTATTTCATTTAACTAACCAGGAAAAAACAAAAAACAAAAACGAAGAAAAACAAACAACAAGGCAGTTATCAGAAGTAAGAAAGACTATAGAGAGAAGTTGTTCCATTTATAAATCTCTGCTATGCACAGGAGTTGAGAACCCTGTATTTTTGTTTCAGTGCATATATCCTTATTTGTTTTTAAGTGAACTTTTAATAGCTAAGGGAATGGTTTTCACGTTTTTCATGTGAAAAGTCAATTTAATTCCATCAAGTTGGGCCCTGCTTTGGCATACTTACTGAAAAGGACTAGGCTGGCATTGGTGACCCCCAGCTTGTTGGCAGCCACACAGGTGTAGTTGCCGTAGTGCTCCTCAGTGACGTTGGTCACCGTCAGGGAAGACTGGCCCTCCGTGCTCTTAATCTCAAGGCCATTGGCACTATTTATCCTAAGAGTTCAAAAACAGAAGAATAGAAAGGATCACTGGTGAAGATTTTAGCTTAGGAATTCTTTCCCCATCCTGACACTGGAGGAAAAGGAGAGAAAGGAAGTAGCTAGAGTTTGTTGTTCCATGCCCAATTCCTATTTTAACTGTGCAATGCCATATTATCAGAATCAATGTCCATCAACAGAGAAAACTAGGGAATGGGTTTGAGTTTCTGTTATAGGCAAGAAAGACATGCAGGTGAAAGCTACCCATTGAACCGTTTTTATATTTTACCTGACTGCTTTTGGGCTTCAGCTTAAGAGCTACAGGCCCCAAAGAATTTGATAAGAGATACTAAAAAGGAAGAGTGTGAGAATATAGTTCTACATAATTACAACTGGCTTGGCTTTGGCTTTGTTGTGGGGATTCTGGTGTCCCCAGGCCCATGCAGTGGAGTCATGGGGGATGGTAGGTTTGGCACATACCTAGTGTCATCCCGGTACCACTCAAAGTCAGGTGCAGGCACTGCCGAGGCCTCACATTTGAGTGAAGCTTGTCGTCCTGTGGTGGCTTCATTGCTCTTGGATTCTGTGATAGTGGGAGGATCTGTAGGAAGGACAGGCACACAAGTTTACATGAGGGTCGGGGTGCTTAGAATTTCTATTCAGGAAGGAATGAAGAAGGACAATCTGATTAGAGAGAGGCAGGAAGGGAGCCATCTTAAAGCTCCATTTGTATGAATTATGTGATCAGCTCAATGGGGTTGATCACCAAAAAAGTAAATAAAAATAAGAGATAATTAATGAAAACATAGACTTGGTTTACTTAAATGAGACACTTAGCAGGGTTTTATGGAAATGGAATCTAGAATTTCTTTATCCCTCCTCCAGTAGGTCATGGTATTACAATTACAGATTATAAATATTTGTATAGTTTTTTCTTTTTATAAATGAAGCAATGATACCAAAGGATTTAGGAATCTCAACATATAATTTGACCATTTTTCTTTTTCTTCTTGTCATTATAGTTTGAGATGGCCTTGAGGAGTCTGATGAAAATAATAGCCAGCTAAAGCCTTTCCAACCCAAGTTTGGTCTGATATTGTTGCAGGATTCAGAAACAAACAAACAAACAAAACTAGGATTAGGTGACTACCTTCTTTTATTTTATGTGTTCCCTTATCACCACAACCCAGGTAAATTTAGCTTTTATGTGTGGGGGTACGGTTTAAAGTCTATCCTGGTGCATAGAAGACTTACTGGTATATCAGCCTTCTATTCTCTCTGGCAGTTGGGCCCTTGATTTTTATGCCCAGGAATGGGCCTACAAAACTATCACAGGCTTGAAATCAGCTGGGAAACACATTTGACGCTCTAATTTTCCATGACTCATTCAAACATTCATATGAGGATGGAAAGAGTGTTTGCATGTCCACTTGACTTTGTTAGGATTATAGACTCAAGCTCCTGAACTGGATGATGCTGTGTTTGTGCAGGTTATGGGCCTTCAAGGAGAGAAGGCCTTTCCTGTCCAAAGGTTGTTTGCCAGAAAATGGCAACTTGGCTATGTACACATGGGGAAAACAGACCCAGACACTCTGTTTAGACTCTGTAGAGGAAAAAGCTCATTTAGGAAAATTAGTAAAGTGAACGTTAGTGGGTAAATTCATTTAAACCCTGCCCTTCAGCACCTGGTCTATATTCCTTGTTTCTGATATTTTTTTTTTGTATTAAAAAACTATTGCCTAAGTTTTCTACCTATAGAAGACTGCAATTCTCTGAGTTTAAAAGAATGTACGAGAAAGCATCTGATTTGTCTGCAATTTCCTTCCTGATTTTATCTTCCCATAAGCTTAGACATTTTTAAATCACTGTCAGAGTTACAGCACATTTGAATAAACACTTGTATGTAAACAGGCGTGCTAAATGGAGTTTTGTTGTTGTACTGCTGTTGGTATTGTTGTTTTGCTTTAGACTTACTGCCTTATTTCCGTATAAGCACTAAATGGGAAGATGCTGTCATAAAACGAACCCTGGATTGGAAACTAGGAGTCCTGGGACTTAGTTTGAGTTTGGCTGTTTGGACTTCTCATCATACGTTTTCTTTCTGGGCCTTGGTTTTATTACCTATAAAATGAGGGAATCCTATTTTAATGATTTATAGCATCCTTTCCAACTGTAAACTATCCCAATTCTAGTTAAAACTGCTCATTCTTTTCAAATGAGTGGTTGGCATAATTATGATCCAAGTGTATTTTCAAACCCTTAACTAATTTAACTCTTAAATTGCTAACTTTCCAAATTATAACTCATTTATCTATTCCATGGCTTAAGAAC
The DNA here is from genome assembly GCF_000001405.40 of Homo sapiens. Classification (NCBI taxonomy): domain Eukaryota; kingdom Metazoa; phylum Chordata; class Mammalia; order Primates; family Hominidae; genus Homo; species Homo sapiens. Next base: position 115,844,309 of record NC_000003.12, read on the forward strand.
CAGGATTAGCAGTCAAGAAGAGGAAATTTGAGGTCTGATTTTGACTCTACTTCTAACCAGAGCTGTGGTCTGGGAAAACATCTGTACCAGTTTGAGCCTTTTTCTTTTTTATCTTTTTAAAAAAGAAGCTAGCTTCTAAAATTGGTTATATAGATCATTAGAGCACATCAGTTCAAAGGATAATGCAATAGTTGGTAATAGTGGTGCTGTGGGGGAGATATTAATAAAGGGATGGGACACAGAATAGAGGTTCTGGGCTTGGATTTAAAATTTGGCAGACATGAGCTCAAATCCAGGCTCTGTTCCTCATTGTCCTTCCTCGTTTGAGAGTTTAATACTTTGCCAATAGTCACATTGCTTCCATTTCCTTATCTATAAAATGTTGGGGCTGGGCATGATGGCTCATGCCTCTAATCCTAGCACTTTGGGAGGCCCAAGTGGGTGGATCACTTGAGGTCAGGAGTTTGAGACCAGCCTGGCCAACACAGCAAAACCCCATCTCTACTAAAATACAAAAAACTAGCCGGGTGTGGTGGTGTGTACCTGTAGTCCCAGCTACTCGGGAACCTGCGGCACAAGAATTGCCTGAACCCAGGAGATGGAGGTTGCAGTGAGCCGAGATCGAGCCACTGCACTCCAGCCTGGGCAACACAGCAAGACCCTGTCTCAAAAATAAAAAAATGTTGGAACCCAAGGCAGGGAAGTGCATTTGAAGGCTGAGAGATATTAGGCTTCAGAACTGATGAGACTAGAAATGGATTTCATAAGGGTGAGGAAAAGAAGGAGTGTTGAAAAGGTAACACTGTGATTTCTGGCTTGGGCATCTGGGTAATGCCATCCACTGAGATAAGATTCATAAGTAAAGAAGTAAGACGACCAGCAGTAGAATACTCAATAAATATTAGTTTCCAGTCCTCATTTCTTCTCACTGTATTGTGTTCTTAAGCTGCCAGTGACTCCATAATCTGTAGCACATTGGCCCATTGATGTTGGCTGAAGATAATTTTGCTTATGAATTTTGTTTGTTCAATTTCCCAATTTGTAAAATAAATTTTAACTACTGTTTGTGAGTTTCTGGAGCCACATGGTTATAACTGCCAAATAGTGACTATTTACCCTTGGTCCCCTACCACTTTGGGACCCGGGGAAGGAAATAAATGATTTTTCTGATTGAAAAATTTGGGAAGAAGAAACTGGGCCTGTTTGGCTCATATCTTTCCTTTCTTCCTTTTGGGACCAAGCTTCTGGCCGGTAGCAGAGGTTCTCCTCTTTTCTCCATGTCAGAAGGCTTATTTGGGCTCTCTCCTTTCTGCTTTCATGTGGGCAGGCCCGTCCCACCCCAGGGTTGCCATGCATGACTGGGGAGGTAAGTCGGCCACACTAAGCTACTATCTCTAGCCACCTTGATCTCTAAAAATGGGAACATTTAGGTCTCCCTGACCACTCTTTTCCTTACTTCTCAATTTGTTTGGAACCTGAATTACTAAGCAGCAAGCTATTTATTAGCCCCTCAGAGACCCCAGCATGGGGAAGCTGGCAGCAAACTAGGATTGAGCACTTACAAGTGCATTAATCTAGTCAGTTACAAAGACCAACTACTTGCTTCTCTCTTTGAAAACTTAGGAATTTTCTTGTACCAGGGTAAATATATGAATACTGATAAATATACAAAGAGCTCATTGTTTCTAATATTTTTCAAATGACACCATGGTGCAAGTTTATTTTTTCATGGCTTATTGAAATGAACATTTCAAAATTCATTTGTAATGAATTCTGCATAGGTGAGGCTAAGAAAGACTATTACAAATCATACTGCAGCATGCTTTGTGTAGTTAAAATAATAGATGTCCTTATTCAAAATATGGTTATAATAAAAATGTGGCATCATAAAAATGCTGCACAGAGAGGTCCATTGTTATTCTTTATGTGACTTTGGAATAGCTTACAATTGTCAAAGGACTCTTCCAGTTTATATTAATTCAAAATTCCACGTTCTGAAAATATTAATAGGGCCTTTCTTCTTCTGACATCACCAATAACAAGACTCTTTCAATCAGAATAAATAGGGTAACAAAACAGAGGACTAGGAAATAAAATATCATTCATTTAATCTTACTAATATTGGGAATATTAGTATAAAAGAATAATATTCTGAATAGAAAATTTAATGTATAGTCATTTACTGCATGTCGGCACTCTAATAGGTTTTAGATATCCTCTTTATCCAAATAATTAGCCCTAGGAAGTAAATATGATTAACCCCATTTTATGAAAGAGAAGACAAGTTTATAGAGGGTTAGTAAGTTGTCCAAATTCACATGGTCAGTACTTGACAGACCATGGATTTAACCCCAGGTTTATCATGCTCTGAAACTCATGCTCTGAACCTCTCTGCTCTGGTATGTCTATTTGAATGAATTCTTTTGGAGAACAATGAATTGCTAATAGGAAAAAATACCATTCAGGGGAGGGAGCATGCTGGTAGATGGAAAGGTAAATGTTGCATATTTCTATTATTTACAGGGTACAAACAATGGCACAACATGCGGCGACACAGTGGATATAAACCTGTATTAGGAATCAGGAAATGCAGACTCAATCTCTGCTATTGCCACTTGGATTGTTACCATGGGACACAATGCTCCCTTGCAGCCCCTCACCTAGGAATATAGACAATGATGCCTGCCTGTCTATCTCACAGGTTTGAAGTAAAGATCAAATGAAATCAGTAATATGAGAGCACTTTTAACGCCTAAAGTGATTGCACATATTATTTTATAGTATTATTATTCACTTGGTATCATGGATAAAGAAAGGACTTTGGAGTTAGACCTGGGTTTGAGTTCCAAGTCTACCACTCACCAAAGCTGTTTGATTTTGTGTCACAGCATGCTTACACTCACTGAGCTTTATTTTTGTCCTCTCTACGTGGGGATGATATAGTTGGTCTCCCATGGGTAGTGTGCAGTGGTATAAAAAGCAGCAGAGGCAGAGGATGTAGGCCATAAGAAACACATTGTCTGTATAGAATTTAGAAATGATAATAAAACTGATTTAGAATTGCTTTTTTGTAAGTTACCATGTGCCAGCAATATTAAACAATGTATATTAAATAATGCCAGTGATAAAGTAAATACTTCTCACTGGGGCAGACCAGGCCCAATACACCTTCCAATTTGGTTGGTGATATGGTTTGGCTGTGTTCCCACCCAAAATCTCATCTCAAATTGTGATCTCCATAATCCCCACGTGTCAAAGAAAAGACCAGGTGGAGGTAATTGAATCATGGGGGCAGTTCCCCCGTGCTGTTCTCGTGATAGTGAATGAGTTCTCATGAGATCTGATGGTTTTATAAGAGTTTGGTAGTTCCTCCTGCACTCATTCCCTTTCCTGCCGCCTTGTGAAGAATGTGCCTTGTTTCCCCTTTGCTTTCTACCATGATTGTAAGTTTCCTGAGGCCTCCCCAGCCATGTGGAACTGTGAGTCAATTAAACCTCTTTCCTTTCTAAATTACCCAGTCTTGGGCAGTTCTTTACAGCAGTGTGAAAATGGATTAATATAGTTGGCCACTGTTGGTGTGATGATTACAGTGAATTGATATGAAATCTCTAGGAGAGTCTTGGTACTCTGAAGGTACTTAGAAAATTATGGTTCTTGTCCATATTGCAAAATTATAATGAAACATTGTAGTACTCTGGGTTGTTACTGAATATTTCCTCTGAAGACCTCATAATAGATTCATATTAGGATATGTCTTTACCATTACCTACCCACAGGCAAGAATAAACTAAAGATGAGCATGGAGACTGAATAGGTGTAACTATGAAAAGCTAGAGAAGCTGGCCAGTCTGGTTCCATATTAAACAGTTATTTTCCTGGCCAAGGCAGGCAGATCTCTTAAGGTCAAGAGTTTGAGATCAGCCTGGTCAACACAGTGAATCCATGTCTCTACTAAAAATACAAAAATTAGTCGGGTATGGTGGCACGCGCCTGTAATCCCAGCTACTTGGGAGGCTGAGGCATGAGAATTGCTTGAACCCAGGAGGCAGACGTTGCAGTTAGCTGAGATTGGGCCACCGCACTCCAGCCTGGGCAACAGGGTGAGACCCTGTCTCAAAAACAAACAAACAAAAAAGTTATTTTCCTAATGTTTTCTCATTAGGTGATTTTTGAATCAAATCACTGAAGATACCAGTTAAAATACACATACATTATCTGGAGGCAACAGGTGTCTCCAGTCCCAATTGGGTATTCTGTGGCAACCTCTGCTTCCTCTAAATACATGGCTATCAAATGTAAGGCAAGCTCACATTTAGAAATGTCAGCTCCCCAAGTGCCCCAGCATGGGTGTTGGTTGGGTTGATTAGCTCTAGACACCAGGGTGGAGGCAGAACTGAATTCAAAGAGACAGACAAATAAAGGGAAAAGGAGTTGTGAGAAGTGACAATGTGAACCTATTTGGAGAGAGACCTGTGGGAAAGTGGAAGGTGGGAATGTCAGCTGTTCAATGGGGCGGGGACAGGCTTGAGAGCTGGGAGCAGCTTTTAAGAGAAATTTCTCCAGGAATAGGAAAAGAGTCCAATATTGAAAGAGTCTAGATAAAATTAACAGTTTGTATTTGTTAAACATTTACTAGGTGCTAGATATTATTCTAGGTGTACTGGGCACTAGGATGAGTCAAGCTCAAAAGTAGTTACATTTAATGCACTGTGAACTGAAATTGAGGAACTGCACCTAGAACCTGCAATGAAAGAACAGAGTGTCCCTAGGACTGGTATCTGAAAGAAATTAACAGCTACATTGTGGGTAAGATACAGAAAGCTGAAAGTCCTGTCTATTGTCTAAATTATACTAAGCTTATTTAATTGAAGAGATTTTGAGCCAATATTTTAGCTTTCCGTAAATTCCAGGACCTCCTACCACTTAGAAAACAGATTTTGCATGTAAAAGTGGCTATGTGTAATGCTATATGCCTACTGCAGAGAAGTGCTATCCAAAAGAAGTAAAAAGGAGAGACCATAGAGTCCAGCTTGTGAGCTCAACAGGAGAGACTGTTATGTCTCTCTTCTTTACTGCTCTAGTCTCTCAGTGCCCTGCAACAAACATCTGTTGGCAACTGAGTAAATGAGTCAAGGAAGTGCTGATGGGAGAAAGTTAATAGCCCTGAGATTTTTTTTTTTTCTTGTAGTGGTACTCAGGGTCTGTTCATTACAATAATCTATTTGGCCAGTAGTTATCTCAACCATCCTGATCCCCTGACCTAATTCCAAAGCCTGTGTTTTGAAAAGGAAGCAGAATCAGTTTAAATAATGGATTTCATGGCCGGTAGGATTAGATGAAGTGACAGAGGTGATCCTGGGCATTTCTTTGCATGTAAGAGTGTTGCTAGGCAGACTTGGTTCCATAATTCAATCTGAGAGGCTTCATCTACTTAATACAACTATATTTAAGTTGGATTAATTGTTTGAACAGGATAACTCTGTGATGACTAGTTTTAATATAAACACAGCTCATGAGGTTTTGGTAAAAGGTGATTCCAAAGGAAATTGATAAAATATGTTTCAAGATTTGTGACCATATTATTTGCAAAATTTGGAGAAATGTTGAGGGCAGAGTTTATCTGTGAATTTTTCACCTACTTATTCAATACACATTTACTGAGCAATTTTTATAAGATCAGGCACATGCTAGGTCCTGCTTGTTAGGACATACTGGATATGTGACTAAACTCATTATAGTTTTCCATATAATTTGTTATGAGGTATCTTTTTAGAATCTCAAATTTCTGTCCATATTCTGTGGTTCACTCATCACTAGCAAAAGCTCACATTTTCATAAAAGTCTTTTCTTGAAAATTATAAGTATTTTCTTCTGCTTTAAATTACACTTTGGGGACAGTCAAGAAGAAGCAATGTCAGACTAATTGCACTAATAATAATAGGACCCAGGTGGCTAGCTTTGATCTTGGGAACCATCTGCAATCCAGACCACTTTGATGTTTCACACAATGGAAGCATAAATATTTTCTATGTATACCACGATTGGACTTTCAGAAATCTAATTAAGATGAAGGTCAATTAAGAGAAAATGAAACCTTAACTCCAAAAGTCAGGGAAGAGATGGAAGATGATGGCATGGTTGTGTGTACATAAAAGAAGCTAACCTAATTATAAACTTACACAAACAGCCAGAGAAGTTGCCTTTCATGTGACAAAAAGGTCCTAAAGCATTCTATAACATTGCGATCATTAATGTGTCTTTGAAACACACCCAACACTAGAAAATAATAGTAATAACTGGCATTTCAAAACTCTATTACTAAAAAATTGGAAGATAGCTAGGGATAGAAGCACTTCAGAACTCATGAAATGCAACCCCTTGCTTCTTGGAAATGAGTGCCATAAACTATAGCAGAGTCATTTGTTTCTATTAGATTCCTCTAGGTTTGATGTGAAAGAGATTTTGCTGCTTGTTTCAGAGGTCTGCAAGGCTGGAGAAGGTCACAGGTAATGGTGCATCCCAGCATAGGCTGCGTAAACTTTAGCGAGTTTCCTCAGCTCTCCAAGCCTCAGTTTCCATATTTCTAAAGTAAGACTAATGATGCTTATCTCATAGGTTTAAAATGGCTGTGGGGATTAAACAACAAATATAAATCTCTCTCTCTCTCTCTCTTTTTTATTTTGAGACAGAGTTTCACTCTTGTTGCCCATGCTGAAGTGCAGTGGCGCGATCTCGGCTCACTGCAACCTCCACCTTCTGGGTTCAAGTGATTCTTCTGCCTCAGCCTCCTGAGTAACTGGGACTACAGGCACCCGCCACCACACCCAGCTAATTTTTGTATTTTTAGTAGAGACAGGGTATCATCATGTTGGCCAGGCTTGTCTCGAACTCCTGACCTCAGGTGATCCGCCTGTCTCAGCCTCCCCAAGTGCTGGGATTACAGGGGTGAGCCACCATACCTGGCCAATATAAATCTCTTAACTCAATGCTGCACATAGTAGGTATGTGGAATTGCAAAGTCCTTATCTTCCTCCTGAGAGTGTGGGCTTTAGAATCAAATGGACCTGAGTCTGAATCCCTTTTCTTACATTTACTTTCTGTGTCACTTTGAATGAGCAGTTTTACCTCCTTGGGTTGTGGTTTTTCAAACTCTAAAATGATCTCAATTATATCTACCTTGCTGGGGTTGTTGAGTAGAAAAGAGAGAATTTATATAAAATCTCTGGCACATAGGAAGACATGAGATGACAGAAAGTACTCGTCATAGCCTAAAGGATACTTTCAAATATGGATTAAGATGTTTGTACATGTATGCCTGTGTGCCTATATGTGTGTATGTAGGATGTGTGTGCATTCAATGCATAGAAGAGAAGAACTGTCAAAGCTTCCCTTTGTCCCTGACACTAGCCACAGCTGTGTGATGTGGGAACTTGAATTTGAATGATGCAGAGTCAGTGCTAACTGAACAGGGTAAACGAATTCTCTTTATTCCTTTGCTGGGTGACACACATCATATAGATCCTCCCCCCGCCCACCCTCTTTTGAACTACATCTAAGAATCCTTTCATCCGAGAAGTTCAAAGTATGCCCACTTACCTATGCATCTTAGTGAAATCTTCCTTTCTAATGCCCATACTTTGGGACAAATAGGTAACTGAAATTAACTTATCAGACATTCCTGTTAGCCATCAGGGACACATGGTGTCTGACCAGAGTGGCTCTAATTTGTTCCCAAGGCCAATTATTTAAATAGCAGAGGATAAAATATAATCTTGAGGCATTCCCTCCTGACAAACAATGCATTAAGATGGACATTCCAGTTAAACCAGATACAAATTGTTGTTTTTTCTAAAGTAGTATGACCTTGATTTCCACGAAGACCAGCATAGTGACCGCCAGCAATGTTAGTGCTGTCTGATCATGTTTTCTTAATTCTTTAGTCTGAGTAGAAAAGGGTACTGTTAAATGTATTATGGATTACATTTAGAGTTGATTTACCAAATTCAAAGACCAAGTCCTGCCCTTGGATGTGTTCAATGTATAAATGTGCATTCCTGGCCAGAGGAGCATCTGCTTGAAATACAATGTTCTTTTGCTAATGGAATCTTTAGAGCTCACTGGAGGTAGAGGTGCACCCTGGGCACCTAGCACCTGCTGGCTCCTGCCGTACTCACAGTTCACAGTGACCTTGACTTGTTTGACATCCGCCGAGGAGACCTCGTTGGCAGCTTTGCACTCATATTTGCCTGACTGCTCCCTGGTGATGCCAAGGATCTCCAGATATTCTTCTTCTCCTTCAAATTCCCTTCCTGAAAAACAGAGGTTTTCATGATTCTTTTTTAAAGTCTGAAATAGGCAGTAGATCCTCTCATTATTCTTTTTAAAAGCCATAAATCCACATTTCTTTTCAATGATTTGAAAATGTACTTTGTCTGACATCAGATTCCACAGAAGCAGACCTCAAGACAAAAATCTTATGAAAGTGATTGAGTAGAAAATACTCTCAGGAAAAACCAGAAAGAAAATGGGAAAATGGAACTTGGAAGACAAAGAAGCCAAGCAAGGGTGCAATGCCAAGCTAAGTCCCACAGAGAGCAACTGTGGCTCAGTCTTTCAGGGAGGCCTGAGGACAGCTCATGTCCCACTTCAAAATTATTCTGATCATGAGGCTGGGAGCTGGGGTGTTCATAGGTGCATGCACTCACTCGTCGCTGGTTAAGGGTTTCGAACAAAGTGGGAGCTGGCGGGAGGTACATGCAAATCATAAAGTGCTCTGAGGGGATATAGCACCAACATCATCTATTACACCATGCTGCAAAGCACTCTGTTTTTTGTTGTTGCAAAGCACTCTTTACACCAACATTGTTATTAGACAAAGTGGCTTCCTTTTGAGAAACCACCACTCTTCTTCAGATTCTGTTAAATTCTGTTCACAAGGATTGTATGCTAAACTGTCTTGGCAGTTGTGATCTCTGTTCTATATCAAACTACATCATCCTAGAGGCTTTTAGGCCATGGGCCAGATCCATGAGAATGTGCTGCTGATGGTGTGTTTGTGATGGACTGTGTCATCTGGGGTTTGGGGTAGGGAGTTAAATATTATTGGCTTAAAAGTTGGGATTAGGTATAGGGAGGTCCTGTTTGGAAAGATCTACATAGTTGAGTGTGTGCATTTTAGTAAAGAAATCTCAACTTAAGAAACCTTGTTTAAATTCCCCTATGTGGAGAATAATTGATTAAACCATTTTCTTCCTGAAGAGATGGAGAGAGAAATAAGGAAGAAGTAGAGAGGGAGAAAAATGAAAAGAGGAAAAGAAGGTGATTGAGGAAGGAGAAGGTGAAAGAGGAAAGAGAAGAGGAAATGAGATTGGGTAGCAGGAAGAGCCTAGCCAGAGCTTGGCCAGAAAGGCCCAAGGACTTCAACTCTAGCTAAACTGAACCCCCTCACCCCAAAATTTCAAAACTCCACTGTTACACGAGTTAGGATAGAGCAGCTGGGGAGGGTGTTAAAGAACACAGTCCTGCAATCACGATGCTCCTGGTCATTCTCTACTAAATGGTACCAGTCATTAGCTCTGCTCAAATGCTATAAGCTGTTTTCCTTTTTTTGGGAATTCCTCAATGACCAAATCAACGTAACAGACAGTTAGCAAGGAGACAAATTTACTCTAAATATGTCAGCTAAACCTGTTAACTAGGCTTCCGACAGAACATGGGGCTTCTTTGCTAGCATTCTATAACACAACTCTCTGGATATTCCAAGCTTCAAGTCTTCTCTCAATTGTCAATATCACTAGTTTTGAGGAAACTGTACAATCTTGATTAAAAAAACAGGCAAGAGTAATATAACATTATTTGGTTCTGAAGTTCTGCACATTATCTTTATCTAGCACATGCTTCTACTGAGAATGTTTTAGAATTAGTCTATAGCATATAGTTAAATATTATTATTATTATTATTATTATTATTATTATTTTTTTTTTTTTTTTTTGAGATGGAGTCCCGCTCTTTAGCCTAGGCCGGATTGCAGTGGCACAATCTCGGCTCACTGCAAGCTCCGCCTCCCAGGTTCACGCCATTCTCCTGCCTCAGCCTCCCGAGTAGCTGGGACTACAGGCGCCCGCCACTGCGCCCGGCTAATTTTTTGTATTTTTAGTAGAGACGGGGTTTCACCGTGTTAGCCAAGATGGTCTCGATCTCCTAAATATTATTTTTAAGAGGTTAATTTTTTCCTGTCTACATTTTTCTCTTCTCCTTTGCCAACATTTAAAGCAAGTACTTAGATCTGATTTTACATGTTATAGAAGTAGAATGTAGTAGAGAAGAAAACAGTAATCTCAGAAAGGGTAACTGGCCACTTTTCTGGATTAATTGGGCAGGATTTAGGATTGAAGGGGTAAAAAGATCTTTCCTGCATATTGTTTCTATGCACTAAGTGTCATGCCAACTATTTGATGCTAAGACTCTTCTAGCTGAACATAAATACCCTGAAGGCTAATGGCAACTTTGACAATTAGTTTTTTATTTAGCAGGCAGAAATAGGTATAAGCTCATTGAAAACCTAGAATGCAGAGGTAGAATAGAAAGTAAGATAGCATTATTTATTTTGAGAATAATGGTAAATTTTAATGAGAAAATAGTTAATAATAATTTCAGAATGTTTTAGTATTTCTTCTCATACTGCATATCCCCCACCCATAATCTTAATCTTGGTTGGGGACAGAGCTGTCAGTAGAAGAAGGAGAGAACAAGGATAATCTTAGAGATGGTTGGCAACACTGAATTCTTTCCAATTCCCATGAAATACCTAGAAATGGTGGATTATGGGTCCCTACTTCGCTTTTTGAATTTATAAAACAAAAACAAAAACTAAACAGTTGCAGGAGAGAGAAAGATTATTTTTAGCTGCGCCAACTAAAGCCCTACCAATTCTGGAAGATGGCACCTATGAAAGGAAATAGTAAGATGAATGACAGAAAATAAAACAATATTTATTGTGTTTGGGGCCTGGGATTCTTACATACCAATATAAGTATTAGTAATCTCATTTGTTCCTGATAAGCAGATAATAAAACATATCCTTATCAGATAAACTTTCAATCTCATGTCTCTAGAATTTCCCCTAAACTACCTGAGGATAAAAGGAGAGTTTTCCCTTAAGTGACCCACATGGGAGGCAGAGACATCATTTTTGCTTCTCCTGTGATAGCTCTCCTCCTCTCTGATGGCAGCCTCTGTCTCCAGCACACAATGTGCATAGCTATCTCAATAAAGTGGGAGCAGGCTCAAGGTGCAAACCAACTATCGGCAGGGGAAACTACACCGTATTCCATCATCCAACCAATCTCATCCAACAATTCTCCTGCTCCTTTCTTTCCTTTGCCCCGGTGTGTCCGTCCTCATGAGAGCAAATTTTCTCCAGTTCTTTCAGTTCTGACTGGCTGCTCTCAACCCAAGGGTCCTGCCAATATTTCCTTTTATTCTCTCAACCTTAAGAAGACTCTCAAGCCAGAAACTGAATTTAAAACATTCAGAGACACCCCTGGGCCCTCCCTGTTGTCATGCTTCCTTTCCCTATTCCCTGGATCCTCCAGTTGAAACTCTTGCATTCCCTGGCCCTTCCTGATTAGTCTGTTCTAGTCACACCCAGGAGACTTTTCCCACAATGCATTATCTCTACTGCTTCACTTGAGAATTTCTTACCAATTCACAGAAATTTAACAGGAAATGGGAGCTTTTCTGTTGTTGGAAAGCCAAAGCTCCAGATTGTAAGTGTTGCAGGGACCATGCCTTACTCATAATATCCTCATGAACTAGCACAGAGTTTGGCTCAGATTAGTCACTCCATAAATGTTTGTTGAGTTAGCTTGCTACAGACCCAATGCTGGTGCTTCTCCAAAATTCATATGTTGAAACTTAAGCCCCAAAGTGATGACGGTATTTGGAAGTGGGGTCTTTGGAGGTGATTAGGTCATGAAGATGGAGCCTTCATGAATGAGATTAGTGCCCTTATAAAAGAAACTCCAGGCTGGGTATGGTGGCTTACGCCTGTAACCCTAGCACTTTGGGAGGCCGAGGTGGGCAGATCACTTGAGGTCAAGAGTTCAAAACCAGCCAGGCCAACATGGTGAAACCCCGTTTCTACTAAAAATACAAAAAAATTAGCAAGTGTGGTGGCATGTGCCTGTAATCCCAGCTATTTGGGAGGCTGAGGCAGCAGAATTGCTTCAACCTGGGAGGCGGAGGTTGCAGTGAACTGAGATCGAGCCACTGCACTCCAGCCTGGGTGACAGAGCAAGACTCCATCTCAAAAAAAAAAAAAAGAAAAGAAAACAGAAACTCCAGAGAGTTCCTTTGCCTCTTCTGCCACGTAAGGACACAGAGAAAAGAGAGCTGTCTCTGAATCAGGAAGTGGGCCCTTATCAGACAGTAAATTTGCTGGCACCCTGATCTTGGACTTCCCAAGCTCCAAAACTGTAAGAAATACATTTCCATTGTTTATAAGCTACCCAGTCTATGGTATTTTTGTTATAGTAACCTGAATGGACTGAGATAAAGCTGAACTGAATTAAGAAATTCAAAGAGATACTAGAGTCATTGTCAGCACTTCATGTAGTTTAAGAGAATAGAGCTAAGTATTGAAAAGTGGCTAAGTATTTCTGTCAGAGAAGTTGGCATAAAACTCCACTGCCTTTTAATGACCCTAATAGAGTTCTCTTTTACTGGGGAAGAAAGGGTGTGCTGCATACTCTGCTGTTGAAGGACTGCACAGGGGCATCTCTGGCCATGTCCTGAGGAATTATCTGCCATGTGGAGTTATCGTTTTGGAAACCAACAGAGCTCCCTGTGGACACAGGCACGATACAATCTTAGCAAGTGCCGTTTCTTGTTTTAAGGCATGGAATACACCAGCTGAATCTTGAGTCACAAAATTCTAAAATGCACTCAGATTCTCCTGTTCCTTTCTTTCCCTTTGCCCCCACGAGCCTGTCCCCAAGAGGGCAACTTTTCTCCACTTCCTTCAGTTCTCTCTGACTGGCTGCTCTCAACCCCAGGGTCCTACCAATAATGTCTTTTATTCTCTCAACCTTAAAAAGACTCTCAGGCCAGAAATGGACACAAAACCTATGGTTTAAGTTCTCTGGTAGACGAGTTCTATGGCCACAATTTGGGTCTTTCTCTTGTCCCTATCTATTATTTTTTGCCCTTACAGAAATGTTTACTTGAAATGCAAATTTCAGTATTTTGGTATTTTAAACATCTCAACCAATTTCCACAAGCCTGCTCACATCGCTGAGTGTTATGTTTATTCTGGGATCTAGTGTTTAGTTTAAATCTCCCTTTGCTTAATGTGTTTTTGTGTCTCCTGGCAATATTCAGCTACCAGGCTAAATAACTTCTCATCCTCCTCAGTGTATGCACCTTTTAAACTCTTGCACATAATTAGCATATCCCTTCTTAGTCACTGTTTACTCAAGTTGTACATATTAGTTCTTTTAATATTTCTTCATAAGTCAGAAAGAAGGGCCTAGAGCTAATGGCAAGAGAAAAGTGTTCTCTCCTGTGTTCCCCAATGTGGAGGCAAATCAGCCAGGAATAACTCCAATTAAAGCATGCCAGGTGCTGCCTTCTGAGTACAGTGCCTTCGGAGTTCCATGCTTTAGTGAGCCCTGTAGTTGCTATGCAAAATGTTGACTGATTTAGATTTATAAGGTCAACCAGGCATTTGTAAAAAGGAGCCATTTGAAATTAAATATATTTCCATGGTGCTGCTTTCTCTCATTCCCTTTCTTTCTCTCCTCCCTCTCCCTCCTTCCGTCCTCCCATCTCTCTCTCTCTCTCTCTCTCTCTCTCTCACACACACACACCCCACAAAAAGCTAGTTATTTACATATAAGATTTTACTGTTAAATGTGTGTGAGCAGCACACACATTTCCTCACCCTCAAATATTTGCTCACTAAGCAGAACAGGACTAGCCTCAAAAACTTCCCAGGACATGACAACCAGCCCCATATTTGGAATTAAAAATTTTTTTACAGACTATTGCTCTAATAATCATTATAGTACCTGTCTTTCCTTTTATTTGAGATACAAAGAATACAATTTAGGAAACTTGCTAAATTGGAGCACTTTGTGACTTTAAAAATATAGAATTCCAAGGAAAGTATGTTAGGAAATGAATGGATCATTTTTTTCACTGTTCTGAGAAGACTTTTATAAGTATAGCATCTCGGTAGATCAATCTTTCACAGATAGGAAGATGTGCTTGAAATGGGGTTGCTATTCCTTTTACTCACCTACGTTTGAATATTTACATGCAAGTGGCTGTAAACACACTAGCTATAAACACAAACATACATACAGTTTAATGAAAAGCAAAGAACTAGAATTTATCTTGCAAGGTGTATATGTGTGTATATTTGTGTTTGTGTGGGTCTGTGATTGGAAATGTGAGTGAAGTAAGTAAGCAAGAAAAGCAAGCTATGAACTTCTACCTAAGAAAATTAAAGGAAAAAAGATCACGAATCAGTGATGCCATTTGAAGTTTCCTGTGAGAACTTCAAATGCTGTACCATGTTTCTGTTCTTACAGTATGTTTCATGTTTTGCTTTTGTTTTCCCCTAAGGACATGCTCTCACCTATTCCTGTTTTTGCTTTCTTCCCTGCTTTCCTGCACATCACGTTCTACACAAAAATGCTAAGGAAAGGAAGAGAGAAAGAAACACAAGAAATCTAGAAAAGATGCCTGCAGTAGGGTTCTGTTTGTATTTCCAGCCATGTGTCTCTCCAGATTATTTGAGGTTTTTGCTTCTCCGCTTCACATTCCACCTGAGAGACCCCTTAGTGTTTGACAATGTTGCTGTCCAAAGGCTGAAACCACTTCTCATCCTCACTTTTCACCACTGGAAGGGAGGGGTGAAGAGTGGTAAAATGATCCCTGATTGAAAGAAGGCAGGGAAGGGGTAGATGCAGTCGTCAAAAGCAACAACCACAGGAGGATAAGGAGACACAGGGAAGAACAAGGTATTGAAGGGGATGAAGAAAACAAAAACAAAAACAAAAACGGAGAGATGTGATATAATGAGAACGATTTTAGGGAAGAGTTGGAGGAATGGAAATGAAAGGAGAGAGAGTTTTCTGAAGAAAGAGGCATATGACTGTTTAGACATTTGAGCTGCATGCAAGGGAAGGGGTGGGTTACTCTGCTATAGAAATGTTCCCTATTTGAATAATAAGACACAACAGGGGGTGGATTATGCAAATTGGCCCCATGCCTTCTGCAACCCCAAAGGATGTAGTTAGTACCCAGAAACCAGTGACAAGAACAATGCCAGGGAAGATTCACAACTGGCTTTGGCTCTATGAATGAGCATGGGCCAAATGAAAAAGAACATCCTGGGATTATTCTTCCTGGCATCCAGAGAGATCCAATTCATTATGATTTGCATTTTTGCTTTCACATATAAAAAATAAGCCAGCTGAAATAGTTTGAGCTGAGTTTCCAGCCTGAGGCTGCCATGCATGCATCCTTTTTTCAGTCCTGGGCCATGACATTCTTTTATTGTATTTATACTAAACCATTACCCCCTACTTGGTGTCAGTTTTTAGAAACTGCCCTGCCCTTCTAAATGTGATGCTTGAAGTCAGAATCCCCTATATTTAGTTCTCTGAAGGGGATTGTACTGAGAATAGCTATGGTTACATTGTAAGGCTTTACCACTGTAAAAACCACATTTGGTTTTGATCATCACTGTATCCCTTCCCTAGTGTGTAGCACAATGTCGGAACCTATTAAAAGTTTAAGAAATATTGTAGAGTGAGTGTTGTATGAGCTACCTCTTAATAAACACTTGCTAGGCACTGTGCTAAGTGACCCAGATATATTATCTTATTTAATTCACGATAGTTTTAAGATTGCTTACAGATGTGTAACACATAGGAACACAGGTTTAGAGTGGTCAAGAAACTTGCCCAAGCTTATAATGTTAGTAAGGAAGACATGAGCTTTGACCCAGGTCTGTGGACGTTTGGGACTCATGTTCCGAACTAAGCATGCCTACTTTTATCATTAGAATGCTGAAGGATGCTACAGTTGGCTGGATTCTTAGCTCTCAGAATCTGCTTTATTTCTTTCTTTCAAGTATAGAGTGGGAGATTGAGAATAAGACATGTGAGAAATTTCCAAAGCAATGCAGCTCAATTACTGATAAAGAAGGTAAAAAGACAGGCTTCATCTTTTATGAGGTTTGTCCACTTCACTTAACTTCCTTATTGAAAAGATCAAATGAACCAATAAATGAGGGGAAAAAAGTTGATCTTTAAAAATTTAGCCTCTTAACCATTTATTTTTAGGAGTCCCTCCATTAGCAATAAAAACCTATTGGTACACAAAAATGCCAGCAACCAGCAAAGGAGCTACAGAGACAGTGTAGAGTAGACTTAGTACTAGAGAAGATTTCTGGGAGAAATAAGTTTTCAGGAACTTAAGAAATGCAAGTGGAGAAAAAATTAGGGCTGGCAAATTGCAAAAGGGTGTGGCAATCTAGAAGTCTCCGAGCAGGAAAAATGAGGATGGTGATGTGTGAGGACATGCACTGGGATGTGACGGGTGGTTTGAGGACTCTGGATTTGCTATGTGAGGTACCACTACATCTCCTTTAAGCCTGCCAGCACCCACAGGGTACTGAGTACAATGGCATTATTTTGTAATTTGTTTTCTTCCTTTTTTCCTCCCCTCCTCCCCTCCCTCCCTCCCTCTCTCCCTCTTTCCTCCCCTCCCTCTCTCCCTCTTTCCTCCCCTCCCTCCTTCCTTCTTTCTTTCCTTCCTTCCTTCCTTCCTTCCTTCCTTCCTTCCTTCCTTCCTTCCTTCCTTCCTTCCTTCCTTCCTTCCTTCCTTTCCTTCCTCCCTACACACCATATAGGAAACATGATGTGTAAGCATAAAATCGTATGAAAATTCTATTTGTTTAAAGTCCTTTATACACCAACACTATTTACTCTCAGTGCCTGTTTCTTGACACTGAGTACTAACGTGTATTTTGATGAGCCTTCCTGTGAATTACTGTGAAAGTGGAGATGGGCTCTTCAAAGATTTCAAAAAATTGTGATCAACCTTGTTTAACTGACGGTGGCTGCCTGGGGAATGATGTTGAGAAGGATTCTGAGGCGGTGTCTGGGCTCAATGAGAGAGAGTGGCACTGTCCCCCTGGCGGTAGGAGAAGGAATGTGGACCCTGTACACAGACCCTCACCTGCCCTGAATTTCCTGTAGTCCACTTGGTTTTCTCAGGTATGAAGAAATGTATTCTAAATGCAGTGTGTAGGTTGGAAGCTAATGACTTCCTAAGTGTGAATGCAGGTGGAATCACTTGGCGAATTAGGAGGGGGTACTTATTTTGGAGTGAAGATAATGAGTTCCATTCTAATATGGTTGGTATTAGGTTTTCCTGGGACATACTGTGGAGTATATTCTATAGGTACTTGGAAATATGGGGTTGGTAAGAGATTTTAGCTAACTGTGGATTTAAATTTGTAATCTACACGAGTTGTAATTCAAATCACTGGAGCAGGGACTGCAGAACATTTGTAGGATGTAGCTCCTAAAGCCAGCACCCATTCTCCTACTTCATTTTTATGACCTCGGGTGCGGGGAAGAAGAGCAAAACTGAAAACAAAGGATTGAAAAAGCCCCATATACTTAAAAGAGTCCTTTGGGAATAAAATAGAAGTAAAGATTCCTGCAGATGTTAATTGTTTTTTAGACTTTTTCTTAAAACCTGGGGGCAGGGGGTTGTTTGGCAGGGACAAATATTAGAATTGCTGGACAGAGTCAGTAACAAACAAGATCACTCACCATTGTCATCAGAACTGTGGGGGTATTACCAGACCTGTTATTAGCAACTCTGCCATGGCTCAGGATTAAATATCAAGAGAGATGAGAGCAGCAGTTGCTGTTTTTAAGAGTCACATAAATCAATTGGCATTTAGTAAGTGAATGTGTTAAACTCAGCAGGGTGATTGCACTATGGAAGGATTGCTAGGCAGAGTTTTGAAGCTGCCACAGAAGCCTTTGAAATGTAATTAAAACAAAGCAGACAATAACCCCGTCTAGCCCTTCACCCTTTCTTAACAGAACCTGATGTTGCAATGACCTCATATAGGTTCACCCTAAAATCCCAGATCTACTTCTTCAGCTAGGCCCAGTGCTGAATGAGTTAT
Source organism: Homo sapiens (assembly GCF_000001405.40). Classification (NCBI taxonomy): domain Eukaryota; kingdom Metazoa; phylum Chordata; class Mammalia; order Primates; family Hominidae; genus Homo; species Homo sapiens. Next base: position 115,862,530 of record NC_000003.12, read on the forward strand.
TTGATCCAATTTGGAGAACTGTTCTTGCTTAAAGTCAATACATAAGTAATGAAGAGAAAAGAATGGTAAGGAGTGGGAGCAGGGCAGAAGAGGAAAAGGTTTAAGTATGAATTAAAGTGATGTTCTTGGAATGTTTCCATTCAACATAAGGTGGGTAGCTCAGGGGTCAAAACAAATTAAAGGGTCCAGCCATTGGCTTCTTCATTTTGACCTAAAGGTACAAGCTAAAAATTACTCCATCAACATTCATTCTAGGTTGCAGGCCTCTGCTTACCAGCACCCCTCAATCTGGGCTCAGGATTTTTAGCCTTTCTGTAAAGCAGATGGATCACAGTGGGAGTGGGGGTCCCAGCTGCAGTGTCAGGAGCGCAGGTAGAGGTGGCGTGGGAGAGAAAAGAAGAGAGCACTTGCCTGTTCTTGAAAGCAGTCCCTCTCCCAGGCTGGGCCCATGCGCTCCTAGAAGGCTATGAGGCCAGTGGGCCAAAGCTTAATAGGAAAACAGCAGCGATTTGTCTCCACTGCTATTTATGTTTCAAGTGCTTGACAGGCTGTCAGTGCAAGTGAGGGTCACTAAATTTACTGCCTTTCAGATTACTGCTATAGTCTCGAACTTGACAAGTCACTTCATTTAAAAAGCGCTGCATGAGGATGTTTCCTGCACTCCTTTTTAAATAAAAACAAAGGGAGAAGAAAAGGCCACCTCAGAGGTTTAAATGGTTGAAATAAAGAAAGTCCACAAGACTCTCTTACCCTGAGGGGTGGACCTCAGAGGGAGAGTGCTACTTTCACACACTCACCTCTAATTAAAATGGCAAGTGAGGGAGAGGGATGACCCCAAGGTTTTTGGTTTGATTGATCTGTGTACTGGATGATATTTTTATGGGTGGTGGTGGAGGGGTGGGAGGGTAATAATTGAGTTTTTTTATCTATTGAATTGGAATGCTTAAAGGACATTCAAATGGAGATTCCTTCTAAACAATGGGATTCAAATAAAGGATAAAAATGTGTTGTATATGTGTTATTCATATACAACACATTTGCATATACATATATATTGTATATATATATAAATAAATGTTTACATAATGTTAACAATCTTACTTCTGGGTTATGGGATCAGGAGGCCCAGAAGTGTGCGGTTAGGGAACTTCTCTTCATTTGATGCCTTCCTATCCTGCTTGAATTTCTGACATAGATTATATATATATTACCTTTATAATGCAATATTTTCAAAGAAAACTGAATTTAATAATTGCAGTGTCAGTGAAAGACATACCTATTCTTCTGGCTGTATCCTAAGGGCAGGTTTCTCAGAATGAAAAAGAAAATCTCTACGATTTTTCTATTTCTGGCATAAGGGAAAAAGAATGATTAGGAAAATTAGACACCAATTCCAAATGACAGGAGGCATAGTAATAAGCAAGTTGATATTATATAAAATCAGAACAATTTTCTAATTAGGTGGACAAAAAGTTTTCATGACTATCCATGGGCATTGTGTGTTGTAACCTACCTCCTGTACTGTTCAACTGTGGCTATTAAAGAATTGTAACCACAGGTCCAGTCCACTTGGCCCCCAAAGCAGTGAGACTTGAGCCTGGCCAATTGTTAGAAGCACTTTGCCCATGATTGAGAGGTGTCTGGACTTAAGAGTGCTGACTCTGAAGGTGACAGGTAGCTGTATGTGCACTCAAATGAATTTTCCTCACTATTCTCCACTCCATGGCACGTTGCCTGATTGCTCTTTGATCCTTGTTACTGGCAGTCAGATTGCACTCCAGTTCCCAGCTGGGACTAAAGTTGAGCTAAATTATAAACTTGACCCATCATTTAGTTGTCACCATCACTTTTCCTACAGGGCTGGACCCTTCTTGCTGTATTTTATAGCTGACTAATAGCCTGCTCACATTGGTGCAGCATCATTCCCTAGAAATCTCTGTGCTTTGGTATTATCCCTTTGGATCTGCGTATTCTGAGAACAAGCCCAACCTGAGTTTCCCTAATGATATGAACTATAAATCTTACAGGAAAGGGGAAAAGTTCTGAGGTGGAGGTAGAAAGAACTCATCCTTTGTTCTAGCTCAAGTCTTCTAAACTCCCTCAGCCCAGGAAACACTCAGCTTATCTTCCTTTCTCGTGGGGAACTTCTAAGTTCCCTAGTGTCCTCGCACCACCTCCTAACCCTCCCAGCCTAAACAGTGTGAACCGCAAAATGATTTTCATGAAAGTGTATGATTAATAGAGTGTACATGGAGAATTTTCATGGATAGAGAGAGCTAACTAATACCTGCCATACAAACGGTCAGGCTGTGCAGTATTTTTCTAATATAAATAGCACAGAACTTAGGATCTCAAACAAGCACTTAAATGTACTCAATCATTTGTTTATATGAGAGAAATACATTATTATGCAATGTCTTAGCCCTGTGCTGAAGCTATTTCATCTTATTCTTGGTAGTTGACCAGAAGATTGACCCCCTCGCCTCCTGTACCTATCACATAAGATCTCATTGCAACCACTCAGAATAACTGTCCAGAGATAATTTGCTAATGGATGTCAATGTACAACCTATCAAATGCTTAAGACACTTAATAATTGCAAGGCATATCTATTTGGTATGCTACTATCAGTTTATTCAAGTCTTTGGATTCTGTCCAAGAATCACATATTTAGAAAGCAGACCATTTTGACCATAATTATTTCAGTACTTCCTAGAAATGGCTTCACTGAAGTGAGACCATGGACGTTTCTCTAAAGACTATTTAAAAATTACCCCTTTGAACACATTTTCTATGCATTTCATAAATTTCAGTCAAACATATTGTCTAACATATTACTCAATACCCTTTATAAAAGGATTCTTTAGTTTCCAGAAAATAAGTCTCTGTAGATGTCTTTTTCAACTCTTGCTACTATTTTGAAATAAAAAAGAAGCTATGTGAATCTATTTATTTTCCCTTTTGCTTTCACTTTAAAAAATTACACAGATATAGTATCCAGATGTGATCAGCTTATCTCAAATTCTGATCAGCATCTGTACAGGTGTTTCTCAAACTGTGATCCATGGACCACCTATATAATAATCACACTGGAAACTGCTAATACATGCAGATCACTGGGCTCTTTCACAGACTTACTGAATCAGAATTTCCTGGGATGAGGCTCAGGAATCCATTAGTTTATAAAACCTACCAGGTGATACTCCAGAACACCTACATTTGGTAAGCATCCTTCTGATCTTACTAGTTTGGCATTCAGAAACATATACCTTTTCTTTTCTTAAGGGAGTTAGGTTAACCCCAGACACAGAAGCCATCTTGACCCGGGATCAGGGATCAATCCAGTATTTAGATCAGGAAAGACTGAAGGAGACAAGTTAAATTATGAGGAGAATCAACATTCTGCCTTGAGCTCAATTCCCATTTCTGAACTAACAATTCAGTCTCCATTTGTTGGGTAGCACTTCGTGTCACATGGATTTTTTACATCTTCTAGTTTATCTATATAGGCTTCTTCTTTTCTCTCTCTGTGTCTCTTGTTAACCAATGAAGGAAGTGAAGTTTAGAAAAGTTAAGGAACTTTCCCAACATTACACAGATAGTAAATGGCAGAGCTAAGATGCCTGTGTGACTCTGGTGTTTTAATCAATCATATCATATTTGTAAAGTCTCAGCTCTGTTCCTGAGATTGATCCTCATTTGCCTACCAGTTCTAGACACTAGATTCATGACAAAAGCCAATGCTGACTGCTTTCTGGCCTACCTGGAACTCCAAAAAAGCCTGGATCTCAACTCCCAATTGTGGGTTACCCTTTTCTTTCCTCTCCATCCTACAGTTCTCAGTGTTGCCTGGTATAATCACTAGATTTCCTTACTGTAAAAATCACTGAGAATAGGTCATTTACACCCAAAGTTGAATAAGAAAATGTACGTTACCTTTCTTGGTTTCATTATGCATGGATTTTGTTACAAAAGCACCTTTGATGGGTGGATAAGCTGTTGGTGAACTTGGAGAATGACAGATGGAGGGCTACTGACCTTCTCAAGTGTTGGAAGATCATTAAGAGTAAGTTAATCTGTAAATAGATGAGAAATGTAAAGTTTCTTTGCATCATGCTATGAAGAATTCTGAGCTCTCTTACCCCACACTCAAGTCTTGGTTTGCAAAGTTACATTCAAATGACATGTGGCCAACCTGAGGTGCAGTAAAGGGAAGCTGATGTAAAGTGAGCAGAATTGACAGGTTGCCAAGCAGGATAAATTACCTCAAAGATATCAAACTTTAAAGCTTAATTATTTTCCCATTAAGACTCCTTTTGCAATGCAAATATTAATGCAAGTGGTTATACCTTTTATCAGCTAACGTCTTAATTCTCAATTAACACCTAAGGGATTTCACAGCCTGCAGGCAAGCAGAATGGGTACTTGTGGGAATAGGTTCTGTGGAACTGGAAAAAGACTGGAATGAAAGAAGAGGATGCTGCTAGGGGAAGAGGGGGGTCATAAATTCATTTTACACAATGCTGGCTTAGTGTATCTAACTGTTTGGGGTAGCTAGGAATTGAGTAGCAAACACTGAGACAGAAAATCATTCTCACTAACATATAAGTCTTGGTGGTCTTTTAAACTTGTTGAATCCAAATATTGATAAGCACATTAATGCTCAGTTTTTCAGAAGATAATTGGGTAAGTTATGAGCAGGAGGCCTTGGAATATTTTCAATAAATTCCTAGGCTTTCAAATCTCTTCAGCCTTCCCAACCTTCTATACTAATCTAAAATACTGTCGGTTTCTGGAAGGGTAAACCTTATTGTATCAATAGCTCAACATATCATATACTGATGCAATTTTAATTTTCTAGTGGGAAAAACTTCACAATTTCAAGATGAAAAAGTTAAGCCCCACAAATCCTCCCCTTTTGACAGATGGCTTTACCCGAAGGCAAACTTAGCAGTGGCTCTCAGGGAACATTATCTGACCCGCTGTGCTGAGGGGCAGAGGAGACACAGGAAAAGATGTGAAAGCAGAAAAACATGAGGGAGAAGCCCTGAGCAAACAAGAAAGTAATAGGGTGGGACACAGGAAAATCACAGAAGAAATCAAGCCAGCCAAACCACGGGGAAGAAGAAGAGCAGGAAGAAAATGCCACCAGAATTGCAAGAGCCTAAAGTAATCTCACAGATGCCTCCAGAAAAGAAATCAGTTTTGTTGGTGGTCAGGGCAAACAGAGAGATTTGTTTTGGTTGGTTGAGTCTAAAGTCTATTTGCTAAGAGACTTCGTTTTGATATGACATATAATAATCATTCTAAGAAGTGCTCTCCTGGCACTCTACATATCTGAGAGTAAGTAAATAGATGAGCATGTGATTGCAAAGGCAGCTGAGTGAGGAAAACTTACAATTCACAAAACGGGAGTTTTCATTCCTGACAATACAGTGATAAGCTTTTGTCCTCTTTAAAGGACTGGAGGTCCAAAATATGTTTGTTTACTTGTTTCTAACCAATATTCCTAGTCCTAATATAGTTACAGTTGGTCTAAGGGCTTTAGATTTAGGCTTGGGCAGATTATCAAGGCATCTTCTGCACATCAGGGATAATGGAAAATTTAGCTCCTACATTCAACTCATAGCTAGTGTCCTGTCTACCTGGAGAACTGTTGAATGCTATCACAGAAAGAGCTGTGGGCCATTGGCATGGGAAATGGGGTGCTGGCTACGTATTAAACTTCATGTGCTGTGATGGGACTAGTTAGCCATTGGTTAGAGGATGGCAAGGTTGGATCCACACTAATCAGAAGACACAATTCCAAAACAGTCATGTGTCTGACCTCCCACTCCCTGAATCCAAGCACTAGCCATTGAGAAATCTATCCCTCTCTCCATCAAGTTGTCAAAACAGGAATATTATAAAGCAACTTAAGGATGAGAAGTATTTGGAAGAAAACAGAGGTATGTGTGTGTATGTGGGATGGGTGGAACACATTTAGAGCCAGTTAGAGAATGGTACCTGACTGAACTTGGATTTTCAGGAACATGGAATTTTCCCCTAAACGAGCATAAATATATTTTTCACTAAAGAGTTGAAGATATGAAACTTAATTAACTCATTTTAAATACACATATTTAAAATGAGGTTGACACATATTTAAAATGAGGTTGAAGGAAAGCTCTAATGTAATTTAATCAAAACCATAAAGATTTAATCTTCTTTTTCTAGAAAAGATACTAACTTTTCCAAAATACAATCCAGGACAGATTCTCAAAATTGTTCAAGTGGTAGGTCCAAATACAAGAAGAAAATATTTGATTGTGCTTTTTTACATTAGATTGTTAGATTTTAATTGAGAAAAATGGTGCAGACAGTAAAAAAACTAAGAATATTTTATGGTAAACTTCAATACACACAATTCTACTCAGTAATATTTGTCTTTTATAAATCAGGAAAAAAAACCCATATTTTATCCTAGTGACAAAGCTGTTAAGCTCAGTTTCTAGAATATGAGTGTTTTCTAGCACACAGTTTGAAAACCATTTAACTCATTTCCAGGAAGAGAAATCAATGCAACTATGCTCAATGGTTACGCTAAAATAAAAAATTCAGAAGTATAGTAAAGAATATGACTGCTGCATAGACCAACTGACAATTGTTCAAACTTTGATAGCCATAAACAAAAAGCCAGATTAGGTCAGGAGATCATTTGACATCTCTTGGTTCCCTTCATAACCTCTATCTTGGAGGGGGAGAGAGAGAGAGAGAGAGAGAGAGAGAGAGAGACTGACTGAGAGAGAGAGACTGCCTACAAATACAAAAAGAATGGCTCTCCCTTTGAAATCTCTACTTGATGAGTACCAGCAATTTGGAGTAAAAAACATAATACATAATTTAACTTGACAACTGTTATATGTCCAGCACTAGGCTGGGGAGATAAAACAAGGCATAGTTAGACAATACTAAAAAGCAAAGAAGATGCCACTATCTGGGAAACTATCATTATATTGATAACAATTAATTAGTAATAAATTAAATTTGCTCTTACCATTAATATTCATTACTTGCAGATGTTCTAGTACTTTACTTTTGAATATGATGAACAGTGCCCAGACACAGTAGGTACTCACTAAATATTAATTTCTTTTAAATCTCTCATTCTCTTTCTGTTATAATCATTTTCAAGAGTCTTTACCTCTTAGACTTTGAGAAACATTTTCTATGTCTGGTGAATCACTTGTAAAATGTTAGATTGTAGATTAAATGCATACGTCTTTTCCGAACAAAAATCCTGTAGTGCTAGGCACAGACATTTATAAGGATATGTATATCCTTATATATATGTGTATACATAAAATTATTTCCTGAGATTGTTGTTTATTTTTTCCCAAATTTGGGAACCAGGAGCATTATAGAGCAGGGCTTGGCAAGCTATGTCCCATGAGCCAAATTTGATCTGAGTGATTTTGTATAGCTCATAGCTAAGAGTGAATTTTGCATTTTTAAAGTTAAAAAATTAAAATAATATTTTTTGACACATAAAAATTATATAAAATTTAAATTTCAGTATTTATAAATAAAGTTTTACTTGGACACAGCCATGCCTATGCATTTTTATATTGTCTATGGCTGCTTTCAGTTACAATGACAGAATTTAATTGCAACAGAGACCCTATGGCCCACAAAGCTTAACATATTTACTACCTTGTTTTTCATGGAAAAGTTTGTTAACCCATGGTGTAGAGGAACAAGCTCTAACATGCAAGTCTGAAGAAGTGTATTTTTGATTGGGCTGTTGTGCTTCCCATTTTTTTAAGTTGGGGAATATAGTAGATGAGAACAAAAGTATATTTCAGAAGTAACATTCTATGACCTAGGCTCCAATAAATTATTTTCAAATAATTACAATATCAGTACCTGTCAGTACATTTACATTTTTAGCTCTTCCTAAATATTTTTCTAGGGCTGTGGCTCCCAAAGTAAGAAAAATCACCTAGGGAACTCCTTGAAAAGGAAGATTCTCAGGCTTACCTCCAAAAGTTCTAATCCATTATGTCTAGGGCAAGCCCCAGGAATCTGCATTTTAACACTCTGGTGGTGATTTTGATGTACACACTCACTGCAAAAGCTTCACCAAGGTGGCCCAACTCACTGGTTCCTTTGCTCTGGCCTCAACAAACTAGCCATGCTGTAAAGAAAGCTTTAAACACTCCAGCTGCTGGTATGAACTGAACTATTTCAGCATGTATCCTGAGACTTTCTAGGGAAGAGATTGCTGCATTAGCTGTGGAGTTGTTCCCAGGAGAGATGCAGTAAAAGTTTAGAATCAGACTAACAGCCTTATACTTGTTTCTTTCTAAAAAACCTAAAAAGGCCCCAGGCATTTCTTTTGCTTGCTGGGGAGATGGTGATCACAAACCTGTAAGGTGCACAGTGTTTTCGCTTCCCACAGAAGAGAAAACTCATTACATGAAATCACAGGCAAGCTCCCAACAAGAAGATGGGAAAGAAATACATAGGAATCAGCCATGGAGCTTTCAAATTACGGAACTAGAAATTATATTTGCAATAGTTGAAAAGATTTTCCTCTGAGAATAGTATTATTCCAAATTCACAGTAAATCTCTTTCTCATTTTATGCTGCCTGGGAGTTCTTAAAATTGATAGACCATAGAGAAAATGGCATTGCATTCTCATAGGGATTGGCAGCCTAGAATGGCCATGCAGTTTAAACCTGAAACACAGAGATACTCATTTTTCTCCCTTCTTTTAAACTGTGCTCTTTACCCAGGGTCAAGACTCAAGACTAAGTTTATTCAGCAGAGACAGAAAAAAAAATGGCTACAGGGAATCAGAAGACAATCATCCTTAGACAGGTGTATTCCTGGGAAATCAACCTTACCATTGAAGGTTTCAGAGGCCCTTGAAGGCCTCAGGAAAGGCAGAGTCAGAGGAAAAAAATATTAGCAGTGCAGTGCTGAAATGAAAGATACAAAGATATGATACCCCTGTTTAAATTGTTTCAGTGTACAAAGAACAAAGCTACCTAAAGAAAACCAACGTGTAGTGTGTGTGTGTGTGTGTGTGTGTGTGTGTGTGTGTAAGAGAGACAGACAGAGAGACAAAGAGAGAGAGGCAGAGAGATAGAGGGCTTCAACCTCCTACTCGTTGACATTTTTTTCTAACCTGAGGGTTCCCTATTGCTAGACTTTCCTTGGTTACTTTTGAAGCTTTGTAAGACTCTAGGAAGAACTAAACCTCCATGCAAATGAGCAAAGCAGGAATACCATCTGAGTTATACAAGCTAGAAAAAGTATAGCACACACCAGCAATCCTTTTGCCTCAGGATATAAAGTGATCACCAACTGGACTCAAAAATATTCCTACACTCTGTAGCAGAGGGCCTTGTGGGAAAGAAGAAAGAGTTGCAAACAGCTTAGAACAAGTGTACAATTCAGCTGGTATAGTTAAGAGGGTGCTGATTCTCAGAGAATTAAAATATTCATGTCTAGTTGTCATTTACATCTCAGCATTTCCCTTTTTATCTCCTTTTTCTCTCTTCTTAGATTTCTGTTGATTTATGGGCCCAGTTATTTTTGATGCTCTGAAAATGAGTGAATTAGTATTAAAGATAAAGATAAAAGGACCCACAAGAATGGGTGAAGAAGTGATAAAATGCATAACTCTTGGGTGGGCATGTGTGTGTATGCTAATGGGAAAGGTTATGGATCAACAGCATTTCTACTGTTAAATATATTTTCTTGCCTCCATTCTCCTAAATCAAAGATATCTAAATCACTTATCCTTTAGTTGTTATAACTACTTCAAGAGTCCTCTGGGCAGGTTTGGCTGCCCCATGTGCCACCCTGCGGCATCACCTGCACCTTACTATAGAGCTCAAAGAATTAGCAAAGGCAAGAGGAAAGGCAGAAGGGGATCAAGAGGGAAAACTACAGAAGAGAGTGCAGGAGAAAATAGCAGGTAGAAGTCTAGAAAAGAGGAGGGGTATGAATGCCGACAGCAGGAGGCCGATAGGAGATGGGAAAGAAAAAAGAATTGAGCCTCCCGAGAATGGAAGAATGGAAAGAAGTGTTTAAATGGTATGCAGAATAAAAATACAGAAACAAAGAGGAAAGAACGTAAGTATTTATTTAGTGAAAACTATGTGCTAAGAATTCTCACGTGAATTATATTATTTAACCATTTTGAAAACTCTGTAGTACAAATATTTAATCCCTGAACAAATGAGGTAGCTGAGGCTCATAGCTGTTAAGTATCTGGTCTAAGATCACACAGGTAGTGGGAAAGGAGAAGAGAACTAATACTCATTCACCAAATAAATATTTACTGAGAATTTATTATGAACTAGGCATGTGCTAAGCAACGTGACACATGCTAATACTAGTTTAATTAAGGAAGTATAACATATGTATGAAACATATATGATACATACATACACATATATACATATATGTAAACATTCCCATTCATAAATGTGGTTGAGACAGAGATCCGAATTAGTTTTTCACAAATATAAAGCTACAAATTAGTGGAATCAAGATTTAAATTCAGGCTGGGCACAGTGGCTCACACCTGTAATCCCAGCACTTTGGGAGGCCAAGGCAGGATGATCATCTGAGGTCAGGAGTTCAAGACCAGCCTGGCCAACATGACGAAACGCTGTCTCTACCAAAAATACAAAAATTAACTGGGACTGGTAGCATGTACCTGTAATCCCAGCTACTCAGGAGGCTAACTTGGGAGGTTAAGGCAGGGGAGTCATTTGAACCTGGGAGGTGGAAGTTGCAGTGAGCTAAGATCACACCACTGCACTCCAGCCTGGATGACAGAGTGAGGCTCTGAAAAAAAAAAAAAAAAGTCTATGCTTTTTTAGACTAGGGCAGAAATTCTGTTTCAGAGAAAGGACTAGGCTAAAAGGAGATCTATGGCATAAGACAGAGCAAATCTAGAAAATAAGAGAAAAAAGGAGAGGAAAGTATTCCAAAATATGAGCTATTTAGTAATTAATTTTTCCGGTCATTCTATTTTATTTTACTGTTCATTTTGTTTTACAAAATAATTAATCCTGTATAGTATAATAGAGTATTAGAACTCAATTTGGGGAACCTGAGTTCATACCTTGCCGCTAACTTTTACCAAGTTACAGAAAATCTCTATAATTTAGTTTGCTGTAAAATCGAGGTTATAATATCAGTTGTGATGACCTATAAGATTGCTAAGAAGTTCAAAAGAGATAATACATGCAAATTACCAGGTATCACATCTGTAAGTAAATGCCCACAGTTATATTTAATAGCTTTCTTGTCCTAGCCTGCTGGAGAGCCTCTAGCTTGCTTCCCATTTGTTCCCTCTAAAGATCACCCCAGGATTTGACCTTCCACGTAGGAATCAGTCTATGATGGTGCATTTCTGAAGGCACTGACTACTACCCATTTGCAGGATGCAGAGCCTCTATGTAATAAGAAATATATTACACTCTGAGCTTCTGCCCTTTTCTAAGTTTATCTTTCTCTCTTGGAGCCTTTTCATAGTTTTTATTATATATTTACATCTAATGAAGACTTGAATATTGCCTCTGAATATTGCAAAACATCAGTTTTGTTTGATATAACAGAGTTGGAGCTTTTAGATTTCAGCACGTAGATTGATTAATGTAAACGGCACATGCTGTCTCTCCTCCTCCAAAAAGACATTCCTTTCTCTTTCTGGGTTCCTTCTCCTCAGTCTTTGGGAACCAGCTCCAATGCCCTCTCCTTTAGGAAGTCTGTCTCAGCATCTTTCCTTCTCCTGCTTCTTCTTCCTAAGCCCTGCTTGAAACTATCCCTATTCTCAACCCCTAGGTTTTTGTCTTGTTTTGTTTTGTCTCTATTCTCTCAAAAAATTTGTTCATGCGGTGATTGTAGCACAAATCAGGCTGTACTATCATCATTTGTATACATTTTGTCTCCCCAGCTATACCATAAGATTTGTAAAGTCTCTGCTCCAGGCCCATTTATCTATATATTCCCCCATTGCTTCATTGACTTGTACATTTATTTATACATACAATTAAATATATTATTGAGTGCCTATTACAGGCCAGACCCTGCACTAGATGCTGAGTGAAGACACAGTGGTGAATAAACCAGCCTGTCTTCAACTTCATGAAGCTACCATCTAAATGTATGTATGTACGTTATTTAAGCCTAAGTTATAACTCTATTCAGTGTGAAGCAGGCAAGATATCTCGAGTGAAAGAGTGGATAAAAGAGAGTTTTCACTTGGTTAGGGAGGTTAAGAAGGATCACCTAAGAAAAAGCCACTGAAGTGGAGATCCAAAGGAGAAGTATTTTCTTCTCAAATGAGGAATTTTCAGCACATAGAAGGTACTTTAAAAAAAAAAAGAGAATGAACGTTTTCCTCAAATTAAACAGACACATTTAATAAAAATAGCTGTTATTTACCTAAGGCTTTCTACACACATCAATATTATCTCAGGTAATTCTCAACCATATGAGAGAACATCGTTTCTTTTATTTCTTTTTATAACAAATTCAAAAGATAGATTAGGAATTGGATAGTGAGTAAAAGGTAACACAAACTATCTACTACTTTCAATCCCAATCACAAATTATTCTAGAGGTCCTTACCCAAATATTTTCCTCAGAAGAGATGTTATCTTTTTCCTTTCCATCAGAAGAAGCGAGGCGAGTAACCTTAACCTAACATTTGAATGTATTTGTCCCAAATATATTCTTTAACTTCACTTCCTGAATAAGATTTTCCTCCTGCTCTCACTCATTGCTGTACCGAAATATTTAATTGAGTGAAATATTAAAGTAGGGGTTTGATAAGTGGCTGCTGCATTTTATTTTAACGAATGTGATGGGTTATCAAAATTGCTGCACTGTAGCCGTCTCTCTATAAATAGAAACCTATTACTAAAGGGTTCAGAATAATTACAATATTATCCCAAATATCACTATGTGCTAGGCCTGTCACATAGTAGATACTCAATAAATGATGACTCCTTAATGATGAATCTCAAATAATTTTTCTTTGACAAGCTATTGCTATTGTGACTGAATATTCATGTGAGGGGTCACTTCCAGGGTTAAAGACTGTGGTCAAAGGAGCAGGCAAAGCTCGCTAGATTAGGGAAATTGTCCTCATTGTTCTTACCTCATTAGCATTATTTCCAGGGTTCTTGAGCCCAATACCAAAAATAGGCCTTATGATTGTGTTAAAAAAAAATCATAGTTCCCATCTACATGAACACAAGCTTGGAAGAGTGGAAATAGATATATATTTTGAAATAACTTTTAAAAATGTGATCCTGAATGAGCTCTATACAACAATATTTTTCTACTGAAATTTAGAAACAACATCCCCAATGCCTTAAGTACCATTAACAGCAGGCTTCTGATGTATTTTTATAAAGGCAAAATTCTCCCCTAACTTCCACAAACAGGTAATTGATTTTTTTCTTTTATTTTAATTCTTAGAGCATTGAGAAATTTCTTTCTGTTCCCAACTATAATGAGAGCTCTGTTGAGGAGATTTGTCTCTGTAGCTAATTTTTCATGCTTATCAGTCATAGGGTTATCTTCATTTTAACACCCTTACTGATTCAGATATTTTGCATGAATTATCTGCATTAGTCCTGTAGAGGATTTCAAACTTACTCAGTAATGCCTGCAGTTCCTCATTCACTTTTGCTAAAAGAAACTGTTCTGATTTAAAAAAAAAAAAAGGAAAAAGCTTTTTTTTTTTTTTTTTAAGGCTACAAATAATACCCTCAGTTTGCATAGGGATCATTAACTTTCCTTGACAGAGGTTTAATTTCCATCAGACATTTTACACACTCTGACCAGTAATGCATTCAGACTCACCAACCAGTCCTGCTAAGAAATGAGTGTGTATTGGTAGTGTTTAACTGTAAAATGGGACCAAGAAGCCAAGCACTGTCTGCCACTGAGTACGAGGTTACTATTGATTTCTATCTTACTCTTTTACTCCACTGATTTGATTTCTATTAAAATTCTGCCACAGGTTCATTCTCTGGGTCAACTCTGCCATCACAACCATGTGCAGTGACTTCACCCAGGTTTCTGTCATCATGATTTTACTCTTAAGATCTCCTCATCCAGCGCTTTCTAGTTATTCTAGAATTCTTGTTACAACCACCCCTCAGCAGGTTTATCTACCCCTCTTTCATTCTATTTTTTTCTTCCTATATTCTTCTCTTATCCATTGTGATCATACATGTGTGAGGAAAAATATGTTGGGATTCTAAAATGCCATCTAAGTCCCTGAGTTATGATTCTGAGAAGACACGGATAGTTCTTCATCATCAGGAGAGCAATATTAATGAATTCTTTCTTCTTATAGTTTTTCTTCATAAGAACTGTCCACACTCTCTCCCCTCCCTAACTCGCCCCTTCCATTTTGGAAGCTTTCCAGCAATAAAGCAGAAGGAGGCAGTCTGAGAAAGGTTAGGCAAACACAACAATATTACCGGAATAAGTAACATATTGCTCATTAAACATTTAAAATCAACAGTTGCTTGCTCGATCTGCCAATATTTTGAGAAATGCCAGTTTTACTGCTAGGTGCCACTTGGCTTGAGCTTCTTAATTCATGATTTGTGAACTGACATCCGGGATAACAAAACCTTATTCCAGTTAGAATTTTGCCATCAAGAGAAAAGCTGAAATATCACAACACAAAGCTCCCTGTTTTTTTTTTCTCCTTCCTGCCTCCTTCCTCCCTCCCACCCTCATGCCTCTGCCTTCATTCCAGAAACAAATGGATGTGTTAAAACAGTGAAATGTGTTTGTGGAAGATAAATAGTTTATCTTAAATATACTGTTGTAGTGTCAAACCGAGTCTCAAATACATGTACATATTTTATTCACAGACATAACATTTCAAAATGAGTAGCTTTTTTCTTTTTCAAACATTTATACATGAGCGTAATGCCTACAAAAAATAAAAACAGAACGACAATGTAGCTCAGATCTTATCAGCATTATGTGCTAATCTCATCAAGAGCACGGGCCCAGAGTGTAGTATTTTGTTTCAAAAAAAGGCATCCCTTCCCTACTAGAAGCAGAGGAAAGTTTCTGGACTTTTAACACATCTCTCTCTTTTCCCTCAAATATTTTGAAGCTTTGTTTTATTTTCACTTTGCTGCCACAAATGTGATATCCTGGCCAAAGCTTCTAATCACGTGGGCATGCTTTCTGTGTCCTTCAGCAAGGGAATAATTTGGTCTGTTGGAGCATCAGAAACTATGCATCTGGTGCTATGATATTTTGGGGAGGGGGGTTGCAAAAATTTTTTAAAATGTGGTTCCCATCCTTAGGTAGATCACAGGCTACTGAAGAGACAGCTAAGCAAGCAAATGATGACACGTAGCAATAAGCACAGTAACCAAGCTGTTTTGACCTACTACAGTCAGGATTTTAAACTTAATAGGAAAGAAGGTGTGCCATCAGGCCAATGAGCTCCATCTCCCTGGGCCATACGCGGAGACACGATTGTTCTGCAGTATATGTGAAGTGTGGGAGTACCAATGCTGATTTGATAAGATGAGGATTCTTGGCATCCACAGTCTTAAATGTGGTAATCAGAACTCAGAAAGGGGAATATCACAGAAAAGTGAGACTCTTGATGAATGTCCTCCCAGAACAGTAATCTCTTAGCATGAGGCCATCTAGAAAGATGGAGACCAAGGGAAAGGTGAAGGAGGGCACTTTGTACCAAGCCTACTACCACTGGTTATGGGATATGTTACATTTAAGAAACACAATGATGAAGTATTGTTGTTCTGGTTATAAAGAGTGACAAACAAGGAAGAGATAAGAAAACGCATCTGCCTCAGACATTATTAACCAATAAAAGATTTACTTGATACTTTGAGAACATGCTATTCTTTTTTTTTTTTTTTTTTTTTTTTTTTTGACAGACTCTTGCTCTGTTACCCAGGCTGGAGTGCAGTGGTACGATCTCAGCTCACGGCAACCTCCGCTTCCTGGCTTCAAGCGATTCTCTTGTCTCAGCCTCCAGAGTAGCTGGAACTACAGGCATGCACCACCATGCCAGGCTAATATTTATATTTTTAGTAGAGATGGGATTTCATCATGTTGGCCCGGCTGCTCTAGAACTCCTGGCCTCAAGAGATCCACCTGCCTCAGCCTCCCAAAGTGCTGGGATTACAGGCGTGAGCCACCACATTCAGGTGAGAACATGCTATTCTAATAGAATTGTAATAATAATAACAACAACAATGGTGGCCCAT
Organism: Homo sapiens; assembly: GCF_000001405.40. Taxonomy (NCBI): domain Eukaryota; kingdom Metazoa; phylum Chordata; class Mammalia; order Primates; family Hominidae; genus Homo; species Homo sapiens. The sequence goes on from NC_000003.12 coordinate 115,878,820, forward strand.
GTCACCAATTCCAGGAGTTAGAATTACTTGGGAATGCTATGTGTATGGCAGCTATAAAGGATATGATAGATCTGATTAGTTTTGGTGAATTATGGGGTCAACTTGAGTAGTGGAGACTGATGCTTCTGAAGCCTTGGTATTTGCCATGTCTGTAAGTTGAATACATTACTCCAAAGCTGCAGGACACATGTCTCAAAATGTTGATGAAAGTTACATGACAGCAAATTTATAATAGGCCCTACATAATCACTCTCATGCCTTTGGGGCTGCAAGTTCAGTCAAGTTTATGTCATTATTACCATTCCTTGGGCTTACAGAGGACAAATTTTATGATCCAAGAAGTACAAATCCAGCCAAGCAAGTAAATGGGTTCAGATTTATTGTGAAGATACACTTATCTACCCTTTTCTGTTACCCATGACACAGATCTACAAATGTGTACATTTAACAATATTAATGGAAATTGTCAATTTCAAATTACCCAAGCCATTGGAGACTTGGAATATCATAAATACACAAATAAAACCCAAAGATAAAGTTTAAACTTTATACTAGTAAAGAATTTCAAGTTCCACTCCAGTCACTGAAACATTTATTAGTTATATCAGGTGGAAATACTGACTAATATGGGTTTTATAAATTTATATAGATGTTGTATGTATTGGTTTATACTGTAAATAATAAATAAAAAGCTGACATTAGAAGGTAGAAAGAGACGTAGTCATTCACTCATCCATCAAGAAAACATATCATTAGTGCCTATAACATGCTCCATTAAGCATGGGCTGTACCAATGGAGGGCAGGGTTCTTGTCCTTCAGGGGCTCACAGTTGAGTGACAATTTTAAGACTAGTAGTTACCCCTGAACAATTTAAAATTGGCTAATTGGCTAAGCCAATGTGTAGATGAGAAATAATGGCATCTTATTAAGAAAGAGACTAACTTTTCACAAAAGAGGCCTGGGTAAAACTCAGAGCCATGGGATATAAGCCCTGGGTACTACAAATATAGCCTTCCTTTTCAGGTTCTTTATTAAAAATTTTTATGGTAATCCCTATATCACAGATCAAAACCCTTAATGTGAGTTTAAAATGTTAGCATAAAACATAAGCTTGGTGTTTGTGAATCTGAATTCATTCAATTTATCATTGAAAAAAATTCTAATTAGGTATAAGAATTAAGAACCAGCAAAGAAACACAAAGGTAAAAATAAAAAGATCTTACAGATTTGAATACACTGAATGCAACAGATATTCCAAGGACAAACTCTAATGCCTAAACCAACATACACTGGGATAGCAGAGTGGATATCAGTGATTTCTCCGGTGACCATTTCTGTGTCACTATTCTCTGGACACACTGATTGATCCAAGAGAGAAAAATGACTTAGGCTAGACTAATAAAACTCTCTCCTGGAAATGTGAAACTTGAATGGAGTGTCTCAGATAACGAGTTTCATTAATGGCATCATGTTATAGAGAAACTCCCCAAACAACTCCTTCTTAAGAGTTGCCTTATTTTGCCTTATAAAGAATATATTGTTCCATTTTTCCTTTAAATTTATAATTTACTTCAAATTCTTAAATTTTGTTTTGCCTTTTGTCAGGCGAGTTAGTTTCTGTTGTTTACAATCAAAGGGCACCAACAAATATAAATATTTGACAACCAAATTTTCCTCTTGAGATGCTCTTGAAAACAACTTTAATATCCCAGGGTCTCTATTTTAATAAAGGACTACGCTGAAAATTCTGTTTGTTTACCAAAACTTCTAAATCACTGGGAAAACATAAGGTCAGGATTATGAGTAAAATTAATGTAACCACTGAGTAAATAGAGAATATTTTTAATAAGTTTGAAAATCAGATTAAAAGATCATGGTTACTTTGAGGCCTAAACATTAAAAATCTGCTATATTAAAATAATGTACATAGGCTGGGTGTGGTGGCTCATGCCAGTAATCCCAGCACTTTGGGAGGCTGAGGCGGGAAGATCATTTGAGGTCAGGAGTTCGAGACCAGCCCGGCCTACCAACATGGTAAAACCCTGTCTCTACCAAAAATACAAAAAAATGAGCCAGGTGTGGTAGCGGGCACCTGTAATCCCAGCTACTTGGGAGGCTGAGGCATGAGAATCCATTGAACCCAAGAGGCCGAGGTTGCAGTGAACCGATTGTGCCACTGCACTCCAGCCTGGGCAATAGAACAAAACTCTGTCTCAAAAATAAATAAATAAATAAATAAATAAATAAATAAAATACTGTACATAGTGCCATTATGTGCCATTTCCAGTAAGATCTGTCATCCTTACACCCAAGTTATTAATATCATACTTCAACAAGTAGTGTTTTTACAGTTTGCCACTTGCATTCATAAATGCTGCTGCCGCTAAGGGTGGCATGTGACCATGTTCATGAAAAGTGTTATGCACATAACCATTGCTCTTTGCCAGCCTGGACACTCTTGAAAACCTCCTGAGCATTAGTAAATCAAATTGTCACACCTGTGCCTTCTAACATTTGAGGACTAGCTTGGACCCATTTAGAAAAAGCAATCCATATTTGGATGTTACTTGTCTACTCTGTATTTCCAATTCTTTTGTGAGTATTATAGAGTCATTCTGCATTGTTTTCAGCCTTGCAGTGTGCTAGGTTAGTATTTCTTCCACCGACCTTGTTAATCATCTCATCCATACAGTTGCTTATGAATAGTGTTGCCTTCCTTGTCAATAAGAGCTATATTAAGAGCAAGCATCCTTTTACTGCTTCTTGACTGGTTGTGTTCTTGGACTTGGCGGTTGTTTATATTCACTTGCTACTTAAGTGTGGGTTCTAAAATGACACTGATTAAGCCAGATGGGATATGTGCAGTGTGTTGAATAAGATTCATTGCCATAAAGACAAATTGGAAAATATCATCCTTCCCATAAAATGTGAATTTGTTTTAGAGTCAGATTGGGTCATACCCATCCCTTCACTCATCTAATAAATATTTATTGATTATTGCAGTAGATGCCTTAAATACCCAGTCCAGATTCCCTTTCCTGAACGTGCACCTGTCTCTCAGCTGTTCTTAGAACTGTGATTAGTAACATCCACCTGGGGCCCTCTCTGGAGAATTGCTGGTGGATGATAGCCAATATGTCCAGAAATTCCTGGCTGGTTACAATTTCCCTGCTCCCAAGTGATTAATGATAGACTGTTTCAAGGTTTAAAAAGTGAAGCCCCTTGTCTCAAGGTGAGAAAACTCTGCAGTGCTATTTACAATATAGAGCATCACCATGTATCAGGACAAGGTGAGAGTTTTCCTAAGGCAATATTCTTTTTTGAACCTTTCCTCTTTCCTATCCCACTTCTCTCCTGCTTATAGGTTTTTCTGAGCAACACTCCTCAATAACTCACATACACCTAACACACTGTCTCAGGCTCTGTAATTAAGAAATCTGACCTAAGACAACTACCCACCTTGTACCAGGTGCTGGACTAGGGCTAAATATTTTAATAAGATTTTTGCTCAAGGATCTTTTTAAGACTTTTATAAATAAGACAATCTTTCCAATAAGATTGTCCCTTCATTCAAGGGCTTGAGGTTTCCTTCTGAATTTTTCCAGATACATTCTGATTCAGTAACTGCTGAATAATAAGTGGTTTTCTTGATTCACAATTTCCAATTTCTCTGAATCCATACATTTTTGATATACCTTACTTTATTCAAGAGCCATTCTCCTAAAAATTTGCATAATAGAGTTCCCATAGACTCATATTTGAAATGGCATAAGAGAGTATACTATTTAAGTACTCTTGTTAATTTTTCCATAAACTGAATTATTAATCACTAAACTCATCTGTTTTGAAATATGAATTTTCATATGTCACATTGACATAAAGAAAGGACTACTTTACTGGATAATGCATTGATACCAAAGGAATTTTCTGGCATCTTCTCTCCCTCATCTCTCACCCTCACCCCATTCTTATTTTTGGACTCCTATACCTGTTTTTATGGTTGTAACAAGCTGGCTCCAATTCCTCCATCCAGCCAAGTTTACCTCATGCTGATAAAAAACAAAACAAAACCCTAGCAGCTTTCCCCCACTTGTATCCTTATGCTCAGGTTATGTGATAGATAACTATCTGGACGATAGTTAACTATAGTTACTGTAGATACTATAGATACTGTAGTTACAATCTTCCATATAGATAACTATATGGAAGAATTTGTGCAGAGAGAATGAAGCAGATAGATTGAAGGAGAAAGAGAACTAGGGGTCAATTCCTGTTCCACTAAATTCCAAAGCATTATTTATATTTTTCTCAGTTCTTAAAACTTTATTTCATCAATTGCCACTGGTAACAAGAAGGCAACGGGGTAGGCCTGGGGAACACATTGATTAAACAGAGGATTTTGTACATTGCCATCTATTAGAACACATTTGGGTTAGAGAACAGGGAAGTGACTAAAAGGGATAGGAAGTGTAAAGGTAAGGAGGTGAGAAGATAAACAGAAAGGTAAATAGAAGAAAAAGTGATTGGGAACAGAGAGTGAGGATCAATAATAAGGAACACAGAGGAGCCTTAGTAGATGTAGATGCCTTAGTGCCAACCTGCACTTGGCCAGTGGTGGTCCTCAGGGAGGTTGAAACAGTAGTCCTAATGTGATATATTTTGATGGAACCAGGGTTGGAAAATACGCAATAATCACTCTGAATGCACTGGAAGGGATGGGCATATTATTGAGCTGACAGTGTATATAATGTAGGCAGTGTATATAGATGGTAGATGCATGGAAATCAGGTTCAAGTTGTAACTGATTGGGTCCTCAAGCAACCATTGAATCCACATCTGTAGGAATCCCAGATCTAAATCTAGTGAAGGGGAGTAATCCTGCCTGTTCTCTTTTTATGCATTACTGTAGATGTATTTATACACAAATGGTAGGGTATTATACCATAGGAAAAAATGGAACCTTACAAAAGAAGAATGAATCAGGATTTGGCACAGATGGCTAAAGGTAAAAAGAAATATTTTTATCTTATGAGGGGACACAGTGAAAGATAAAATAAGAGAGTGAATGGAATAGAAAAAAATGAAAGACATTAATGATAAGTCAAACTAAGAAACTCAACTAATTTCTTAAATCTTGCTTTAATAAGAAAACAATTACTGTGTATGATTAGGATATAATTAAGATTCTGCAAAAACAGCTTCTAAAAGCAGAGAATGTAGTAATTGGAAAATTTGAACATTAACAAATCAATGATTCTGGGACTATGATGCCCACAATTGACTTGATAGTAGGGTGTCACAGTGATTGAATTTGATTTTTGCAAAGGGATGAAGAAAAGAGAGAGCTCTATGTATATATAAAAGATGTAGTAATAATGGGTGAATGGAACTAATCTTCATAATACATAAAGAGAATGATTTTGGAGGCTGAATTAAGCAGTTTTTGAAAGGAACAGATGTTCTTAGAGAACAATCTTAAACATCAAGATGACAGGTAAGCAATATTATCTCGAGAAGAACAAATGGTGGACATCATTTCTGATAGCTTTAAGATGGACAGAATTCTAAGGAAGTAATAAAAGGCAACGAAGGGCAACTCATAGTTGAATTTCAATAAATGTAAAATAGACATTAAATATTCTAATTCAATTCAAATTCAATCTGAAATTAATGCTGTTGGATTGGCAATTAGTAAAGGTTGATCATGGACGATTAGAGATGTGGTTCTGGTGATCTCTCTAGTGAGTCTATTATAAGGTTCATCACTGTATAGAAGATGACTACGGAGGGCTCGCAGATGGCACTGGATGTAAAGATATTGCAAATATCGGGGAACAGAAAACAATGCAAGGAATGCCAACAAGTTTACAAATACGAGCAGAAGTCATCTAAAATAAGATTGAGCTTTGAAATATACACGCTTTAGCAGAGGATAAAACAATCTAACAAACACACATATTCACTAACAAGATGGACCTGGAAGTCAATAACATAAAAAAGAATAAACACGAATGATTATAAGAAACACAAGTATATTCTGCATATAGCAAATGTAATAAAAGAGGTATTCCTTTAGATGTGGAGTGTAAGGAAGCACTCTTCAAAGGTCAGGCAAATTGATTTTGAAAAGAAATGTCATTAATAGGTAGTATGTACAAAATACTAAAAAAGGCGTTCACAGAAGAAAGTATATTAAATATATAAAATTGAACTTGGTATCTTTATAATCCAAGTAAAAACATTTAGGGAACTTACAGAAGTGAAGAGGAAGGGAAAAACACAAATGAGAAGGAGAAGTGCAAGAATAATGCAAACTCATTCAACAAGTACTTAAATTTAACACCTGCAATGTGCAGTGCCATGTGGCTGGTGTTCTGGGTGGGAAAAAGGCAGAATTTGCGTTTGTCTGTTCCTGTCCTTCAGTGTTTCATTCCTCTTTAGGAGAGAGATTTATACACAACAGAAGCTATTTTGTGTTAAAGAATTTTAAGAGTTGTAAGTGTGGAAACTGCAAAAAGGACAGTTGGAGTGACAGAGATCCAAGGTTCATTATGATTATGAGATTGTCTATGTGCCCAGGAGAGATAATCTCAGTTCCCTTCTATATTACAATTTCATGGTTATTAGTTCTGAAGAAAAACTAGAAGACTAGTGGGGAAGCTAGGTTATATTGACCAACAAAATATGAGGACAGACTGAAAGAGGTAAGTTTAATATCAGCTAAAGTCTTGGGCAGCTGGTCAGAATCCAGACTGGATTCATGCTGTCATCAGCAGAGGTCAATGTGAAAGGTAAACAACTTTTGTGTGTGTGGGGGTGGGTGGGGGGACAAGTATCTGCTGCATAAAGCAAGATAGATGCTTCTTATCAATCAAGAAGCATTTAGATGCTTCTTATCAATCGGAATACTGGAAACAACTTAGAAATGGCAAGGCTTAAGTTAGAGTCAATACTCATGCAGGCTAATGCTACCAGGATCTGAAACAGTACCACGGACAGCTCTCTTAAGGCTGGAGAGCCTGAAAAAAAACCATTGCCCAATGATCCCCAAAACTACAAAGTGAGTACTTGACCTCTTAAAGCACTGAATAAAAGACAACATTGGAATTTTCATCTGCAACAGAGGTTTGTCTATCCAGATATGACTTTTAATGGTTAATTGGTTTCTTTAAGTCTTTGGCAAAGACTTATTGTTTGAGAGCACAGATTCTCTCTGTGCTTCAGAGAACCAGGAGTTCTAGTGTTTGAGGACAAGGGAACAGCTATGTTTAAGCTCAAAAAAAGAGAAAGAAAGAACTTGCCCTTCCTCTGCCTTTTCATACTAATCCATATCAGTGAGGAGGCATCTTCTTTACTGGTAATGCAAATGCTAATGTCTTCTAGAAATACCCTTACAGACAGACTCAGAAAAAAATGTTTTAACAGCTATCTGGGTACCCCTAAGCCCAGTCCAACTGACACATAAAATTAAACAGTGCACGAGGTATGTATGCTTATCCAAACATGTATTCTTAATTTCTATATTTATCTTATTGTGAACTGTTAATAGTTTACCAATTGGCCATGACCCAGTCCATGGGTTACACTTCAAGTGGCAGTGATGTAAATGACAATATGCACTATTTAAAATCAGAACAACAAAAGGTGGTTATTTAGTTGAAAGAATCTACATCCAAGCAAATGAAGTTCCAAAATTCCAAAACTCAACTCTAAATTCTCCATGTTTTTCTTTCAGACTTGAAATACTGGTAAGTATTTTATTCCTAGGTTTTCCCTAAACAAAATTGTTATTGGTGCTTTCACTTCTGACTTTAGTGCCTCTAGCTAATCTAGTCCTTATCCTTTATTGAGTGTTTGTCAGGAACAAAGTGGGAAAATAGAGCCAGCTCAATAGGCTAAAGCTGCATTTCCACAAACCCACTTCACTTATGGCCCAAGATGAAATGGAGCAGTTGTTTCTGAGAATGGGATATCATCTTAGGTTAACAATGTGTTATCTTTTTTTCTGTATTTTGGAAATTGGAAACCACCTTGAGATACCAAGTCTACTTCTTTTTGTTCAAATGGTTGAGTGTTTCATTGCTGCTTATGTAAACAGAGTTCAGCAATAATGTTCTCTTGGATAAACATGCTCAACTTTAATTATTTTTTAAAAACTATTCTCCCATGACGGAGACCTAATATGAAATGCTATGCCAGCATCAGCAATAATTAACATACAAGGCATTTTATATGTTCTCGATATTAGAACAACAGATTTTCTTTGAACCCCCTTGACCTTAAAACATGGGACAAAGGAATAGCCTATCTAAACAGGAAAGCCTAAATAATTTTCATGTTTTAGCAAATTCATTTTTTTCAAGTGACTCTTAATACTTTCTGATATTAAATAAATATTCTATGGTGAGACTGATTATGATTAGAGGGGTGACTATGTAAGAGCAACTTTTCTCTTTCCCATTATATATATCATTTTATAATTTTATTATGTCTATGTATTTATGCATATGTAAGAACAGCTGTAATTTTTATCTTATAATATGAAATCAAAGTAAAGAAATATTTTAATAACTAGCAATAACAAAGTTCTGCATATTAAGACCACTACCTTGCTCTTGATGAAATGAATGAAATACTTCAACAAGTGTCTGCCGTTTAATAATTTATTTGACTCAAATGTTGCTCTTTTGGTTTTGCATTAAGTAGAACAACTATATTGAAAGAATTCATGCAGGAAGATGCATATTTTAATTACATTTAACCTGTTTCTCTGTTAATTTGTTGGGGTACAGAGATAAGATGTGGATTAAACATTTTCTGAAATGCGTTTTTCAGAGCCACAGGCAGAAGCTGAGGCCACCCTGTCATTTAATGAATTATCAGTTTAGCAGGCATTGGGTATCTATATATATCCACAATATTTTTAGTGACAAGGAGCAGTGGGAAGAAAATAGGTAGAAATTTAGAGCAGGCGACCTTGGGGAGATTTGGGAAGTCACAGAATCTGCTTCACCTGGCTACAGTGAGAGCATAATCCCACTTAAAGACCGCAGAATGAAGTATTCATTGATATGTCTGAAGTAATATGTATTTTAACATATTTTTACCATTAAATATAAAATCAAACTATTGACGGGCAGTAAAGGAGGTCAGATCCCCATGTCTCAATGGCTAAATAGTGGACACATTTTAGCAAAGTACAGTGATACCTCATCTTGTCACTGATTGAATTTATGTCAGGCATTGATGAGTAAGGCAAATAGTTGTCCTTTTATATTCTCACTCAAAATACATTTACTTGTGTGGGTATGTGTGTATAACTATTTATATATACAATTACTTTGATTTAGAAAGCAGCATAAAAATCATTGTTCCATTTTCTTCTCATAAACCATGAAATACCACCACAAGACTAAAATAAGTAAATGCTTTTTAAGTGTCAATTAATTATTTTGTCATTAACATAACTGTAGAAAAACATCCATCCCTTAATACATTGCTGTTTATCTTTCTATAACCACCCCAGGCCTTTTCTTTTGCTTCTAGTCCCATATGCTCCCAAACCTAGATTTACTTGGAATATTGTTGTTAATTACCTCTTTAACACCTCTCCACTACTTTACACAGCATTTGACCTCACATCATACCCAGTCTTCTGGTATAAATCATCCCCCATGCTGTCCAGAGTTCCAAGCATCTCCATTTTCAGTCTTAAATCAACACCTTCCAATTACATTTTCAAAAAGAAGTTAGGGATATACTCAAACTGATCCGAATCCACTCCAATGTTTGGTCCACTGTTTTCTCTGAGAACCAGACTTCCACACTTATTGCTTGGTCTCTTGAAGCTCATAACCCTTCTTTTTGTTGTTTTCAAAAATTCTCCCAGGGAGTGCCTATATTGAACAAATTTCTATTTTTTCTTCTTAGTTCCTTCCCATCTACTATCCTGATCTCAGACTGTTTGGAAGTATAATAAGTGCAGAAAAGAGGAAAGTCAACTATGTGGCAAATTTGGCTGGTGAGATTATTTAGAATGGAATCCTAGTCTATTCTAAGTCTGTGGCTAGAAGAAGTAAATTCTGAGGAAAAAGAGACAGCCCCCTATACCAACCCTAAAGATATTAGTCCCTCTCAGGGGTAGGCTCTTTCTTCAACCACGCAGAGAGAATGGACAGGAAGGGAAAGAAAGCCAGTGAAGTGGAACCATGCCTTGTTTACGCCATCTGTTGAGATTCCTGTGAATGTTCTCCCTCTCTCTAAAGCACTCAGAGCACACATGTTCCAGTTGGGTAGGAAGTTGGGGTCCTTTTCATCCAGTACAGGGCTGGAATGGAAAGGTGAGCCTGAAGATGGGCAAGGTTCCTTGTGTTTAAAAACTGGATATGAATGAAGTTAGTTGTCATTCTACCTAACGAAAATACTACTCTTTTGAAATTAAGTATAAAACTTGAAGTGGAATATCTGTAATCTAAATGCGCTTATGCTGGGTGATGTGTTGGTGAATTTTCAGAGACCTATGAACTCATAAGAATGGGTGTGTTTGCCTGTGTGTGTGCAGGGGTTACTAAAGAATGAAACTGGGATTCTGGTGCTCCAATTGGGGTTATATTTAGGTAAGGCTTAAGAACTTGAGAGGGGAGTCATGCTGTAGAGTCTGGTGGTAGATCCAAGTCCAGGCAAAACTGATATTTCTAATATGAACACAGCACTGGATTAAATCTCAGAAGGACTGGTTTTCAGTCCTGCTTTGGCCCCCAGTTATGTATAACATAAATGGAGAAGATGGCATTGGAGTATCAGCGGAATGACCTTTGAGAGTAAAAACTAGCAGTGACCTTAGAGATTAATAGTCTGTAATTCTATAAGGTAACCCTATAAGAGAAGTTTTCCTCTTTACTATATCTGAATTCTCTATAAACAATATGGCATTAATGACTGTGTTTAGGCATTTCTGCAAGGCTAGGACATAGTCCTAAAAATTGAGCACCGCAAAACGAATCCTGTCTGTGCTTCCATCACTACTAAAACAATGCGAAAAACATACAAATCATATTAAGAGCATCTTATATTGCATTTAAATATAGTAACAGTGGAAGAGATAATTTTAGTTACTCCCTCAGAACTAGCAAAAACACACTCTTTTGCAACTCTCCCATTTGTTATTGTTTGCAGACACTGCATACCTAACACTTGTTTTATGTAAACAAATAAAAAACTCAATAAACAGTATATCCCTTCATTCTCTATAGCAGTAAACTTCTATTTTAATGAGATTTGAGTTCAGTACAGCAATTTTGATTTCTTTTCAGGTTGGTTAAAATAAGATTTTACATGAATTCCTAAATCTCAAAAGCATCCACGGCTCTATATGCTGGCTCAATACAGACAATGTTAATGTGATCTCTCTGGGACATTTTGCAAACAAGTTTCTGAACTTGTACAAAGAATATCGGAGCATCAACCAGCTAAAATTACAGTGACCTAACAGATAGTCATATAGTCATGTAACTATATGTCATATAATAGTCATGTAACTCTACATGATAATCCAACAAGCACAATTTACTCCTCTATTATCTCTAATCTGTCTATTAATCAACATGGAACTAGTAGTTCAGGTTAAGCCTCTCTTACAGACCACATTACTAGTTTGGAATGATGATATTCCTTACTTTTCCAGTTAAGAATAAGATGTTCTCACAGCCGGTTGAAGTTGAATCTGAATTATGGGAGAGATTTGCCTTCTAAGTCCTCTCACTTTCTATCCATTCTTTCTTCTCTACATTTGCAAAACACATATTCTCCTACTCTTCGCCTGTTTCTGTTTCCCTTTTTCCCAGGAAACAAAACAAATGAAAATGACACCTCAGTAAAAGATGTAGCCAGTAAGCCTTCATGTACTCATTGACTGATGAGGCTTATGTTGCATCATTCCAGAGGTGCTTCTATGTGAAAAGAGTTTCATGCAGCCAAAGGATAGCTATTGTGGTGAAAGCCAGGGCAGTCTCAGTCTGAATTCATCCTAGATATATAGAGATATTGGGATCCTCAGCCCTTAGAGGATCTATCCAATTTGCATTGCATCATGAGCATCCCATTTCAGTATCCTGTAAAAATACCGACATTTTCCATGTGTGCCCTGATGGGAAAAAGTTTGTGGGAGGCTTAGCTAGGAATAAGGTTGATAAGGAGTGTTTCCATTATGACACAAATTGTACTATACTTCTGCCTTCTGTAAACTTTGCTCACTCAACTGTAGCTTACCCCTAACAATACTTTCAGTTATATGTGAAGGGAAGGCTGGGAACCAGAGGCAGATTTACTGGATACCTCATTGTTGTGACATAATGTCAGGAACAGCCCCAGTCTTCCTCCATCCATGTATACATATTCATTGCAATGGAAGTTTGTAGGCCCCTCCCACTTCTGACTCTAGGCTCAGCCTTGTGATTTGCTGTACCCATCAAGATGCTGGTAAATGTGATATAAACAGAAGCTTAAAATGGGCATGCACACTGGAGCTTGTTCTTCTCATGCTCTCTGATAATGTCATGAGAAGAAACAAGCCTGGGCTGGCCTGATGAAAGATAAAGGACATGCGAAGAGCTGAGCCACGTCATCCCAGTCAAAGCCTTCCTACATCATTTGACCTCACAACATATGAGTGATCTCAGGTGAGATCAGCAGTCACCTGGCCCACCATCAGTGCTGACACATGAGCAATATGCTTATTGTTGAATGCCAATGAGTTTTTATAGTTGTTTGTTATATGGCAGGGTTCAAGCAACAGAAAATGAATAGTCTAATGAAGCTTCAGCTTCAGGGCCAGTCTTTTGCCAAGGCCCTATTCCAAACCACTCAGGAGAGCCCTTAACTATTTGTTCAATTTGGTCAGAGTTTTGTAAATTTTGCAAAAATATGATATTTTAATCACAGGATTAGAGTTGTTGCCTCCCACCATCCCTCTTCTCTTCCATCACACTTCTCCTGGTAGTAGGTGGCATTTTAGTGGCTTCGGTTATCTTGGGAATCCTGCTAAAGGGAAGTTCAGTTGGTTCTGCATATAGTTAAGTAGAAAGTGATATGATTATGATGTTCACAGTCGGTTCTTTGAATAGGTAAGTTATTATTAGTACCCCAGTGCTGGAATGTACTTACTTCTCACTGTACTATATCACTTAACATTGCAGGAACAAAGGTTGTAATATGATATGAACATGTCTTAGATTACCCAGTACAAGAATTATAAGAGTAGCAGAGGATAAAATGTATAAAGTCAGAAGCTGGTCAATGAAAAATTCTTCCAAGCATCAGACCTGTAAATTTTAAGCAAAATGGTTCAAACCCTTGGGAAAATTATTTGGTAGACTCTACTAAAGCAGAATAGCTACATATTTTAGAATCCAGTGATCCCACTTCTAAAAACATCATAACCAACAGAAACAGGTTCATATGTTCATTAAATGACATGTCCAAGACATTCTCAGCAGCACTATTTACAATAGTCCCCAAATAGAAACCACCCAATGTTTATAAATAGTAGAATAGACTCTAAACATTGTGGTATATTCACACATTGGAAAACCATACAGAATAAGATAAACTATCCAAACTATGTGTATATCACAAACACTAAGTTGAGTGAGAGAAGCCAGACACAAAAAGAAGTATTATAGGTATGATTCCACTTATGTCAAGTACAAAAGCAGGTAAACAGGGGTTACCCTTCTAGCAGGTAGGGACTGGAAGAAAGCATAAGGGGGGTTTCGGGAGTGCTAGTAGTGTTCTATTTCTTGATCTGGATATCAGTGTCATGCTATATATTTGTGAATGTTCATTGAGCCATACAATTAAAACAGACACTTTTTAGTATGTATATACTTCAATAAAATATTTGAAAAATTATAAACAGAGGATATAGCTATCATCAAAATGGAAAAACTTTACCTTCAGGAATATACTTGATGAAGTAGTATATATGAGTATGCATATAATATACATCAATTATATTATATATATAATATATATTATTTTAATTTAAACTGTGTGAAATGGCATTTGTCAGAATCTCTTTTTAGGGCAGAAATCTGTCACAGAACTACAAATATTGGGTATGGGAGTATGTGAAGCTGTATGTGAAATCTCACTGTATCAATCAGGAAATACTTAAATTTCTTATCAACTTTATACAAAACATAAAAATCTCAGCAAACTAACACAGGAACAGAAAACCAAACACTGCATGTTCTCACTCATAAGTGGGAGCTGAACAAAGAGAACACATGGACACAGGGAGGGGAATATCACACACTGGGGCCTGTCGGGGAGTGGGAGACTAGGTGAGGGATAACATTAGGAGAAACACCTTATGTAGATGAGGGGTTGTTGGGTGCAGCAAACCACCATGGCCTGTGTATACCTATGTAACAAACCTACACGTTCTGCACATGTATCCCAGAACCTAAAGTATAATAAAGAAATCAACAAGAATAAATAACTTTTGGCTTGCTACTAGAATGAGAACTCTGACGACAAACTGGTTAATGAATATTGTCAACTCAAATAATATTTAAGAGTGATCAGCACAAAAGAAAACTTGAAATGCACTTAGCTGTTGTAGCTCATATACAGAAGAGTCTCAGTAGAGGTTTCTTTTTCCCCAAATTGATGACAGTCCTAAACATTTGCATAATATTGGCAGGAAGAATTATAAAAATCAAAGGACCTTTTAAAACTATCAATTTTAACATACAATTTTTGATCAATCATAGTAGAGAAAAATTGAGTTGTCTCTTTATTTGCTCTATAAAATATTATAAAAGTGTAGTCTTATGAAGAAGCAATCAAAAATGTTCAAACGAAAAAATCAGGAATAAAAGTATTAGATGTATATCAGGCAATTAATTCATAAAATGATGGTAACATTCTCTCGATTTTATGTTTAACTTCTATTTTTACTCTAAATAAAAATGGACTTTTACACCCAATTTGTGTTCTTCTTTTCGAGAGGACTTACAAATTATAGAACTTTCAGGTACCACAGAATCGAGATAGATGACCGTGCTGGGAATCAACATGCATACTCCGTAGCCATGTGACCCAGTTGCAAGACTGTCTCCTGGCAGACAGATTGTCATCACTTCAAATCCCCTTTCAGCTTCTGACCCCTCCTGTGTCACACAGGTCAAACCTCCTTTTCATGTCTGCTTTCTCCCTTTTCACTTTCTTACTCTTAATTTAGACAATCTTATTCTGCAGTATTATTTGAATTAGATAAATACGCATAACTCTTTATTCCATCAACCATACTGCAAGAATTTAGACCATCTGTCTTCTAGCCTGGTTGGACAAAAGTCTATGGTGCACCTATTTTCATCCAGGGTAACCTTGCCCAGATCTCTGACTTGTCAAATAGAGCTTTAACATTTTACTCACCACTAACAATTCCTTGCCTTTGGCCACTGCCTATATCCTAATACTTCCTTCTATTAGCATTTTTGTCCCTATTTACATGCAACACCTAAAGGGCAAAGGGAAATAAAGTATGTGCTCACAATGCATGAACTGGCCCAAGACCCTCGGTACTCTCTGGATGAAGGAATACTCTTCTATTAAAACACCATGTGAGTGAGATGGGAGAATGAACTCATTCTGAGCTCTCTACCTTTATGCTAGAATTTGGGGATGAAGAAAACATAATAAAGTAAGAAGAAAATGGCTTCTTTGGCAGACCATCTTATTCAGAAATACCATCTTCTGAGTTAAGCCCACTAATTCAGCATTCAGATTTAATGCATTGTTCATGAAAAATGAAAACCACTGATAACATATTTTTTTCCATGAGATGTTCAGAAAAAAATCTCAAGCCACTGAAAGAATTAATTTGCCTGTAATGAAACTGACACGCAGGAAAAATTTAAAATCAATCTTGTGCTTAAAAGCAGAACAACACTGATGGTGCCTCAATATTTCCTCCCTCTTCCCACTGCTAGCTTGTTACCAGTGAACACATATTATGCATATTACCCACAAATCTCTCCTTTATTTAAATTTTAAAAAGAAACACCATGTTTTTAATCAATCTATTTGCACTTGGCTGTCAAAACTCACAAAGGCACTTTGATTTCCTTTCATTATTCTCAAGAGAACCAAATGCGGATGAATAGAGAATAAAAAGGAAGAAAAATTAAGGGTTAATACACCTTGTTAAAGTCAGACAAACAAACAAAAAAAAGATGTGTTTATTCACGGCCTGTTAAAAAATTCTTGCTATGCTTCCCTCCCATTGACAATTACCAGAATCATCAGGTATAAATGCAGGCTTTTGTCCTTTAACTATCAGATTGTTCTTCCATGGTTCTTAGTCACAGCTCTTGTTATCAGAGCAGTTCAATCTCTTGACTGTGAATTGTGAGGGTTTAGAGGCTGGACAGAAAAATCACTGAAGACTTTAGGGATGTATCATTTTGGTATTGTTGGTCAAAGCTCTTCTACTGACAGGCAAGAGACCAAACATTCATTAAAGGACCAAACAGATGGGGTCAGTTGACTCCTAGCAAGTTTTGGGTATTGGGAGCAAGGGTCTCCACAGGGATGGCAGAAACGCTGTTGGTTTCACAAACTGGCTGATTACTAGAACTTCCTGAGTGTGGTTTCCAGATTTAGTAAACAAAAATACAAACAGCCCAGCTAAATTTGAATTTCAGGTAAAAACAAATAATTTTTCAGTATAAGACCCCTTTGCTGGAAGTGCATCAAGAGGGGAAATATTTCTTTGAACGGATCTATGGAATGGAAGGAGAGTAGTATGATGAGGAGGGATGAGTGCATTTAATACATAAGAAGAATATGTGACAAATTTGTGATTTCCTTTCATTGTATTTATTCCTGGCAGAATACAAAGTGTATCTGTAAGACCATATTTATCCAGGGCTCCTTGGAAATGATTTATTCTGTAGAGAAATGTTTTGTTTGTTTTCATAATTGTTGAGGGGTTACCTCTTTAAGTAGTAAAACATTTTACATTCTAACTTCTAGGGATGAAAATCTTTCTTAAATGTGTCACACATATATTCTTGCCATTTCAAAAAGAAAACACTGCTATTTATTTTTCCCTGAAGAGCCAAGTTTATTATTATGAACATCTATTGTTGTACAACATTGATACCATTAAAATTAACTGAAACATCTGCTGGGCTATTTGCCATTTCACTAAATGTACCTATGCTTGTGTGAGCTTTAAGTTTTTGCATCTGCTTTTGTTGTTTATGTTTTTATGTTGTCATTTATGTTTTCTCCCCAGTCAAGCTATTAACTGTTATTCTTTCTCCTTTCTAATTTTTCTAAAATTCTCTACCCCTTGCTAAGATTTATAAATAAGACAGCAAGGAAATAAATCCAGTTCTTAGGATTGTTTGTAAACAAAAAACCCAATTTAAGGTCCAAACAGGGTTTATGTGAACAAAGTACACTAGTAGCTAAAAATAATGGTCTTTAGCTGTTAAAATAGTTTGCCACATACATATTCAACTGAAATTGATTGCTACTCAGTTCCAGGTAGGTGTAGTTATAAGGTGGCCAACTCCCAGGTAGTTGAGTGAGGTGTAATATACTCCTTGTGGATATATATAGTGGTATCTGAGATAAAAATTATTATCAGAGTAGAAAAAGATGAAATCAGTAGCTGCAAGGCAGGTGATTCTGGATCCAAGATACTGGGGTCATCCTGCACTGTCAAAAACAGTGTAGAA
This sequence comes from Homo sapiens, assembly GCF_000001405.40. NCBI lineage: Eukaryota > Metazoa > Chordata > Mammalia > Primates > Hominidae > Homo > Homo sapiens. The sequence continues at coordinate 115,896,574 of NC_000003.12, forward strand.
TGAGATCTGACTCTTGCTGGCTTTTATGAACTTGTACCATTCATTTAATCAAAACTGTGCCTTGCTTTTCTCATTTGCAAAACAATGTAGATAATCAATACCATTGATTTAGGTATTGAGGAAGTGAGGATAATTTCTACTGTTCTCCTCATTTTTCTAAATTGGTCTCATGGTATGCAGCTTTTACTATTTTTACATGTGGTCCGCACATTGTTATCCTCAGTGAAAGGACTTTCAAATTTGAGGGAAGAGGGCTTCTTTTTTTTATGGTCATGATTCATAAGTGCAGGATTTCTATGCCCTGAACATGGGTTCCTAAGTTCCAATGTGCCCATGCATGGAGAACTTCTTGTCCTCCTTGGAAACACATTCTGAGCAAGGCCTGCCCTTTGGGGTTGTATCTATTCCCACTCCTTTCTTCTGTCAGTGATGGGTAAATGCAGTCCTAGACATTTAGGTATGAAGGCTAGCTGATGGGGAAGGAATAAGAAGCCTCGCTTATGATTCCAAGATTAAGCTTCTCATTGGTGACCCTTACCAGAGAATCTCTGAACTGGGTAGGGTTCGGCTATGGTATGTGTGTGGCAGGGGGAGGGAGGAGGTATTGCTTAGATGCTCACCCAGCTATTAATAAAGCTGATCATTTTTCCCCTCATTTGGCCAGGGTTGTTGTTGTATATAATTTTCTCTATAGCTAACTTGGAAGGAGAAAAGCAGAGCAGCATGAAACTCACTAAATTCCATCAAGAAATCTTATTACTGTTGGAGGATTATGGTGATTACATGATTTTTTTTAAAAAAGCTTGACATACAGTAGGCCCTCAGTTATTTAGTTATTTACCTCCCTCTTCTCTCCATGAAGAGAAGAGGAGAGGAACTGAATGGAGGGCTATGAAATGGGAAAAGTGGTAAACCATAGTGTTCTACCTGATCAAGAAGCTGGGGGGAATAACTAATGAATAATTGTAAAGCCTTTCAGAAAGATAAAGTCTATAGAAATGCAAAATAGTAATATCAGGGAAGTAGAGATGTCAGTTGAATATAAAGAAGACAGCTTTTATTCCCATACAAATATCTTGGTCACCATCAGCAGCGGTGGACAAGAAAACAGAAAGAAGGGTGTGTGACAGTTTAATAGTGTTTTGTTAAAAATAGAACGTGTTTTAAGAGTGTCTGGACTTTCTTTAAAATAAAAAGATGAGCACTGACTCACTTTCTGTTAGAACAGATTCAGAAGTGCCTCTGGCAAAAATCACTGGCTTTCCCACCTCCAATTTCCTATGTTAATTAAATTGGGAGGGCAAATTTGGTATATGAGAGGAACAATGTCAAGAAGCCATGTTGGCAGGCAAAATACCGCTTCATGTGGGAGCAGTTCGTGAGCTCTGGCCAGCTCAGCTTTCCACGCTGAATTCAAATCTCACTCCAGATCCAAAATGCTAGTCCATGATATCCCTCCTGAGGAAGTCCTAGGGGCTAGGATAAGCTCAAGAAAGACCATCTGCTTAAGGATTTATATTCAGAAACCTGGGACAATGGGGAACTCTTGGCTCATTCTCAGGGTGTTAAGGGTTTAGTGTTTCCCCAAATTTTGGATGATGATAAATGCTATGCAAAAAATAGTTTCTACATCAAGATAAATTTAGGAAACACTGGATTTAAAAAAATTAACAGATATTTTTCAACTGTAGGAGTTCCTAAAACCTTTCATATGTTAATGTGAGCTGTACATTTCCAAAAGATAAAGACAATGTGTTCTCCAAATTTATTTGACTATAGAACTGTTTTACAGAGTGTTCATCAGGGCAAGCCATAAGGTGCACTTTGGGAAATACTGTTCTGGGGCCACCTACAGATTTTTCTTTTTGTTTTGGGCATCCTAAGGATTTTCTAGAAAGAGCTGAATCTCCAGAAGAGCCAAGAAAGTAGATTTGAGAATTCAGCTGAAATCTGAACAACCTATTGAGGTTGCATCTCAGTCCACTTTAGTACCAATATATGATTGCCTCATTTGCATGAAGATGCATATATATATATATATATATATATATGCACCCAAAAGACATTTCTTTGATCTTAACAAGATACAATTAGATTGAGACTCACCTAGTACCCAGCCAATGGTCCAGCCTCCCTGGCTATGACTGAATCAGGCAGACTTCACTTAGCAGAAAGCTCAAAGATGGGGGATGGGGAGCATGGTGCTTCCTTGTTTGAAGGTTGTGAGGCATCTCCAGTGGTGACCACCCACTACATAGCCACAAAGGAAGTTCGAGAAAAGGAAGAAAGGGACTAGTGTGTGGTAAATTCTCTTTGGGTGCTATGAGCATGCACACTTAAGTCTGGGTTGCAGTGGCCAAGGGGCTGTCATGCAATGACCATTTGAAGCCATGCATCAACGTGTACAGCCATGGGTGTCTCAGATGGCACCACAGTATAAATATAGTCAAATCAGTTCAGTATCCAGAACTCAAAGGAGAGAATTGTGCTGAAATCATGGAAAAGGATAAAGAAGCCTCATTTTAATATGTTAAACACACACACATAACTAAGGCAGCCAATCTGAAACAGAAGCAGATGTATTCAGGGTACAAAGAATAACATTTTTAGCTAGCTCGGCTTCCTTTCAAACAGTTTTTTTCAACAGTGAGAGCTTTCTGAGAAATGCATTTATATAGGTACAAAGCATGTGTCTCTGTGGCAGCAGGAGTCCTTATTTGCATCAGATTTTCTTTAACACCTGTTTGTTTCAGAGGGCACTGCCTTCCTAGGAAACACTCCAGAAAAGGAATTACATAAAGAAAGGATGCTTTAGTTTGGAAAGATGAGGCAGTGCAGAGCATTCACAATTCCTATAAATCACCAAGTCTACTTTCCTTGGTGAATAAGAGAAAGGTACTTTAAAAAACTATTATTATAAGAGCTGTGATTACCCTTGTATACATAACTGCCTGATGCCTATTTTTAAACCATGTCCTTGGAACACAATGAGTATTCAATAAGGGATGTAGACTTAACTCTTCCAATATCTCAATCCTGCACATCCACTAAATCTTATATGTCAAATTGCCATAAAATCTAGATGTGATGCTGTTTTATTCTGTTGATTAGAATGATTTTGTATCTAACTCTATACATAGTCCAAACATCAACTTTGCACAGTCAGCAACAATCTAGATTCTTAAATATCCTGAGAAGGGGACATGGCATCTGGCTCTGCTTTAAATTGTGCTTACTGTCGACAACAGAAGTCTCTAAAAATGGCATCGGAGTTTATATTTATTCACATCTAATTTATTTCAGAGGGACAGACCCAGTTTCCAAATTGAAAGATCGTCTTCCTGATGACCATTAGGAATGGCCTGCTTTCTTAAGATGTGAAGGAAAAAAGAAGTTGAATGGCCTCTATGTACTATAATCCTTCATGTCCTCACAGTGGTGCTGTAAGCATGATAAATAATTTTGGATGTAGAATTACACTTAACTATTTGCTTTTAGGATATTTGTTTCTTTACCTGTCTTCCTACATTCAATACATCAGAGAATTTCAGTGTGGGTTGTGACCTTAAAGATATTATTCTCTAGGTCCAAATGCTATAGATGAAGAAACTGGGGCAGGACAAAACTAAGAGCTTCATTTAAGTTTAAATTGCTATTTCAGCTGGGCGTGGTGGCTCATGCCTGTAATACCAACAGTTTGGGAGCCCAATGTGGGTGGATCACTTGAGGTCAGGAGTTCAAGAGCAGCCTGGCCAACATGGTGAAACCCCAACTCTACTAAAAATACAAATATTAGCTGGGTGTGGTGGCCCATGCCTGCAATCCCTAGCTACTTGGGGGGCTGAGGCAGGAGAAACTCTTGAACCCAGGAGGCGGAGGTTGCAGTGAGCCAAGATAGCACCACTGCACTCCAACCTGGGCAATAGAGTGAGACTGTCCAAAAAAAAAAAAAAAAAAAAAATGCTAATTGATACCAGAGTCAGCTTTTGCCACAAACTCTGACCCTAAGGCTAAAAGACCAGAGATTTGTGAACTCTCAATATTTGCTAATGTTCTGCATCATGAAAGGATGGAAGGGTACATGAGCAGGCATACAACCAAAAGGAGAGAAGTTGGCTGCTCCATTTATTTTGTTTCCTGTCTCTTGTCTTCAGCATCAAGAGAAATGTTGACAGTGAAAGAACAATGGTTAAATGGAGAAAAACCATTATTCGCTTTCAGGTACCTTACTGGGCCTTTGGCACTCACAGTGGATTCTGCATCAGGATGAAAACAGCTGATTTTGGTTCATGGCTATAGATCCTGGAGTTAAAAATGTCTAAAGCAGCACAAACAATTTTCTCATTTATTTGGAAGTATTCTTCTTTTCTGAGATTCTTACTTTCTTCCCTCTCAATTTTGGCAAAAACAAGTTTCATTTCCTCCACCAACACATATTCTCCCTGCCCTTCCTATATTCACCTTTGCTTAGTAGTGAGTAGCAGGCTCTGCTATACATGCTGAGTAAGAGAAGGTAAAGCAGTAGGAGCATGCTTATGGATACATTCTCTGCTATTAGCTGCTCTGGACAGACCTTTGGATGCTCTGCCTCTAGAATCATTTGGGGTCTGAGAGTCTGTGCTTAATCTGTCAGTTATGGCAGCCAAGAGCAACTTACATAATCACTGGCTTTTGACAATGTAGCAGTAAAATACTAGATAGGAAGGCATGTGAGGAGGTAATATGTATAATAATACATTTTTGTAGGTTTCAAAGTGTGTCCTTGGCTGCCTTCTCTTCTCATTTTACCTACTTTACTTGGGCTGCAATTACTCCCTTGATGTAGATGCTTCCCGAAATAGTGTTCAAGTCCAGATTACAGATACCTATTTTCAACTGTCTCCTACACATATTAACCTGGATGACACACTAGCATTTCAAAAGCAACATGTCAAAACCCAACTTTTTGTTCTACTCCCACAAACCAGTTTATCTCCCACAAAACCAGCGTATCTCCCTGTATTTCCTATCTCAACGTATAGCATCTAAATCCACTCAGTAATCGAAGTCAGAATATTGTTAAACCATCCTGGATTTTTAATTGCCATAATATTTAACATCCAATTAATTACCAAATAAAATCTTCCAAATACCACCCCAATACATTCTCTTCCTTTCTCCCTTATCAAGGCTTTAGTTCAACATCTTATCTCATATAAATGATAAAATTTAATTCCTGGGCATATATAAAATATCACACTTTACAAGTAAAGAACATAGATTCTCTTAAACACATATGGGTTGTTTACAAAAATTGACCACATTCAGAAATAAAAAAGCAAATACCAATAAACAGAATTGTTATCTACAGATAACTATTTCTGGTAAAAATGCAATTACACTAGCAATCAATGATAAAATTTAACTAGATAAGAAAAAACCCTGTCCATTTAGAAACTAAATAACTGAAAGGCAACAGAAAAAAAATCACAATAAAGTAAGAGGAACAATAATAAAAACATACAAATCAACTCTTGTGCATTTTAGTTAAAGCAGATGTTAGTGGATAATCTATAACATTAAGTGTTTATATTATAAAGAAATACTTGTTAAAAATGAGCTCATGCATTCTAGAAGCTACCAAAAGAATAGCTCATAGAAATATATAGTATCATATATTACTATTATTCTATAATAAACTCACTGAAAGTAGGAAGAAAATGATAATAAAGATAAGTGCCCATGTATTGGAAAAGACAACAATAGGAAACAATATAAAAATTAGCACAACTAAAAGTTTACTCTTTAAAAAGGTTATGAATCATGCAAAACTATAAAACCCTGTAAGACAACCTATGCAATACCATTCTAGACATAGGAACGGGGCAAAAATTTCATGACAAAGATGCTAAAAGCAATTGCAGCAAAAGCAAAAGTTGACAAATGGATCTAATTAAAGAGCTTCTGCACAGCAAAAGAAACTATCAAGAGAGTAAATAGGCAACCTACAGAATGGGAAAAAATATTTGCAAACTATGCATCTGTCAAAGGTTTAATATCCAGCATCTATAAGGAACTTAAAAAAATTTATAAGAAAAAACAAACATCCCCATTGAAAAGTGGGCAAAGGACATGAACAGACACTTTTCAAAAGAAGACATACATACAGCCAACAAGCATATGAAAAGGAGCTCAACATCATTGGTCATCAGAGAAATGCAAATCAAAACCACAATGAGATACCACTTCACACCAGTCAGAATGGCTATCATTAAAAAGTCAGAAAATAACAGATGCTGGTGAGGTTTCAGAGAAAAAGCAACATCTATGAACTGTTGGTAGGAGTGTAAATTAGTTTCAACCATTGTGTAAAGCAGTGTGGCAATTCCTCAAAGAGCTAAGAACTACCTTCAACCAGCAATCCCATTACTTGGTACATACCCAAAGGATTATAAATTGTTCTATCATGAAGATACATGCACGCATATATTCACTGCAGCACTATTGACAATAGCAAAGACATGGAGTCAACCTAAATGCCTATCAATGGTTAGACTGGATAAAGAAAATATGGTACAAATACACCATGGAACACTATGCAGCCATAAAAAGGAATGAGATCATGTCCTTTGCAGGAACATGGATGGAGCTGGAAGCCATTATCCTTAGCAAACTAACAGAGAAACATAAAACCAAATACTGCATGTTCTCACTTACACGTGGGAGCTAAATGATGAGAACACATGAACACGTAGAGGGGAACAACAGACACTGGGGCATCCCTGAGGGTGGAGGGTTAGAGCAGGGAGAGGATCAGGAAAAGTCACCAATCGGTACTAGACTTTATAGCTGAGTGATGAAGTAATCTGTACAACAAACCCCAGTGACATGAGTTTACCTATATAAAAAACCTGTACATGTACCCTTGAATTTAAAATAAAAGTTTCAAAAAAAAGGTGTCAACAAAGTGGTTGGCTTGAGAGATGGAATTTGTTGGAAAAAGGCATAAAGAACCCTCACAGGAGGATGGAGATGTTTTATATCTTCTTCTCAGAGATGTTCATTTGGATACATTAGCTTTTTTTCCTGTATAAATTTTACCTTATTGAGATGCTATTTGGAAAGAGGATAAGGTAAGTTAGCCTCTGATAAAAATGTATCTCTAAAAGGAACAATTTTACAGGATCTTAATAGGTTTAACAGGTTTTAATAGGTTAGGCAATACAATATATTTTATCAAATAATATCCTATGGGATTACTATGCCTTAAGACACACTTTGGTAAACTCTTATTTAAATGGTACTTAATATTTAAAGCAGACATTATATTATAACTTGTTTTTAAAAAATAAAGTCTTCCCTCCAAAATTCTTTTGAAAAACTGTCTTGGGTTTGCATAGCTCACTGATGAGTGATTCCAGATAAATGACACATTACTGCAGAAAGTTGAAGATGTGGTTTGAATTTCACTATCTGAAACATAAAACTCATTCTCAAAAGTAGATGTTAGTGAATGGCACAAATTGAAAGATGTTATGAATCATCTGTCGACGGTAGTCAAAAAAAGTGAAGCAACAAATAAAGATAGGAATTATGAAGTGGACATGACTATAGATGTTAGTCAAAAATTGGATGTCACTATAGATTTAAAAAGATAAAGAGCTATTAAACATATTTTAGGAATTATTTATTGGAAAATTAAAAATGCTTATGTCAAATAGTTTTAAAAATGTAAATGAAAAATTTTAATTTCTAAAACAATGTAACTTAGAAAAAGGGATCCATGAAGAAATAGGAAATATTTACAGTTTTATAGTAACTTAAGAAATTGATCTAGTGGATACAAATCTTCCCACAAAGAAAACGTCAGTCCCAGATAAAATTATAGAAGAGTTCTACTCAACATTGAAGGAAAAAATAATAAAAACAATACAAATTTACCATACAACTCCTGCGTTTATAAAAATAGCAACCAAACACTTTACAACTTATTTTATTAGGCTAGTAAAACATTAAAATTTCTTCCTAACCTGTGTCCTTGTCCCTTCTCTCACCTCTCCCAGATCTACCCTTCACTCTCAGAGTGATCTTTCTAAAATGCGAATCTGATCACTCCAGTCCTTTAGGGACACTCAGGGTTTCTTCATTATCACCAGAACAGAACATCAACGTTCCTTCCTCTGGTAACCTGTCTTACTCATTTCATCTCTGCCTACCTTTCCAACCTCGTAATTTACCACTTCCTATTGTGCTGTTGTTGCAGTTTTTAAAAGATGCCTCTGATTTTTACTTACATGTCCTCTGACTTCACACTCCTGCCTTTCAAAACTAGGTTTTGTTGGTCCCTCTTTTGGACCCGTAGAGAACTTTTGCCTGTCTTCACAATACCTATCCCATCTTATTGAACTCTGCTTATTATAACAGTTTGTTTTCCTCATGATGTTTTAAACTCCTTGAAGAATTTGTGAGTCTTTAGGGTCCAGCACATGGCTGGCACATGGTGGGGTACAGGCTCTACTTCAGACATATCTTGGATAAAATGCTCTTTTGCACAGCTTGTCAGTCATCATCAAGTAGAATCCTGTATCTATGGGAAAATACACTCCAGGTTACAATGAACAGCCAAAATTGCTCTTTTAGAATATAACCTATTTTTAAGTCAGAGTCTGTCTCTATTAGTGATGAAAAGTTTCTCACAAGTTTGGTATATGGAGAGACAATAAAAGCATCACCTCTCTCTCCTAGGTACTTTCAAAAGACAGGAAACTCACAGTTGCTCTAATATGAGATACCGATGATATTGGGAAACATTCTTCAGTGCACAGACACATGGCATCCTGAAAAAAAATCAATGTTTTACCTTCCTCCCTGCTGAGTTTCATTTCACAATAGAGAACTATCATTATAAGCCCCCAAAATGTACCTGTTCAGTTTTTCATCTGTGAACAACACTGATTTCAATTAAATCCAAAATAGATACCCCAGAGTCCTCCCTAGAATTTTTAATATTTGGCCTTTAATATAAATTGATCCTTTGCTACTGAGTCAGTAACACAAAACCAAAAAAAGGCTTTAAGAATTATTAAAGTCACAGGCAGTGCACAGGACATACTTGAGAACATGTGCTGTAGAAAACACAGCCTTACATAAAGAAGTCACTTATAAGGCCGATAAAAGATGCTAAGATGCTCATTCCCCTCCCCTTGCATTGGTACCTACAGTTCCCAGCGGAAGAGGGGGTCTCATCCTGGCTGCTTCTCAGGAGCATCTCTCATTCTAGGGCATCAGGAACTCAAAATACATAAGGATATTTTTGTGAGGGGTCTTGATAGTGGGGAATTACTGGGTATTCCTATTTTTGGAGACTGCTGAAGAAGTGGGATGAGGCTAGGGGACACTACAATGCCAAGGACATGAGACTAGTACAAGACTGGAAACAGCAAACATGACTTTTGGGATTCAGTCTGTTCCTCTGACCACTGGACCTTGAAAACAGGTGCTGGAACCTTATGGAAAGCAATTAGAGCTTCCATCCAGACTACAGGCTTTTGCCAATGTCAAAAAGATGACAAGGTTACCAGCCCGAGGAATTTCACACTATGGCTCTCTTCTTCAGTATTGTGCCAGAAATGCATTTAATGATGGAGTTCTGCCATTTATAATATGTGTCACTTTGGGAGAGCAGAAGAAACTAATGCTACTTTTATTTATGCCGTTTCATCTATCTGAGACCAGCATTTATTAAGCATGGTGCTGAGATGACACTTGATTTCCCCTCAGTTCTTTTTTATTGTTTTTGCATGTAAGTCCTGGGAAAAATAATACTGCTTTGGACAGCAAATGACTTAAATGAATCAGATATTGTCTGGGTGTAGGTATTGCTAAGAGACCAACTTAATTATTAGTTGTTATCATGGTTATTGCAACATCTAGTTTCCTGCAGACTAGACTTCGAAGAGAAGGCAGTTGACAGCTCTGGAATCCAAAGAAGGGAGGCAAAAAGGAAGAGCAGACAAAGCATTAACTTTAGAGTCCCATTTCTCTTTCCTACTGGCTGCATATCCACCATCAAAGCCTTAATTTGTTCATCTGTAAAGTAAAACTAATAGTTTTGTTTGCTGAAGGCTTTAAATAAATTGCTATCTACAAAGCGTTTGGCACAGTTTTTGGCACACAGCAGGTGCCCATTGAATGTTAAGTCCTGTTTCTTATTTTTAAGACATACTTTGCTAAGAGAGCTCAGGGAAAAGATGTGGTCCACTAAGCAGGTATTTATTACATATTAAACTGAATTAGAGGCAGCTAATTATATCTTTGCTAGCTTAATTTCAGAGAATGAGAAGTATAACTTTTGGGGCTTTGTTTGAATTCTTGGTCAGGTTCTACATAGATTAAATCCAAGAGGTAAACAACAATCCTAATAACCTAATGTTAGTCCTATACTAGAATAATTTGAATATTTAAAACAAACTCCCTTTCTTTTAAAAACTGCACCAGTCAGTTGGTTTTCCATCTCAACCCTGGACTGTTAAACAACTCCAGCATACCCAGTGTTATTTGCTACAGTCTCCTTCAAGCCTTGTTGCTTGCTTCCAGCCTGTTCCCACTTGGATCTAATTCCTGTCTAGTTTCTGACATTGGCTTCAGTTTTTCTTCCTGATTTTGCCTATCCATTGCTAAGGTCTGAATGTTTGTGTCCCGCATAAAATTTATATGTTGCAACCTAATCCTCAATATGATGGCAGTAAAAGATGAGCCCTCTGGGAGGTGATTAGGTCATGAGGGCTCCACCTTCATGAGTAGGATTAATGAAGAAAGAGGTAGCTTGTTTGCCCCATTCCACAAGTAAGGATGCAGCAAGAAGATGCCATCTATGAAGCAGAGAGTGGGCCTGCAGCAGACATCGAATCCACTGGCACTTTCATCTTGGACTTCCCTGCCTCCAGAACTGTGAGAAATAAATTTCTGTTGTTTGTAAATCACCCAGTCTAAGGTATTTTGTTATAGTACCCTACACAGACTAAGATATTCATCTCCTGACTTTGATCTCTTCGGGCTACTTCCCCAGTCAGACCCATCTGACCCTGCATGAAAGAAAATTCACTTAGGAACAGCCAAATAGCAAAAAGTAGTTCTCAAATAATTGAGAAATGGTTTATGAGTCTACAGTAAACTCAAAAATAAAAAGTTTTCATTGTAATTATTTAGTTTTTAATCAAAGTAAAATCACAGATTTTTGTGTGAAGTATCTTGCTGAAGAAACAGAGAGTTGTATGCACCAGCTATTGCTGAGTAAAATGTGACATCATTTAGGGGCTTCTCAAGGCCTTTTTATTATGAAGATCAACATGCCACTTACTGGGCAGTTTCCAAATGGGCAACATAGCCCCATCTCATGTCACAGATGACTTCATCTATCTAAAGTAGGATCTTTAATGTTGAAATAGTGCTAGTAATCTACACTTAAATCATGGGGAGATTTGAGCCCAATGTATGAAATCCTGGTGTTTGACCATACAGGGAAGATAAGAAAGATATATATATATATCTTATAATATGTGTCACTTTGGGAGAGCAGAAGAAACTAATGCTACTTTTATTTATGCCGTTTCATCTATCTGAGACCAACATTTATTAGGCATGGTGCTGAGATGATACTTAATTTCCCCTCAGTTTATATATATATAAGTGGAAAAAGATCACCTGTCACTGAAAACCTACCCCTCAATATCCAATCAAATGATTTTAGTTTACCCTAAACTTTACAAAAGAATATTGTAGCAAGCTTATTCAACTGTAGACTTAGTACATCTTATCTTGCTATTATCTAGCTAACAGAGAAGCTTTAGTATATCTGTCTACCTGCAAGGCTCAGAACAAAACTTTGCAGATGGCCAGATTTGCAAAAACCTGAACACAGGACCCTACCTTGGTATTCAGCAAAGTGGAAGATGAAGTGGAGTCCTGTTCTGATCCTCCAAAAGCCTGATTCTGAAGTTGCTTATAACCTGACCTTTTTACTCTGTGATGTTACAGATATGCAGCCTCTGATATTTATATAGAACTTATTCCTACTGTTATCAGAGCACAAAGGAAGAACATAGGAGGAAAAGCACAAGAGGTAGCATTATTACTCTGATTGTTGTTAATCCATTATACCTCTAGTGCAAAAAGCATTAGTTTTAAGTCATCTTAGACATGGAATTTGCAGGAAATAAAGTATAGGTGTCAGAGACTTTACAGCTTTCTTTACAAAAGCCTCTCTTATTTGCAGCTTGCCTGTCGTCATCTCCAACCTGTCTAGATGTTTGACCTTCTGTCCGGCACTTCTGTCTTCAGTCAAGAGTGACATAAGCTGTTCTAGGTCACTCTTTAGGATTCCAAACCAAGTCATCCTTGCTGTTTGTCTTGTATCCCATGATCATGTACTTAAATTTAGATAACATAACTTTTGGCTTTTTCTCAAAGTCTCAACTTAGAGACTAATTCTGAAAAATAACTGAATTCCTATGTTGTTGCTATACTGCCTTCCCTGTCCTAATGCCCGTCCGGTTCAATATCTGTCTAGGGCTGGGAATTGGCTTTATTATAGATGGTCTTTGCTCCTCCTGCATCCTTAGCTTTGATCTTTCTTCAGGCATCCCAAAGACACAGATTTCAGATCCCAGATGCCTTCTGAAATTCCACGTTTTGATTCTAGAGTTTTGATTCTCTGCCTACCTGCCCAGGCATCACATCTCTGCTAGTTCTCCATCTAGGCTTTTCTGAGTCTGCACAGTCTTGCAAGTGGTCCTTTCATGCTTGTCTCTGTCTTGAGATATGAGTATAAGAACCAGTTGGAAGAGCTCCAAATGAATGGCAAATGCTCAGGTATCTTCTGTGGTTGTTGTTGCTGTTCCCTTGGTGTCATCATTCACCTAGCTTACATTAGTTCTTGTCTTTTCTTCAGCAGCAATGTAAGAATCCTGCTTCTTCCAATCCCCGTCCAGTACATCTTGGTTTGGGAACTCCTATTGCTAGATATTGGTTTAATCTGTGGGTTTCTATTTCCTCTTTTTTCTTTTATTTAAATCAAGAAATGCATCACTTGTTAAAATAGGGAGCATCAGGCCAATATTTTGAATGTCTTCTTCTATTGGAGTTTTGAGGGATAGTGCCACAAAGATAAAGCTTGACGTGTTGCAAATTAAAGAGATAATATAATCTGTGCTCTCTCAGTTTTGGGTGGGGAGTAGTAAGAAGCCAGTCAGGATAATATACTTTAATGAGAAGTTTGCCTTATTAGTGAGGTGATAATTTTGCTCTAATCTAGCTCCTTTACATAAGTTTAAAATATCTGTGTTTCACTCTTCTAAAAAGAAAACAAAAATTTATCCTGTTTCTGCAAATATGTTTATGGTAGTTATTTTGGGCTTGCAAATTCGTGTAAGTCATTGACGCAATGTGCTCATATCAGTGTTGTTGGTCTCAATCATAACAATATTTTTCAGATTATGGATTTTTTTCTCATTTGATCATTATATTTACCCAGGGAGAAAGGTAAGAAAACATTGTTCTTATTCCCAGTTTAAAGTGGAAGCAGAATATCAGAAAAATTAAGCAAAGTGTTTAAAGTCCCATAGCTAGTAAGAAGTAGAATCCAGGTCTTTTGCTCAATCTTCTCTTTTTTCCACCAAGCACTCCTCAAAGTTTTTCACCTGGGAAACAGAGTTATGCAAATATTTGCTCCTAAGAATTTGGAATATAGTTTGAAAGTTCTGTTGCAAATGTAAAATTTCTTTGATGTTTTATATTTTATTTTGAAAAACCAGGCAAGTTTTGCTTTCTTCCCATAATGTATCAGTGTGTGTTTTAATATAAGTAATGCCTTCTCTAGCTAACTACTCTACCCCCATTTGATTTTTTAATTAAATTTTTCTATTTTGAGACAGCAAAAAAGACAAAAATTCACATGCAGTTTTAAGAAATAATACAGAGATCCTTCTGTATCCTCTACCTAGTTTCTCCCAACGTTAACATCTTGCATAATCATAAGATCAGGATTTAAAAAGCATATATTGAGCTTGATATAGTTAAGATACAGAATTTCCATCACTACAAGGATCCTGCATATTGTTCTTTTATAGCCACACCACTTCTCTCCTGTCCTCACGCCCTCCTCAACACTGCAAACCACTAACCTCTTCTTCATTTCTATAATTTTGTCCTTTCAAGAGTATTATATAAATGAAGTTATACAGTATGCAACTGTTGGCATAGACTCTTTTTCTTTCAGCATAAGTCACTGGAGAATCACCCAGGTTGCTGCATCTGTCAGTAGTTCATTCCTTAATGAACTACTCAATGTTCAATAGTAGAGTAGGGTGACTATACTTAACAATGACGTATATTTCAAAATAGCTAGAAGAAAGGATTGAAATGCTCCCAACACTTAGGAATTATAAATCCTTGAGAAGATGATAGCCTAAATACCCTGACATGATCATTTACACATTCTATGCATGTAACAAAATATCACATGTATCCCATAAATATGTACAAATGTCATGCATCAATTTTTAAAAGGAACATGTACTTTGAAGAGTTGTGAAATTAAATGAAATTATATATAAAGCATTTTACACATGGTAAAAGCTCAATAAATGACAGCTATAGTAAAAATATATACAGTTGTTTCTTCTTATTGCTATGTAGTGTTTTGTGGAATGGATGTACCACAGTTTCTTCAATCATTGAGAAACATATGGGTTGTTTTTGGTTTATAGCTATTATGAATAAAGTTGCTATATACACTTGTGTATGGGTTTTCATTTTTGTTTTTCTGAGACAGATTCTCACTCTTTCACCCAGGCTGGAGTGTAGTGGAGCAATCACTGCTCACTGCAGCCTCGACCTCCTGGGCTCAGGTGATCCTCCCACCTCCTGAGTAGCTGGGACTACAGGTGCCTGCCACCACGCCTGGCTAATTTTTTGTAGAGACAGGGTTTCACCATGTTGCCCAGGCTGGTCTCAAACTCCCAGGCTTAAGTAATCCATCCTCCTTGACCTCCCAGAGTGCTGGGATTACAGGTGTGAGCTACCGTGCCTGGCCTACGTATGGGTTTTTGTGTGACCATAACTCTCTCATTTATTTGAGACAAATGTCAATAGTACAACTGCTGGAGCATATAGTAGCTGTATGTTTAATTTTTAAAGCAAAAGCCAAAATTATTTTCCAAAATGGCTATACAATTTTACATTCCCACCAACAAAGTATGAATTATTCAGATTCTTCACATCCTTCTCATCATTTGGTGTTGCCATATTTTTTATTTTAGCCATTTTGATAAGTGTGTGGTGATCTCTCATTGTGGCTTTAATTTGCATTTCCCTAAACGGCTAGTGATGTTAAACATCTTTTACTTAACATCTATATAACCTCGTCAGTGAAATGGTTGGTTCTTTTGTCCATTTTAAAATTAGATTGTTTTTTGCTGGTGAGTCTTGAGAGTCCTTTATACATTCTAGCTATCACTCCTTTGCCTGATTTGTAGTTTCTCTCACTCTGTACCCTGTCTTTTCATCCTTTTCACAGGTCTTTTGCAAAGCAGAAGTTTTTAATTTTGATGAAGTCAATTTATTGACTTTTCCTTTTACGGACCATGCTTTTGATGTCAAGCCTAAGGACACTTTGCCTAACCCTAGATCATGAAGACTTTTTTCTAAAAAGTTTTACAGTTTTACATTTACATTTAAGTCTGTGATTCATTTGAAGTTAATTTTTATACCAGGTGTTAGACGTAGGTCAATGTTTAATTTTTTCTTTTTGTGCATGCATGTCCAACTGCTGCAAACCTCTTTGACACCAACCCCACTGGGAGGAGGAGGGACCCCTTGTTACTCTTGGGTGGGTGTGGAAAGCCAGACTCTCCATGTGGACTCTACTGAAACCCAGAGTGAGAGGTGGCTCCTTACTGGTCAGGGGATATGAAAAGCTCAGCTCCATCCTTGGCCTCCTCTGACACCATCTTGGCAAGGGATACTGTGTTGCGTCATTGCAGCCACATGAGTGTAGAAGTCTGGGCTCCACACTTGACCTTTGCTGGCACGAGTGGAGTTGTAGCCAGTTTTGTTTGTTTGTTTGTTTTCCCCTGTGGTATTTGGCTGGTCTAGTGTGGTTATTGTTTAAAAAATTTTTTGTCTTCCTATTCTGCCTCTTTTTTGGTCTTTTGGCTTTAGAAGGCAGGCTTTTGTTGAGGCTTCCTTTGTCTGTGTCCATTGGCATTTTCAGATTGCTGGCTTCCTCAACTCTGGGATATACGAGACAAAAAGAACACCCAGGGAACTTATGGCCATGCTGTTCCTTACATCCTGAGGTCCCTACCTAGTCTGTTCTTCTCTCCAACTTTCAGAATCTTTTTGGGTTTGTTTTATATGGAATATTCAGGGGTTTTAGTTGTGTTTTTCTAGAAGTATAGGGACAAATATGTGTATTCCATCTCCTCAAAAGTGGATTTCCCCAAGTTAGATTTTTAAGTAAAACTTGATGGTCTAGAAAACACGTGATGTTTATTCTGGCAGGCAATTATTATTTTAATATGCTCTTCAAAGTCCATAGCACAAGTCTATAGCGAAGACAGATGCATCAATAAATTACAGAATTTTAATGTTGATGATTAAATTAAGAGAAAAAAACTGGTCTTTATCAGTTGTATAATCTGCCTGTATAATGACACCTAGTGGAGAGAATGTAAATGATACTATGTTTCTCTCTGACTTCATATTCCTCTACATTTGTAGTACAGTGTTTCTCATGCAGTTGGTTTTATTGACATCTCCAGCTCACCTGGCTGCATGACAAAGCCATGGTCTTTTTGACCTGCAAGCTTCTGACAGGCTACAAATATTTATTGAATGCACCACAGGGTAGAGACTTTTGCTGGGTGCTTAGCAGACTAGCAGGAGCCGGTGTACTATGGCCCTCAGCCTCCCCAGGGCAAGGACTGTCAGAGAGCTAAAGGGTGTACAGGTATTTTAGGTTAGAAGAAAATGCCCCGGAAATGCCTTTCTTCAACAAAGTTCTTTTGAAGCTTGGTTTGAGTATTATCTTAAGAAAATAAAAATAAGTACACTCACCTTAATTGATGAGGAATCTCTCTTTGACATGGAAATGAAAGAGAAAAAAGAGTAATGCCTCAGTTTTGTGGGCTCTGTGACAAAACCTGAGTTTTCCCATGAGGTTCTTCCATAAGAAGGGGACCTATGTCTTTTTCATGCATGTGTCCCAAGTGCCTACCATGATGCCTGGCACAGAGTAAGGGCCGAAATCCATCTATGTCACGCTGAATGAACCATGTATTAAACGAATCATGTATTAAACCCTGTGTAGACCTTGAAAAGAGAGTTCCAGGGAACTGTATTTTGTAAATCCAAAAGAATAATTAAATCTTTAAAAAAATAAAAAGATAAAAAGAAAAGAAGGAAAGTCAAGATACAGAAACCAAAGACCATTAAGACCAGTAAGTTTCATAAGATAATCATAGGACTGTGGCAGCTCCGCAGATACAAGTTAGAGTGATCAAAAGAAAAATAGGCCCTCAAAAAAATGGAAGACCTAGAGATCCTTGACCAAACTTTAGTCAAGCTCCTCTGAGCCCTCTTTGCGTCGATGTTGACTTTGCTCTGCCACCTCCACAACCCATTCCCCTTGCAGGGCTTGCACAGATCACTTTTAGCAAGAATCTTGCTAAGCCAGTTTAGAGGGAATCCTCTAACCCTCACTATCCAATCACCCTCAATAGCTGATCAAATTTCTCATCCCGCACCACCTCAACCATAATATCTGTTCACTCTGGCTTGTCTTCAGCAGGAATCCTGTTAGGTTAGTTTAGCAAGAATCCCCCTATCGTTGGTGTTTCCTCTCAATAATTTTCCATACACTGACTGTGCTTTCCACCCAGTGTCTCTAAATCTCCACTTGTTCTTGTTGCATTCAGAGTTGAGCCCAATCTCTCTTCCCTATTGCGATAGTCTTGACATTGTTTTAACAAGTACCGGGATAATTTTTTTGTTTACTAGTGGACTAGAGAGGCTTCCTCTTTCCTCCATCCCTCTCTTATTATATTTCTTTCTTTTACCTCTAATAGTTAGAAAAACTGAAGAGATAAGCATCTCTCTCATCAACAGGCAGAACTGCTCCTTGTTCCCCATAGATCTTTCCTTTTAGCTGCATATCACATAAAACCCTACCTGTTGTGTCAGGAAGAATGTGGTGCTAAGTACTCTCAAGCACACAGATTTTAGAGGCTTCTTCATTCTTCCTGACTTTTTAGGATTCTTTTGCACTGCTGGGAAGATGGAATTGGGAAGTACATTTTTATACTTAAAAGGTCTGTATCCTGGGTTAGACTCCAAAGGGGGTGCAAGAATAATCACATTGAAAGAGGCAAGGTGGGGAGGGGTGTGTTAGGTACTTCTTTTATTTTCCTGGAAGCCAGAAAGCAGCCAGAGGCTGGCATCTTGCTGCGATATAGAAACGGTTTGAAAAGGGATGTCCTCTTACCCTTTCCTTGCTGTTATGTAAGTTAAACTAAAATTGGGGCACCTGGGATTTGCTGCACCTTTCCATTCCCTTTGGTTTTCTTCAGTGGTGACCAAACACTCCAGTGAAGTTTGACATTCCTAACTTTTCTGAGACAACTCCCATGCTATTCAAGATGGCTAACTCAGCTCACTTATATTGGGCAATATCTTGCTGATGACTGAGGTGATAAATATAGAAGTAGAGAAATGAGATGGAGTTTCTCCAGTGTCTGCTTGCCTAGTTGTAAAAGGTGTTGTTGACTACAGAATTTTTCTGCTGGAAAAGACCTTTGATATCAACTAGGTCAGTTCCTTCCTTTTTTATAGATGGGAAAAAGAATTTTAGAGAGGTGAAACAATATAACTTAGATTTCCCAGCAGTTAAAGGCTGGAATGATTTAAGAATCTGTAACTTCTTACTCAGGATTTTCTTCCCATCGGTGTACATAAAGCTCCTGAGTTCACTTGCTGCAGCCTTTTAAGTGGCAGTCTTGGGATATGATCTGTGGATGGAAATTAGGAATATCCTTTTTTTTTTTTGACAGAGTCTCGCTCTGTTGCCAGGCTGGAGTGCAGTGGCGCAATCTCGGCTCACTGCAACTTCCGCCTCCCGGGTTCAAGCGATTCTCCTGCCTCAGCCTCCCAAGTAGCTGGGACTATAGGCACGCACCACCACGCCCGGCTAATTTTTGTATTTCTAGTAGAGACAGCATTTCACCATGTTGGCCAGGATGGTCTCAATCTCTTGACCTCATGTTCTTCCTACCTTGGCCTCCCAAAGTGCTGAAATATCTTTTACTAGATATAGCCCCTAGAACACTATGCTGACTTTGGCCTAGAAGGAACAGTGCTTAACATATAAGTTACCAGAAATGCCTTGCAAAGGCCATCCTGTTTTCAGTCAGACTCACTTGGCAGAGCATGAGTGAGATTTTTTTTTACTTTATAGATGAATAGGCTACATCTGAAATGTGGAATATTAAAGCTTAAGTCCAACACCGATCATTCAATAGAGAGATAAATGCAAGCAGACAAAGAAGGCCACAGAGAGTGCTTGGCCCCACCTTAGGGGATATCTCCCACCTGCCTTTTCTCTTCAAAGCCTGCTGCTTAATCAGCTGGGGTGTGAGCAGTAGAGGGATTCAGAATGAAAAACAATGGAGAGCTGCAAGGGGCTCAGCAGCCAAGATAAAAACAGACAGATGTTTATGCAATGGGACATGAAATTCAACACATATGAAACGTACAATAAGCAGATAGAAATTTAATATACCTGCCAAATGTCACCTCTTCACCTCAAGTGTAAATTCCCATCATTTAACAGATCTTAACTGTTCTGTATAGCTCAGATCAAGAGAAAAGAGGCCCAATCACTTATAATACTGATATATAGGTATATCACATTAAGAAAAATCTCCATGGTGTTTTGTGGTAGTCACCTTTACCTTCTCTTGCACTTATTTCATTCACTCATTTATTCATCCATCCATTCTTTCATTCATTTTAAATCCAACTTTCCAGGTATTGTAGCCTATAGGAACTTGAAAATATTTCTTGAGTAAAGAAACAGATGAATGTAATTTCATTTATTTCTCATGATAACAATCTGATCAAGTAGATACTATTCTTCTATTGCAGATGGGAAAATTAAAGCTGTGAGATTTTGTCACTTGCCTAAGGTCAGGAATCATATTCAAGTCTATCTCTCTATCTCTGTCACCCAAGCGTTACACACATTGCATGAATGCCTTTATATTTCTGAAATCCTGGGGAGGATAGAAATAGAAAGTAGTAGGTTGGAAAGTAAGTGGTAATAGTCTCCTTACAAAGGCTAGCTTCATTTTTCTATGAATGAGATCCCTAATGTGTATATTATGAAAAAGTCTAAGTAAGAGGACAATAGTTCTGCAAAATACCAAGCAGAGGAACAAGGGCCTCTGCTAATCAGTTCCTGAAACTTGCCTGGGGCTTGCAGCTGGAAAGAAGGAAAAGATTGCATCCCAAGGCACAAAATGACTTACTGCAGATGGTTTCAGATATTTCCTAGGTTGGGAAACTTAAGAGAAAAATAAAATATTAAGGTGAGGGTTGAACTAGGACATTAAACAATGCTCAATAGCTTTGGGCAATCCCTCGACACTTGCTTCCATACTTCTTACTTGCAAGCAACCTTTCCCTTTCTACCACTTTAGCCTATTGTTTATTACGTACCTTTGCTTCTATATTGTTGCTGCCTTCTGAAATAAAATGTTTCAGTCCAGAGATCATAGAACTTCTGGAGTAACAGGACCCATCTCTCAGTGATTTCCTCTTTATCACTTTTCCAGAGGTAGCTCCATTACCACCCCTGATTCCTTCCGGATACTTTTAAAACTTACTTTTACTTTTACTTTTTCCTACTCTCAGAAACTGCATAACTCATATCTTTTATTTTTCAGCATCCCTAAAGGTCATTATATATTTAAATATTTTCCAATTTATTCCATCCCTTCCCATTTTGCATCAAACACTCTTTTAAATTAATGACCTTTTTTTTTTTTCAAGTTCATAACTACTAAATATCTGAAAACACGCTTTGGAGGAATATAGCACCCCCAGTAGGGAGATGGGTTAATTTGGTGCCTTTTAGATACTCAAAATGGAATGGGATTTTCTTCACTTTTTCCATTTTTACAATTTGCTTGAAAAATTATAAAACACTTTATTGAGCATAGTACATTAACCTTGCAAATATGCTAGTAAATCTGCTGCCTCACCAACTTCCATAAATATAAAAATTATCTCTGTCCTTCAGAAAGATTTTAATTACATACTATTATTTTCTGAAAGCACCTCCTGTTTCAAATTGAAACAGTCCTTAAAATGCAAGTACCCTTCAGTTAAAGTTCCATGAGAAGCAGAGCAGAAATCGGGGCCAGTGCTGTGGCTGTGGGCAGGGGTCAGGTCAGGTTCAACTGCACATTTTTATCTACTGACCTCTCTGGCCCTCTGATCCTTCAGGTCACTGGCCATTGCTTCTTACTGGGGGACAAAGAAGGATTTTTATTTTTCCAGTGCCATTAAGACCCTGGGTCTATTAGTAGCTTCTTACGTAGGGAGATTACTAGCACATATCTAGGATAAGACCACATTATTCCAAATGATGCAAAGGTTATGGATTATTCTTCTTGGCCTGGATAAAAAATAGCCAAGGGAAATGAAATGTACAAGATTTCTCCCAAAGCTGAGAAATGAATGATGTTATCTGTTATGATATTTACATGTTCTTTCAGTAAAACAAATCCAGATTCAATCATTCAGGCAACACTTTCTGAAATCATGATAACCTCTTAGAATAGCCTGCTAAATTTTGAGGTGGGAGAAGGGGGCATTTTGTTATCTCTCTGGCCAAGACTGTTACCTACATCAGTCTCTCACTGGCATGGCTGTGATGGAAAGCACAGGAACCAGCCCCACAGTCAGCCCAATTATTCTGGCCCTGACTATGGCTTTGGCTGAGTGATGATGAACTGCAACTCTCAGTGGCTGCTTTGCTCAGAGTAAATCCCTCGATAGCTTCATTTTTAGATTAGGGACAAAATCTTAAAGAACAGGTTTTTTTTTTTTTTTTTGTCCCTGCTTCATGGTACTTATAGCTCAGAGAGATGGGAGGTACTCTTAACTGTCTCAAAAAGACTTTGGAATGAGTTAAATTTGGCCAGATCAGATAATGCTATCATTTATGTAGCGTTTTCTGTGTGCCAACCTTTGTGCTAAATTCCTTACATGTATTTTTCTCATTTAATCTTGTAACAATCCTATGAAATAGAGGCTAAATGATTGCCTGAGGCTACAAAACTGGCATAGGGAAAACTCAGACCTAATGGACTCACACCTCTAATCTTAACACTATCTACAATATCTCTTGGGAGATGGACTAAGAGAGATGAAATTTCTGCTCTAGAAGAGTTGATGCTTCTCTACTTCCTGTAGGGCAGACCACACAGCACTTGAAAAATTATGCTTCCTCCCTCCCCACTCCTCACCCCCACTGTCCTGCCGGATATTGGGTTGTCAATAGGACATTCTAAATTTAGCTTCCTGAATCTAGAAATTAAATGACAACATGATCCATTCAGAGTCCTGTTTCTATAGGCCTGGGCTTTTTTGGCCCTAAGGGCAAAAGAGTTGCAGGTGACGTTTCTTGTGCTTGCCAGACTCATGAATGCATAGTCTAGGAAGATTTAATAACTAGATAGCTTCTCAACTAGTTAAAGCAGCTTAATCATACCAGCTGAGAAAGAGGGTATAAGTGCCTTACATCAGGCCCAGGCTTCTGCTGGCCAACACTTTGTTTTCACTGTAATTCTAGAGGTCAGGTTTGGGTTGAGCATGTATGTGCATAGGTAAACGTGGTGTGTATGTATAAATGAGTGTGAATGGGGGTCTGGGGTGTGAACATTATCATCTCTTGCTTGTTTCTTTCTTTTCTGCATATGAAACTGTGACAAAACAGGTTATTTATTTATTTATTTTTGAGACGGAGTCTTGCTCTGTCACTTAGGCTGGAGTGCAGTGGCGCGATCTTGGCTCACTGCAACCTCTGTCTCCCGGGTTCAAGTGATTCTCTTGCCTCAGCCTCCCGAGTAGCTGGGATTACAGGCAGGCACCACCATGTCTGACTAATTTTTGTATTTTTAGTAGAGACGGGGTTTCACCATGTTGGCCAGGCTGCTCTCAAACGCCTGACCTCAGGTGATCCACTCACTTTGGCAAAGTGCTAGGATTACAGGCGTGAGCCACCCACCGTGCCCAGCCCTTTGACTACTTTAGATACCAATATAACTGAAGTAGCATTTGTCATTTTGTGACTGGCTAATTTCATTTAGCATAACATCCTCAAGCTCCAACCATCTTGTAACTTAGAATTTCCTTCCTTGTCAGTAACTGAATAATATTCTCTTGCATATATACCACATTTTTCTTATCCTTTCAATGAATATTTAGGGTGTTTCTACCTCCTGGCTATTACAAATAATGTTGCAATAAACATGGCAGTAGAGATATCTCTTAAAGATCCTGATTTCAATTCTTTTGTATAAATACTCAGAAGTGAGATCACTGGATCATATGATAACTCTTAATTTTTACATTGTTTTGAGGAACCTCTTTACTGGTTTCCATACTGGCTGCACCATTTTACTTTCCCACCAACAGTGCACAAGTTTTCTAACTTCTCTACATCCTATCCAACACTTGTTATTTTCTATTTTTTCCTCTCTCTCTCTCTTTTTTTAATATGACCATTCCAACAAGTGTGGGACAATGTTTCATTTTGGTTTTGATTTGCATTTTCCTAATTATTGGTGATGTTGAACATCTTACATATACCTGTTGGCTTCTTGTATGTCTTCTTCAGAGAAATGTCTATTCCAGTTCTTTGCCCATTTCTTAGATCAGGTTTTTTGTTATTGAGTTCAATATTCTTCAATTTGTGAAGGCTTGTTTGTGACATATTATGGGATTTATCCTGGACAATGGTTCATGTGCACTTGAAAAGAATGTGTATTCTGTTGCTGTTGGGTGGGGTATTCTGTATATGTCTGTTAGGTCCATTTGGGCAATAGTGTCTTTCAAATCCTCTGTTTTCTTATTCATCTTGTATATGGATGTTCTATCCATTATTTTAAGTGGAGTATTGAAATGCCCTACTATTACTGCATTGCTGTCTATTTCTCCCTTTTGTTCTATCAATATTTGCTTCATATTTTTGGGTTCTCTGATGTTGGGTGCATATATATATATATATTAATTGTTATATCTTCCTGGTGAATTGACAGTTTTATCATTATATAATGTTCTTCTTTGTCTCTTTTGACAGTTTTTGATTTAAAGTCTATTTTGACTAATATAAATATGGCCACTCCTGCTCTCTTTCAGTTACTATTTTCATGGAATATCTTTTTCCATCCTTTCACTTTCAGCCTGTATGTGTCCTTAAATCTAAAGTAAATGTTTTGTTGATAGCATATAGTTAGATCTCATTTTTCTATCCATTCAGTCATTCTATATTTTTTGAGTGGTGAATTTAATTAATTAACTTTCAAGTAATTATTGATAATGAACTATCACCATTTTGCCCATTGTTTTCTGCCTTGTAGCTCTTTTATCCTTCATTTCTTCTTGTTGTTTTCCTTTATGTTTCATTGATCTTGTAGTGACATGCATTGATTCTTTTCTCATTTTCCTTTGTGTATCTTCTAGAGATATTTTCTTTGTGCCTACAAAAAGCATCTTATAACAATCTATTTTAAGCTGACAATTCTATTGCATACAAATTCTCCATACTTTCATTTCTCCCCTCCACACATACGCATGTTATTGATGCCACAAATTATATCCTTTTATAGCATTATTCATTAATGTATTTTTATAATTATAATTATTCTTATACATTTTAACTTCTATCAGAATAAAAAGTGATTTATGTACTGCCATTGCAGTATTACAGTATTCTGTATTTATTAATATATTTACCCTTACCAGTGAGCTTTATACTTTCATATGCTTTGATGTTGTCATATGGCATTCTCTTACTTAAACTTCAACTAATTTGAAGTTTTTAGCTTTCTTATAAGGTAGGTCTAGCACTGCTGAACTCCCTTAATTTTTGTTTATATGCAATGTCCTTATTTCTGTTTAATTTTTAAGGAATATTTCTGCTGAATATAGTATTCTTTACTGATAGGATTTTTTTCTGTTAGTACTTCACATAGGTCATCTCACACTCTTCTAGCTTGCAAGGTTATTGTCAAGAAATCTGCTAATAATCTTATGATTACTCCCTTGTATGTGATATATTGCATTTCTCTTGCTCCTTTCAAAATTTTATCTGTTTCTGACTTTTGGCAATTTGCTTATAAAATGCCTTGGTGTGAATTTTTGTTTGTAAAATACTGCAGTGTGAATTTCTTTGAATTTATCTTAGTTGAAGTTCATTGGGCTTCTTGAATCTGGATGCTGATTTTTTCCTCCAGACTTGGGGAGTTTTCATTCATTATTTCTTTTAACAAGCTTTTTGCTTCCTTCTCTCCTCCTTCTGGAATTTCCATAATGCCTATATTGCTTGATGAAGTCCCATAAGTGCCTTAGGTTTTCTTTACTTTTTTAGTTCCTTGTTTTCTTTTTGTTCTTCTGACTAGATCTTTTCAAATAACCTGTCTTTGAGTTCATGGATTCTTTCTTCTGCCTGGTCAAATCTACTATTGACTATCTCTAATGAATATTTCAGTTCAGAGCATTCTCCAGCTCCAAAATTTGTTTGGTTTTCAAATATATATATTTCTATCTCTTTGTCAACATTCTCATTTTGTTCATCATTATTATTTTGAACTCATAGAACATTTTCATGATGCTTATTTTGAATTCTTTGTCAGGTGATTCATATACTTCCATTTTTAAATTATTAATTTCTGAAGATTTATATTGTTTCTTTCCTTGGGCCATGTTTTCTTGTTTCTCTGTGTGTCTTACAACTTTTTATTTGGGTCCACACATTTGAAAAGACAGCCATCTTACCCAGTCTCTATAGACTTGCTTTTACTGGGGAAGATCCTCACCCATCAGTCAGGCTGGGGGTTAAGGGTGCCTCTGAAATCTTTTGGGGAAGATGCCACTTCTCTGTGCTTGTGAGTTTAATTTCTCATGTGAAGAGGAGAGAGGTATGCTGGTTTCTTTTGCAGGAGTTTATAATCTCTTCCTCCATCTGGTGTCTGTTGGTGGCACTGCAAGTTCCCTGGTTTTATAGCAGCAGACTACCAAGCTCTCCCTTTTTCTTAGTAGCTACCAAACATCCAAAGTATGCTGACTTTCTGCCAGCACTGTGAGTGAGGCATTATACCTATCAATTCCTCAGGAAACCCTCTGAAAACTTGAACACTGAACACACACTCTGTTACTCTCTCTTAAAAGAGAAGCCTCAAATTGTGTTCTCTTTCCTGACTACAAAAGCTGTAGCAAGCTGCCTCTTTCCATGCTTCTGTGTTCTCAGTTGCCCAAGACACTCAAACAAGGCCAGTTCTGTTAACACTCTAGGTGAGATGAGACAGAAACCAATCATTTGGGCAGCCTCCAAAGAGCCAGATTGTTGGACTCACATTCCACTTTTCCTTTTCCCCTTGATGAAGAAATTGCGAGCCAGTGTGTTCTCTTCTGGGGGTTCTGAGTTGTGTTGGCTTGTGGCAAAGGCTGATGCATATAAAATGAAATTCTTCTTCTTGACCATTTGAGTGCATCTATTTTTGGCTTTGTGCTCACCTATGGTGGTGCAACTTCTTAACTGGATTCTGGATTTCTCATAAAGATATTTTGGTGCATATATTGTTAAATCAGTGTTTCTGTGGAAGACAAGGACTGGTACTTCCTATTTTGCTATCTTGTTGATATCACTCCTATGTAAGTCTTAATTTAGATAATCTATGTGAGATGCTTAACATATTTTTGATATATAGTATCTGCTTAGTATATCCTATTGGCTAATTACTATTATCACAATCATCTTCTCCTTTAAAGAAAATGTATATCATTCCTGAATACACTACACTTCCATTTTTTTTATTGTCTCTCCTACCTGGAATGACTTTTCCTTCCTTTTTTGCCCAGTGAACTCCTACTTAGATTTCTAGAACAAGCCTGAATTTCACCTGCATTGTGAGTTACCAGAGAATTACTCCCCCTTCTAAAATATTCATAGCACTTTTTTCATTTTTATATTAGCATTCATATAACATTGTATTATAATAGGTTTTTATCATTATGTGTCTCCAAACATTTTAAGGAGAGGAGCACTACATAAATTTATCTGTTTCTATTCATGATGCCTATTTTTTTTTCTTTTCGTCCAGTATCTAGCAAGGCCATCAGTATAAAGGGCTTATTAAATGTTTACTGAGTGAATTGTGTAGAGCAGTTTTGCAACTTTAACTTGAATTCCTAGGAACCTGATCCTAATTCACATTAGCAAAGATACTAAAGTTTTGAATTTTTTAGTTTGTTTGTTTTTTCTAATCTGGACTTTTTGACTTTAACTAAAATTTTTAGCTGGAGTGAAATGGTAAGCTCCTTGCCCTTTTAAATCACCATTTGTGCAGCCTTATTCTAATTACCTTAGGCCTCTTCCATTGTGGCCATCTAATCTTCTTTATTTGGATCAGAAGTTCATCAATACATATAGTTTCCCTTTTCATCGTCTCTTCTGGTTCTTCTGTGTTTCTTCTACTTATGTCTTTCATTAAATTTTACAATTGCCAATGGACTTATTTTATAGGCCTCTAGGAAAACAGTGAATACATAGGGTCACAGAGAGAATGTTTGATTGGAAGGGACCTTAAATATTGTCCAAATGTTGCCTTCATATTTACCAGAGGGATAGAGAAACTTGTCTAAAATCACTTGGACATTTAGAGACAGAGAAGACATTGCCTCATTATATGTTTAAAAGGGAAGCCACTTTTGAAAGATTATTTCCTTTTACATAAGATAGGCTGATAAAGTAGGGAGAAAGTTTGTTGTCCTGCAGAATTCTTTGAGTTTTTTAGGAAGGCATTACAGGGAAATACAATATGCTTAAAAATACCTACATTAAAAATTATGCTTAAATAAATGTCGGGTCAAATTGGGGATAATCAGAAGCCCATTTTATTTGAGTCTTTGCAACTAAAGTCCTCCTAAACATAGGGTCCTACTTCTCCCTTAGTACTACAGTGCACTTAGATCCAGGCTAGAAAATCCCCTACACTTTGACAGGCCCTGCTCTGGCCTTTCTCTTGCTATGCTCTTTCTTATAAGAAATTCATGAGACCATTGGGACATTCCCTCCCACAGCCAATACCCACTCCACAATACATTCTAGACCATGTTCTAGGTATATGAGACTCCAAAATTCCCTGCCTGTGGGGCTCATAGTCTGCTCCTTGGTTCTGCCTGGGTTTCCTTCCAAGTCCACTCTTTGAGGGGTAGGCCATATCCCAGGTATGTGTGTGTTCCTAGGCCTGGGGGGTGAACAAGGGGGAGCTATTTTTGGAGAGTGTAGAGGGAGCTTGGACACATGGGCTACGGTGTCCACACATGTGTTCACAAAGCTTCTTGTGCTGTGGGACAAAGTCAAATGTAAAAAGAGGAGAGGGATCACTACAAGCCAGGGTTCAGAATTCAGCTGTTAACACTACCACTTTCTGGCACAGAACTCAAAGGTATTCAAGAATTATAAATTCAAACCTGACTTCTATGCCATTTTGGAATAATTTTATAAGTTAGAAGATAGAATTTTTTAAGCTTGATTTGTAGTTTTAAAGTATGAGGCAGTTAAATGATGGGCCTCCATTTGCAATTTTGCTCCAAGATTCACAAATGTTATAGAAGGCCCTATCTGTCTTGGTAATATTAAGTATTATAAAAATACTATATTTGATATTGCAAACTGTATAACAATAAAATTATTTGAGAATGATGGATCAGAGGCATTGCAAAAATTTTTGGAGTGTAACTAATATGAACTGACCCTGAAACACATTTTGAAAGTTCTTTGAATTAAACACTGAGTTATTGGCTTATTTATTAAAATTTCATTTTTAATTCTAAAAGTGGAATGCCACTGATTGAGTGTTCCAGTTAATTGGGTCAATTAACCTTTTTCTGAATAATATTATTTATTAATGCATAGAATATGTTGACATGCCTAGTGCAGAAAAACAGGAATATGATGGACTGAATAAATGGAATGGGTTTAATAAGGCAAACCAAAATTGTAAAATAGCATTTAACCTTGCTATTTGGGAGAGAACTTCAGATCCAAAGGGAAAAACAATGAAAGAGAATTGAAGAACATTAATGATGATTACATGTGATAGAAAGAAACAGTAACAGAGAAGGATAACAGTACATCCTAGAGAGCATTAAAAAGAAAAAAAAACATGTAAGGGAGTTTGCTAAACTGTTATGTGAGATGTATGAAGAAGTACAGAAAACAGGTGTCTGGAGATGGGCACATGCTGCCTCCATGATCATAAAGGGAACCTCTGTCTTAATTCTGGGCACGGCACTTAAAGAACAGTCTGGACACATGGGGCAAAGCTAGATGAGAGTGAATGGAATGGTAACATGTCTGATATCTCTCATACAGAGGGATTAAGGGAACTCATTGGAACAAGTGCTGCCTTCAAATACCTGAAAGACTGCCACATGCAAGGGGATTGAACTTTGTAGTCTTAGAGAACATAAGAACAGAGGACAGGAAATCACACGGAAATGGTTTTGAACCAACATATACATAAACATTTTTCTAGCACTGAGAGCTCACCAATAAAGTGTCATGAGAACAGATAAAATTTTTGCCGTGTTCACAGTTGGATCGCCAGTGCAATTGTTCTCAAACATGGATGAACATCTGGTGGAGCCTTTTGAAAAAATAGGCACACTCAGCTTCCCTCATGAGAAATTCAGATTTGGGAGTCCTGTGGGGGTGTGCTCCTCTGGAGTCCTGAAATGCTCCACAAGGATGCAGACGTGCATCAGGAGTTGAGAACCACAGTCCTACTGTGAAATACAGGACCTGGCAAATGCTAAAGGCTTATTAATTTCTTGATTCTAGACCTTTGAATTTGTTCTCTCTGTCAAGAACATTATTCCCCAGGCTTCTGAAAGTTTTACTCCCTCACTTCACTTGGTCTAAAATAGGACCATCTCCCATCTCTTCTTGACTTTTCTTTCTCTTTTTTGTACTCATTCTTTATCTAAAATTCTATTCATCTATCTGATAATTGGTCTCCTTGCCACTACAATATAGGCTCCATAAGCACAGTAACTTTGTCTTATTCTTCGCTGCATATTCAGTGTTTAGAATGAAGTCTGAAAAATAATAAATGCTTAAGAAACATTTGTTGAATTAATGAGAAGATAAATGTATGAATGACTGCTTATTTGTTGACTGTTTGACTGACAAATTGAATGGTACTCTTCTTTATGGGAAATATATTCAACCCCACGCTTGCTGACCAAGCAACGGTGCTTTGGGAGAAATCACACATCATAAAGGACATTGATCTCAAAAGTTTCCCAGCCACAAAGAATAGATAGGGCATGGTGAAAAAAGAAGATGAGGAGAGACTTGGCATAAAAGACAGCAGAATTAAGAAGGAACTAGAGAGCAATGGAGTGAAACAGCCTGCTGAGAAGCTGGCTATGGCAGCTGACTTGTTGAAATATTCACCACACTCTGAAATAACAGATGTTCATTGAGGGATCTGTGAGAGCATTTGTAATCTGCAGCTTTCTATGCCTCCTCCTCCTACCTGCCTCCCACACACAGCAGCTTGCTGCCTGGCCTGGCCATCTATTCCCAGAAAGCCCTTCTTCTTTCCAAAAGAAAGAGACAACCCCACCCCACATAACCATGGTTATGTATTATTTTATTTTTGATGGAAAGGTTCTGCATTCCTCCTTTTCTTAACTCTTTGGCGTCCTATCTCCTCCTCTGGTACTCCTGCCCTTGCTCACTCTGCTTCGGCCACATTGGACTTCCTGCTCTTCTTTAAACATGCCGGGCATATGCTCACTTCAGGGCTTTGCACAGGCTGTACGTGCTGCCAGGAAAGGCCTTTCTC
Organism: Homo sapiens; assembly: GCF_000001405.40. Classification (NCBI taxonomy): domain Eukaryota; kingdom Metazoa; phylum Chordata; class Mammalia; order Primates; family Hominidae; genus Homo; species Homo sapiens. The sequence continues at coordinate 115,927,752 of NC_000003.12, forward strand.
CAGAAGGCCGCCTGGCCCCTTCGTCCCCTCCATACACTCCCGCTGCTTCAAGTCTTTGCTCAAATCTCACCCTCTTCTAAAGTCTGACTTTGACAACACCATTTAAAGAGCAACCTTGCTCCAGCCACATACCTCGAGACCATTACTATGCTCTACATTTTTCATTTCTCCAAGGAATTGTTACTTGATAAGCATACTTTTAAATTTCATTTACTGTGCCTAATTGATTATCTGCCTTCCCACAATAACTGCTAGAATGTTTATGAGGGCAGTGAAAAATTTTCGTTTTGTTTAAAATTGCAATCCCCATGCACAGAAAAGTGCCTAGCATATAGTATATGCTCAACAAAATTTGCTGAATAACAAAATGAATAAGTGATATATCAAAATTAAATAAAACCAAGAAGAAATTCATTAAATAACACTAATTCAAATGAAAAAACCTGGGAATCTCTGGTCTTTTTACTTTTTACTTTAGCTTCCCCTTTCCCCCTTAGCTTTCGCCTTTACTTCTCATATTTGCTTCTCTTCTTTAATGATTAATTTATTCAAAAGGCTCTTATTTAAAACCACTGTTCATAGAACATCTCACTGAGCTTGTGAAGGCGGCAAAAGTAAAAGAAGACAGTGCCTAGTAGTTCACAATGTGGATATGAAGAGAAGACATTGATAAAAATGTCTCCTTCTCAAAGACTGTGGGTTATAAAAAAGGCTTACACCGTATTTCCTTTGCTAAAATGTAAATGTGAGAAACAAAATAGCTTTAATGGCTTAATGGAAGTCAGAGATTTGGGGGAGAAGATGAGAACTTCCTTTAAAATGTTAAGTGCATATTGTGAATCTCTAGAGATGTTTTATAGGATTTGTTGATTTATTTCCCAGTGAAATGATCCCTGGCAGGAAAGACTGCAGAGTCCTGCAGAGTGCAGGGGGTGAGGAGGGGCTGTAAAGGAAAAGGGTGAGAGAAAGAAGAGCATAAATCAAGAATGTTGAGGAAACTTAACCCCAAGGTGTGGGAATTATATTCTGTAACCGTGGATCCCAGGTCACAGGCCAGTGAAAGGAAATTGAGAGAAAATGGGAATTCTGAGGGAATGTTAAGGTATTTTCATTTGAAATGCTAAGGGCGTAGGGAAGAAGACCAGTTTCATAAATGTTGGGATGTCAAGATACCTTCTTTTTTCTATGTGACTTATGGCTTATCATGCAGGTTTTTTGTTTGTTTTTTTTTTTTTTTTTGCTTGTTTTATGGGGCTAGTTAGGTAGCGCTTAGCTGTAATAATATTCTATGTGAATATTGGCTGATTAATGTGGGCCCTAAATATTACTAGATAGAGGGGTGTCCCTAGAGCCTACCAGGAAAGCATCTTGGTCTTTTAGTGCATCAAATGAGGAAAATAAATGCAATTGATTAACTCTGCAATGAAGAGTAGAAAGATAGGAAGACTAGTCAAAACAAAAAACAAATAAGAAAACAAAATAAAACTCCAAACTAACAAAACAAAACCCCACCTTAATCCTAAAGAGCCAGGAGCAGAGGCATAGATATTTCAAGAGGCAGGAAATGTCTGAAAGGATTGGTGAGAACTATAAATCTAGGCAAGGTTAGAAGGTCACATGGAATTCTACTTGTGACACTACTTTGATCCTCAATTCTCAAATAGGTGATATTTCAACAAATTGAATATCCTGTACATAAGTGGAGAAAATAAAAAAAATTCCCTTCTTTAGTTTCTTGGTGGTAGCTCTAAAGACAAAAAACTTTCTTGATCTACTGAGCAGGCAGGTGAAAATACACATCAAACAGGGAGAATATGGTTTCTAAAATTTGTTGGCAGCAAGTTGCTCATTAAACAAGTGTCTAACCTTAGCTAAATAAATTTTACCTGTTGAATAGGTGGATTGTAAATTCCTTTCCTACTCATAAATGCTATAAAATTCTAAATATATTTATAAAGAAAAACAATGTAATGAAGGCATAAAAGAGCCCCTCCTGAGATTCACAGGGCTAGTTCTAATAAAAGTGGCAAATTTCAAAATAACTTGAAAGGACTGAGACATTCCCTTCTACCATGCACCCTCTAGCTTCTTGGAGTTCTACTCTTTGTTTCAATCTTTTGTGATTAAGCATAGTTCTATTTTAGTGACCACCTTAAAAACTCTAGCAAAACTTCTGGAAGAGACAGTGACTGACAGATAATAGATACATACAATAAATGTTTATTATCCAGATCTATAAATTTAGCAGAAGTTTTTTTTTTTTTTTTTTTTTTTTGACACAGCAGATAGGTCTTGTGAAGTATTGAAGCCTATGGGCAGAGAATTAGACTGGGGAAAGGATTAGCTATATAACCAGTGACTTTGGGTGGAACTCTATACCAGCTCCATCTGTTTTACAGTTGGTTCTGATGCCATAAAGAAGGGCAATGGTATGCTCTTCTCAGCACATTGAATTACCAAAATAACCTCCTTCAACAAAATTACAGATTTATTTTTGAGAGTCAGAATGTAACTTTTTAACCTGTAGATCCACGGCTAAAAGAAAATAATAAACACCCAATAAGCATGTATTATGGGCCAGGCACAGGGTTAGGTACTTTCACTTTTATTATCTGAGCCCCTCCTTGAGGAGGGATAGTAGGAAATTCAACAGTAACAATATGACTATGAGGTGGCTAACGTGGCTAATTTGCTACTAGGGAAAGGAGAATAAGTTTTCTTAGCTAGGTTAGTCTCCTACTCAGTATATTCCTAGGGAAATCAGGCTGGGAAACCCAGTACACAGTAAGTAGAAAGAAGAGGTATATGGCTGAAGAAAATCCACTCCAACCAAATGAGACTAGCATTAATTATTATCACTTCTTAACTTCTGGATCATCCAACAGCCTACAATCCAAATGAAACATGCACCTGTATAAATCTTTAGATTTGAACGACTTTAAAGTGCAGTAAAGCACTTCGTTAGTGGTCAAATGCTAACCTTTGCATTTTTCACTTTGGGAGATGAGAGGAGATTAACAGCAATTTGGGTCTTTAGAGGTTCCTCTGCCTAACACCCTGACACCACAGGGCTTCCCAGGCTTGTTTGGTGGAGATCATCTGGTCTTCCTTGGGATGAGGATCTAAGCCTGAAAATCTTAATGGCATATTTACTTTTATTTTTTCTATCACATTTTATAAAAACAAGATAAAAATTACATAAATTGTTTGAAAAGAAATACTCGTAAATTGAAGCCAGTCCTAGGTTTGTTAATGAACACTTCTATTTTTACAGAAAATGTCATAAGGTCATTGTTGACTGCAGATGATAAGCAACCCAATTGGGTGTTTATTCTAAATATATCACTGCCAGTGTAACCCTTGGCAGCACCCCACTTCCTCCTTCCACCCGGGATTTCCCACCAGATGGGGAGAGAGCTCATTACTAACCCAGAGGAGAGAACTGACGCCAACACCCACAGCAGCAGTTCAGTCAACCCCTTCATTACTCTTCCTTCTGCCTAAAATCCCAGCAGCCTCTGGTGAAAACCTTGGCCATAGAATGCTGTAAATCTCAGGATCCCTCACTAACGCTTCACTTTTCATGGAGGTCATGACTAAGTTGAGAAAGACTTTCTTTGCCTGCCCCCAGCTGAGTGACCTGCTTTCTCAGCAGCATGATTTCTCTAATGAGATTGTTCCACAAAGAGAAGAATGAAATCAAGTGTCAGGGGGTTGGATCAAAGTGGCTCTTATTCTCTGAGGCACAGGGTCAGACTGCAGGTACAAATGAGCCGTTGGGTCAGAGAGGGTCCTGTTTAGAGCGTGTCTCCACCCCCATCATGTCTCTTCTTTCTCCTTGTCATGACCTATCTTTAAAACTATGGAAAAGATCTCTCATGCAAATGTTTAAATTGATTTCAGGAAAGATGCATGGAATATCTAATATGTATAGCTATTCTTTGGAGCACTTAGCTCATCATATATACATTCCTATCACAGTCATCCTGTACACCTTATCTTATTAACAGTAATCCCATGAGGTAGACTGTTACTTTTCTAAGTTTATTGAAGAGAAAACTGTGACTCAGAAATGTTGAGTAACTGTCTCCAAAACAAAGGACGAGTAAATAGCAGAAGGGAGATTTTTACCCAGTTTTTAATCTGTCTTCAAAATATATAAGCCCAACCCTCTGATACAGCAAACAATAGATACCTAGCATTGAGCTGGGCGATGTGGGGGATTCAAAGATGAAACAGGCCATGTTATGGACTCAAGCAGTTTACAGTGTAATTGTTGAGACAGACATTAATGTAAATTATATATTAAAAAAGAGAGAATGTGAAAAGTGTTATGCCATGGTAGGAGTACAAAAAAATGCTTTGATAACATTAAGGTTAGAGTAAGATGATAATAAAATAGCTATCATTTATTACATTATTTTAAACCTGACAAGAACTTATAAGAAAGATACAATGACTGTTCCCATATTATAGATACTGAACTTGTGTCTTACTCCAAATCATTAAGAAAATGGGAGAAAGGAAATTTGGACTTTTGTCTTCTGACCACAGAACCTGTGCTTTTAACTTTTACATTACACTAATTCATTGTCAGTGAAAGAAACTATTTTGTAGAGAAATTGTAATTTTAGTTAGGCATGAATGGATACTTTTTAAAAAAATAAAAACGTTTTCTGGTGAGAAAGGGGAGTATGTCATTCCAGGTAGTGGAAAAAATGTGTGCAGAGGTACAGAGGGATAGGATAGCAAGGTGGATTCCAGAATCACAGAATAGACAATGATGTGAAGAGAAGAGAAACAGTCCATTGCTAAAGCTAAAGCTGAAAAGATGATCACATAGATTTTTTGGCATGTATAGTATAACTTATACATTACAGAAATCATAAAGTAGTCAATTTGAAGGAAGAATTATAACCCATGGAATGGTTCTCTTGACTATCTCTAGTTATTCTTTTTTTACTAGTCTTTTCCAACATGGTAGTCATTTTAAAAAATGATATGTATCTAATGACTTCATTTAGTGGAGAAATATTATTCAATTATTATTCAATTGTTTTCCAATTCCTAATGATGTTCAAGTAACTCAATAAATAAGAGAGTAATGGCCAAGGAATATAGAATCCAAATGAAGAGAATGCACTGTCAGAAACATCTCTTCCTGCTGAACAGTGGGTACGCAGTGGAAAGAGGTGGTGACTTGGGTGTTAGAGGAGGGAAGCGAAACTGAACTAGCTCTTGAGCATCAACTCATAATGTTTCAGGGGGAAGAAAGAGAAAATAAAGTGGGGAAATGGAATAAGCGAAGTGAGAGCTAGCAGTCAAGGAAGGTCGGAGCATAGACCTCGCGAAAGGGAGTGGTTTCACTCGACAAGTATGGAGAGACCCTGTTGTGGTCAGGAATGTCAAGCTTTTAAAAAGGCATTGGGAGCCCATTGAAGGTTGTTCATAGGATAGTGACAATAGGAGACCAGCAAAGCATTAGAAAAACGTTACTCTACAGTGGTGATTTTGAATGGTTCAAGAGGGGAGATACTGGAGATTTGAAAGACTGGTTGGAAGCCTACAGCATTTGCTCAGGTAAGTGGTAATAATAGTGACAATGCAAAGGATGAATGGGTTGAGAGATGTTACAGAGCAAAGATCCACAGGCTTTGTGAATGACTAAATTTAGGGAATAAAGAAGAAAAAAATCAACTTAATGCTGGATGAGTAGAGGAAAAATTATTAACATTAAGAGAAACTAGTTGTCACAAAATTAGAAGTTCTATTGGCCATGTTGAAATTGAGACCCGTAACATGAGCAGGCACCAAATAACATGGCCAGCAGGCAGAAATACTTATATCTAGAGCTCAGAACATCCTGTTGTTAAGCCCTGGTCTGCATAGGCATAGGAGCACCCCTGGAAGAGTGTGCAGAGAAAAGATCAGCGGCAGAAACGTAAGGAGTATCTCCATACTGTGGTGACAAGAAAATGATCAGCCATCTAAGGAAACAGTAGAACCTTAGTAAGATGTTATTGAAACAAACAGAGGAGAGTCAGCAGAGTCAAAGCTGCAGTGCCCTCCGCGAGAATGTGCCTGTTGGTGTTGTCAGTCTTCTGGGAAGGAAATACTATAGAAGAGTGTTTGGGATAGAAGTCAGCAGGTTAGACTTAACAGGGAACAAGGGGGCAGAAGCAATAAATGTAATTCATTCTTTTAAAAATGTTGGCATTAAAAGGAAAGGAGGATTGGCTAGTGACTTGAGGAAATAGCACTGATAAAGAAAAGTTTTTGCTATGGAAAACATAATTCTATCAATGTGTTTTGATAGGGACCTTGCAACTCAAAAGCTTAAGTTTATTTACCTTAAAATAATTTCCTCAAATGGTTTCTCAAATGTATAGTTGATGTGGTGTTTTATTTTTTATTTTTATTTTATTATTTTATTTTATTTTTTTTTCAGTCAGAGTGTCACTCTGTCACCCAGGCTGGAGTGCAGTGGTGCCATCTTGGCTCACTGCAACCTCCGCCTCCCTAGTTCAAGCAATTCTCAAGCCTCCGCCTCCCAATAGGTTGGATTACAGGCGCCCGCCACCATGCCCGGCTAATTTTTGTATTTTTAGTAGAGATGGATTTCACTACGTTGGCCAGGGTGGTCTTGAACTCCTGACCTCAAGCAATCCACCTGCCTCGGCCTCCCAAAGTGCTAGAATTACAGGTGTGAGCCACTGTGCTCAGTCCTGTAGTTGATATGGTGTTTTAAAAGTGTTATGGGGCTGAAGAAAAATCTTATGTAAAATACATATATACTATATTTTATTTGAACCTCTGGATCATGATAAAATGGACACTGTATTATGTAAGATAGCAGTACTTGATGAACTAATGGTTTGAGTAGATAGAACATGTGTTTTGACATTAAATGAGAAAATTTATTTTCTTTTCTACACAGATTGCTTATATCAGCTTCACTCCATATGTAGAAGAATGATTCTGGGTTTGTGACTGACCAGATTTGAAGCCTAGGGAAAATTAATTGACTTTTCTGGGCCTCTGTGTCATTTTCTAACAATCAAAGTTTCAGACTTGAAAAGTTCTTAGGCATATTACATCTAGGAAATGTTATGTATCTTCCCTTCCTTGCTCTAGCTCTATTTTGGGGAAGATTTTAAAAACACTGTGTACAAGTGATGAGTAAGATTAGAATACTGGTCAAGCTTCAAGAAAAAGTTTCAAAATTGAGTACTAAATTATTTATTGGGAAATAAAGGAAGGGCATGAATGAGACCTAATATAAACAAACAAACAAAAACAAAAACAAAAAACAAAAAAAACCTCACCAAATAATGAGAAAAAAAAAGGTGAGATAATGATGGCTTCTGAAATGTTAAATATAATCTGGAACAAGAAAATGAAAGAAAAAGGTAACTCAAGGAATAAAATATGAAAGGAAGGAAATAGAGGGGATAGAGGTAGTAAAGTTCATTTCGTACAGGCAGTTTTGTACTGTGCTCAGTTTTAGATGGAAGGAAGACTTGATCCTGAGGATGATGAATGAACTTGAGGGATCAGAAGCCCTGAGGGATGACTTCTCTGCTTTCTGAAAGAGGTGTGGCCGGGTGGGGGGATAAAGAGGCTCTTGAGAGAGTCAAGTGGAATGAACTACAGACAATGGCAAACCACAATCTTGCCTTTATGGTCCTTGAGGACAGTGGACAGAGCCTGAGTGCTGTGCTTCACACGCTGCTCGTCCCAGCAGAATGGAAGTCCACTAGGTATCGGAGGCTCTGCTATTTACTACTGAGTTATCTCATCCTGTTCTCTATTCTCCTGGGAAATGATTTAAAAGTCTTATCTTACGAGAGTTGATTGGGTAGCCACTGCCTTATTTCTTTCTGGGTTTGAGATATACCTCTGCACCTTTTGTCTTTTAGATGAAAAGAAACTCTCATCTCAGAGTGGCAGGATGGGGGTATGTCTTCAGGGAAGCAGAAAAGGAAGAGACAAAAATTTTTCACATCATGACAATTCCAAGAAATAGCAAAATGTTTTAGTGTCTGTAAAATCTAGCAAGGTGTCATGACACTTCTTGGCTGTAAATAGCACTCTTTCAGAACCTGGAACGTAATTTGAAGCGTCCTGCCAATCTCTTCCCTTTCCTTCCCACCACACATGCTGTAATACCTGTCCCAGGCAATACTGTCAGCTGTGACTTTATGATCTGACCACACTTCTGCTATTTTGGTATTAAATTGGATTTGAACTTGGGTCTCAATTCAATTCAGTTCAGTTAACATTTCTTGAACACCCATAAGCCAAGGTCATTAACCTCTATAAGTGACATCCAAACCTCTCTAAACAAGCAAATCAATCTGGAAGTCCGAGAGAACCACACTTTCTTACAACATTTCCAGTATCTTTCAGTGTTTTCCTACTTAAAGTATCTCAGGTTTGCTTTAGCGAGTCAGTATTCTTTGGTAGCTAGAATAGCTAAGGGACTAGATTTCATGTGGATCTTTATTTGAGTAGGGAGAGTGTATCCTGCCAAATATTCTGTAGGTCGTATTTAAATTGTTAGTAAAGACTAGCATGGATTTGGGTTGCTGCCCCTGACACTTCAGAAATTCAGAACAAAATAAATCCTCAGCTTGATTGCTTCATGCTTTTATTAATTTGGTGTGCTTTTTCTTTAACTATTTATTAATCCATTCTGAAAATGCAGACAGAGTGAGGTGTCATAAAAAGAGAATCCTGGATTGGCCATATAATGATTGTGGGACTCTGGGAGTAATGCTAGAAGGTTATTTTTACTTGGACCTTTCAGGGAGGTGACAAAGACCTATCACTATTCCTGAGTTAAGGAGGAAAAGTGAGACATTTAGGTGATAAGAGAAGTAGCAATCTAAAAAAAATTAGCCTTTGGGAACCTGGAGGGAATTTTTAAGTCAAGGAAGAAGTCATGTCCAAAGTTCATTTTTTCAACTCATTCATTAAACATTTTTAGATTAAGGTCCTGCAATATTCTGGGCACAGTTGTGGGTGCTGGAAATACATATAATGGAGCAAAGAGCAGAGTAGCCACACTAAAGTCAGCAAAAGTAAGAGAATTCTGACTCTAGGAAGTTTGGGGAAATGCACAGACTAGATCTGAGTAACTTCAGATTTAGATAGAGCTGCAATTAATAGTAGTTTTCATTTAGTTAAGTGCATAAGCTATATTAAATATTTTAATTACTTTAAAATTGTCTTTACATTGTACTATATTGCTTTCATATACTCATGAATTATAATAAAGTTACCATTAAAATTGTAGTATTCTTTAAGATTTATATGTTGCATCGCAAGGTCCTATTAAAAAATACATTGTTTAGATCACAAAGTATAATTTAACCTGAAAACATGTGCTCTATCTGTCCAACTATCTACTTTTTATGTTTTATATAAAAAATTTTTCTTTGAAGAGAACCTACCATTTAATCGACCAAACCATTAACAGCAGCACCTAGTGTCAGCTTCTAGAATTTCAGGCACAATGAATAAAGGATATAGTCAATGCAATAAGATTTTATATGGATTGTAGTTTAAAAAATCAAAACATGGTGGCATAGAAATGTAATGTCTTGGCCAGGCATGGTAGCTCATACCTGTAATCTCAGCATGTTGGGATGCTGAGGTGAGAGGATTGCTTGAGCCCAGGAGTTCAAGACCAGCCTGGGCAACAAAGTGACACTCTATCTTTATAAAAAATCAAAAAAATAGCCAAACATGGTAGTGCACACCCATGGTCCCAGCTACTAGGGAGGCTGAGGTGGGAGGATTGCTTGAGCCCAGGAGTTGGAGGCTACAGTGAGCCATGATTGCACCACTGTACTCCAGCCTGGCGATAGAGTGAGACCCTGTCTAAATAAGAAAAGAAAAAAAAAAAAGAAATGTTTTGCATTATGTAAAAATTTTAAATACAGTGGTTCATCTCTTTACACATGCTAACTTAACAAACATACTATTCCTTTGTTAAAAGGGAAGCCCGCAGCATGCTAAATGATATTGGCTAATCCTGTATGGCCAGCTAAATGATATTGGCTAATCCTGTATGGCCAGCTACTTCTTCCACAGTGAAGATGTATACTTACTATGATCTGGTTGTGTTTACTATGAAATCTCTAACAGTTGTACTATTAATTATAATTAAGTAATTTAATTTACTATTGTGTGGACTGTTGAAATATATGTGTGGAAGAAAAGGTTTTTATTTAAACTATAGTCAGTAGTTTGAAAGCATTCATTAAAGGCAAGTAGCTTAAAAAGTACTCTTGTATTGAATGTGGGCAAGACAACAGTAAAAGAATGAAAACAACTAACAATAGATAAAAACACTGCATTCATATTATTTTACAAAGGTCTTTAGATTTTCACTGCATTCAAAAAAGTCCAAAACAGAAAATGAATAGATAATTTATTATGAGTGTGGTTTATGAGAGAAAAATGACCCAGAACTCTACTGAGCAGACCCATACTTGCCAAAATTACCTTGATTCTAAATCACAAAATAAATACATCATTGTACACTCATTTGCCTACATTGAAATAATGAAATGTTTGTGGAATAAGTTTTTTATTATTTCCATGTTTGAAATGACTTTTCCAACATTTAACCATTTAGTTTCCCCATTACATTCTTTCTATAATGAGTTCCTTCTTTAATGAGTATCACCTAAAGTATTTAACAAAAAAGTCAAGCATCATATTTATCAGAAATAATATTTTGAATAAATTGTAAACTATGTTTACGACCTTATAACATGGAAGTACAATTTTAACTAAGCAAAATACCAATCCACTCCGTCTTTGGTAGAATTAATCCTGAATAACATGAGTTTTGATTTAGAGGAGTTTTAAGAAAAACTTCCCATGTATAAAATTCAGGTACGAAAGAAGATGCATAATGCACACAAATTAAACAAAATCTTTTTAAATGTAGACATGTCAATATAGAAGGACAAGTAGTGAATTTCAGTATGTCAACAGTTGCAGTCATGTTGTTGCATAAGGCCACTGAAACAAGCATTTGTACACGTCTTCATTCAAACTGAAGTGCATTTTTTGTTTACATAAATATCTTCATTAAAAGACAAGGAATTCATCCATTTCAGTACTATGCCTAATTTTTTGTTGAATCCCTAGCACCAGAGAGCAGGTAGTTGGGAAACGTCAGTTTATTGTAACAATAAAGGACTTGATAGTTTTTATTCTATGTGTTTCATTGGCTTTCAGATATTGGGTCTATGGCTTTTGAAACATGTAGGAACATAATAACAAAGGGAATACACTTTGACCTTAGAAACTGGTACTGAAAGTCATAAAATGACTTGTTACCTGTCACAAGATTAGTTTATTGTATATGAGTAGAAAAGTCCAACTAATAAAAAGCAGGTTCTAATAAATAATAAAATAAATTTACCATCGAGATGTAATTTTTCACTGAAGCTCCAGTCTTAGTTTCCCCATCTTAAGAAGATTTTTTATTTTATAATAAAAAGGGGAAAATATATAACCTGAAGTAGAACAAACCAAGCAGGCATTGACCTCATCTAGGGATGCAGCATTGTACTTTATTCACAACATTAGATGGCAGCCTAAAGGGTAATAGTTTACTTCTGTTTAAAAAACTATTTTTGTTTGATGTAGTCCTACTTGTTTATTTTTGCTTCTATTGCCTGTGCTTTTGATGTTATACTCAAAGACTCAGTCAAGATCAGTATCAATGTCAAGGAGCTTTTTCTTTATGTTCTCTTTCTCTTTCTTTCTTTCTTTCTTTCTTTCTTTCTTTCTTTCTTTCTTTCTTTCTTTCTGTTAAGAGACAGGCTGGAGTGCAGTGGTGTGACATAGCTTGCTGCAGCCTTGAGACTCACTTGGGCTCAAGTGATCCTCCCACTTCAGCCTCCCAAGTATCTGAAACTATAGGCACACACTATTATACTTGATTAATTATTTTATTTTATTTTTGTAGAGATGGGGTTCTTGCTAGCTCTTCCAGGCTTGTCTTGAACTCCTGGGCTCAAACGATCATCCTGCTCCTCCTCTCAAAGCACTGGGATTACAGGCCCTATGTTTTCTTCTAGGAGTTTTATGGTTTTGTGTCCAGCATTGGTTCCTTCTGGTGGGTTCTTGGTCCCTCTGACTTCAAGAATGAAGCCACGGACCCTCACGGTGAGTGTTACAGCTCTTAAAGATGGTGTGTCCAGAGTTGTTTGTTCCTCCTGGTGGGTTCGTGGTCTCACAGACTTCAGGAGTGAAGTTGCAGACCTTCGCAGTGAGTGTTACAGTTCTTAATGGTGGCGCATCTGGAGTTGTTTGTTCCTCCCGGTGGTTTCGTGGTCTTGCTGACTTCAGGAGTGAAGCCACAGACCTTCGCAGTGAGTGTTACACCTCTTAAAGCTAGTACGGACCCAAAGAGTAAGCAAGATTTATTGTGAAGAGCAAAAGAACAAAGCTTCCACAGGTAGAAGGGGACCCTAGTGGGTTGCCACTGCTGGCTGGGGTGGCCAGCTTTTATTCCCTTATTTGGCCCCGCCCACGTCCTACTGATGGGTCCATTTTACAGAGTGCTGATTGGTGCATTTACAGTCCTTTAGCTAGACAGAGTGCTTATTGGTGCATTTTTACAGAGTGCTAATTGGTGCATTTACAATCCTTTAGCTAGACACAGAGCGCTGATTGGTGCGTTTACAATCCTTTAGCTAGACACAAAAGTTCTCCAAGTCCCCACCCGACCCAGAAGCTCAGCTGGCTTCACCTCTCAGTTTCAGATATTACGTTTAAATCTTTAATTATTTTGAGTTGATTTTTGTATATGATATAAGGCAAGGGTCCAATTTCATTCTTTTATACATGGATATCCAATTTTACCAGCATCATTTGTTAAAGAGATTTTCTTTTCCCCAGTGTATTCTTGTTGTCCTTGTCAAAGATTAGTTAACCACATATGTTTGGGTTTACTTCTGGGCTCTCTGTTTTGTTGCACCAGTCTATGTGTCTGCTTTCATGCCAGTATTATGCTGTTTTGATTAATATACCTTTGTAATATTTTTGATTACTATAGCTTCGTAATATAGTTTGAAATCAGGGACTGTGATACAAAGAAGCTTTGTTCTTCTTTCTCAAGATCACTTTGGCTATTCAGGGTCTTTTCTAGTTCCATTTCTTTTTCTCTAAAAAGCTTTTGTCCATAAAAGGGAATAATCAACAAGATAAATAGGCAACCTACAGAATGAGAGAAAATATTTGTAAACTATATATCTTATAAGGGGTTAATATTCAAAATATATAAGGAACTCATACAACTCAATAGCAAAAACTCAAATGACCCAATTAAGAAATGAGCAAAGAACCTCCTGAATAGACATTTTTTCCAAAGAAAACATACATGTGGTCAACAGGTATATGAAAACATGTTCAACATCACTAATCACCAGGGAAATGTAAATCAAAACCAAACTGAAATGTCATCTCACACCTATGAAGATGGGTATCCTCAAAAAAACAGTAAGTGTGGAAAAGGGTTTGGAAAAAAGGGAACCTTGCACAATGTGGGAATGTAACTTGGTATAGCCATTATGAAAAACAGTATGGAAGTTTCTCAAAAATTAAAAACAAAACTACCATATGATCCAGCAATCCCACTTCTTGGTATGTATCCAAAGGAAATGAAATTATTACCTTGAAAAGTTATCTGTACCGCCATGTTCACTGCAGCATTAACAATCACCAACATATGGAAACAGCTTAAATGTCCATCAACAGATAAATGTATTTAAAAATTGGCGCACACACACACAGACACACACACAGATACACACACACAATAGAATATTATTCAGCTAATAAAAAAGAATAACATTCTGCCATTTACAACAACATGGGTGAAACTAGACGACATTATGCTAAGTAAAATAAGCCAGGCACAGAAAGACAAATACTGTACGTTCTCACTTACATGTGGAATCTAAATAAGTAGAACTCATAGAAACAGAATAGAATGGTGGTTGCCAGGAGCTGGGGCATGGATAAATGAGAAGATACTGATCAAAGAATAGAAACTTTCAAATATGAGACAAACAAGTTCTGGGGATCTAATGCACAACTTGGTGGTGATAGATATGTTAATTAATTTGGTTGTGATAATCAGTATACAATGTATAAATACATAAAATCACCACATTGTATACCTTGAATATGTATAATCTTTGTCAATTAGATATTTTAAAATAAGAATTATTTTGTTTTAATTATATTTTTTCTATTAATTGTACAATTACTTGACAATTGTTTTTAAAATTTTACTAAAAGAAATATATTACAAAGGGGAATCAGTAATCTGGCTAGTTGGCTAGTTAATAAAGGAAAAAGTACTAGATACATGCTATAAAAAGACAAAAATGGAAGGAGAAGTTAAGGAAGCAAAACAAAGAAATAAATAGCTTTGCAAACAAATGTAGTGTCTCTTTTGAGTTCCATCATAAATGTTGCCCAGCTTCAAGTGTGTGTCCTTGCTGATTTCTCCTTTATATAGAAACCTGTATCCCTTTTAAAAGTGCAAGTATTTCTCATCACCAACGGTCATAATTCAAAGGAGCAAAAGGTGTCTACTTGTAAAGACTTTGTCATCAGACAAAGCCAGACTGTGATGACTGGGTCAGTTTCTCCTCTCTAAGCTGATAATTATCTCACACTGTTACAGAAACACTGTGGAGTGAAAAATAAGTACTTTAAGAGACTACAAATGTGAGAAAAGAGTTCCTTTCTCTAAAATTTGAACTGCAATGTTTATAGTTTCATTCACATATTTTTTGCTACATTTTATAAGCATAAACATGATGATTCCATCATTTCATGTTTTAGTATGTACTAGATATCTCTGATGTGCTAATGTTGTTAAAATGCATATTTCCAGGTCACATCCTTAGAGATTCTGATTCGGTAAATCTATGGGAAAGCCTAGGAATACGTATTTTTAAAGCTTGCCAGTAAATTTTCATGCAAGTGATCTGCAGACCACATTTGGGAAGCTGGATAAAAACCTATCTTGAATGTGTAGGTTTATGTCGACGGTGAAAACAGAATCATGGAAGCATCCATGGCTTTAACAGACTGCTCACATTCAATTGTCAACATTAGTGCTTTATCAGATCAATTTTATAATGTAGTAGAGGGAGATGAGCTAGGCTCAAATAAAAACAATACAATGCAATAAAAAGGTATTAGTGACTTGCATGGATGAACAACATACGTTAAGAAGAACTCAGATGAAGAAAAAATTATTTTCAGTTATAAGGAAATAGGACTTAAAAGATGAGCATTTATGAGGGGGGCACATTTCAGTAACAAAGAAAACTATGAACAAACATCTTGAAGAAGGTTTCACCCTGTGGTACAGCCAATGAGCTAGTTAGGCAGCAGCACTGGACTCGTGTCAGAGAGTACTGGGAAGAAAGCCTGGGGAGGTCTTCTGGGCTGAGTTACTTTATGGGTCTATTCTCATGTCTCCTGATTTGGCTCTCACTTCTTTTCAGAATACTTTATCCAGTTTGGCTCTTCCTTGAGACCAGCTAGATACATCTTTCTTGGGAGTTGGGGAGCTGGTAGTTCCTTCCTCTTTCATAGGGAAGTCAAAATGGACCTCTCTTCCTCTTCACTGAGGTGACCACCCTCAATTAGAGAATAAGATAGATGCTGGTTTCTTACTGCTCTGCTCCTATAGTTAGGCTAATTTTTCCTATAATCAGGGAGACCATGAGCACATGCCTGACAGGCTATCTGTTC
The DNA here is from genome assembly GCF_000001405.40 of Homo sapiens. Classification (NCBI taxonomy): domain Eukaryota; kingdom Metazoa; phylum Chordata; class Mammalia; order Primates; family Hominidae; genus Homo; species Homo sapiens. The sequence continues at coordinate 115,943,556 of NC_000003.12, forward strand.
TCAACTCCCTGTGATCTTAGTTCCTTAAACTCCTACTGAGTTTTCCTGTAACTAGGAGGCATCTCCATGTCCTGATTAAGCTATTGTCACTTAAATGGGCATTTGCCCAAGAGATGCTACTTCACCTTCTGAAATCTAATCCGAAACAGGAACTAAACTGTACACGTGGAGATTTAGAACTTCCTGCTCTTCATCAGCCCTCATCACTGCCTCCAGAGAGCCTTTGGTAGGACCCTGGGTTATGAGTATCTCTTAGAGGATACTGCTTCACCAAAAACACCTGAACCAGTCCTCAAACAAGCCTTTGGGGAAATCCCCAACTGCTTTCGAACTGCTTCTCTCTCACCCTCTAGGAAAATACATCTTGTAACAGGCTGATTTAGAAACAAGTCCCCAGAAGCTATCCTGGTGGCTCAAAATCCAGGGATTCCTTAAGAAGAAAATGATACATAACCAAATCCACAGATTTACAATGCAGCATTAAAAACAATCATTAATGCAGTTTTCCCACAGTACTTAATGAGGATGATGGCTGGTGGTAATGATAAATTTCTGACTGTATACTCTTGCCAGGGGCTCTCTAGGGAAGAAAGCTGCTGCTAGCTAAGACATTTAGAATTTCTGCTAAACTCTTCTCAGTAGGAATGTCCTTGCTGATGCTGCTGAGGAGATGAAGGTCTGAAAGTGAGGTATTAGCTCTCATTGAAAGTAAGAACATATCGACCCTAGGCAATTAAAGACAATCTCTTTGGATACATGCATTGTTATCAATAACATGACAGTTTTGCCTATTTGAAATTCAGCCTCATGTTTCACATTGAACCTTTGGGTGACTGTCGATTGAAATCTTTAAAGGGGACTACATCAGTTAAGTATTAGCTCCCTGAAACTCCATCCTCTTATAGTTTAATTGTTCCTGATGGAAAAAACAAATGGTGGGTTTGAAAGTCTCCGAGGTCCTAGTGTAACTTGTTCTGCCAATTCTGAAATAATTTTAGCTACCATTTATGCAGTAAGTGCCATTTACTCCATTTTATGGAGCAAAACTAAGTATGCTTTTTACTGTGGCAAATATTTTATAAATTATCTTAGTTATTAATTGCAATTGCACTCTGTGTTAGCTATCATTATTCACATTTTATGAATAAAGTAATTGAGGCCCAATGAGTTAAGATCCTGTTCAAGGTCACATATCTTAGAGGTGGCTGAGCTAGAATTAAAACCCAAGAATATCTAACACCATAGCCAGAGATCTTTAACCTCTATGGTATAGCGCCTCTCTCCAGTCTACTGGGAGGGCATCCATGTTCCCTCTCACTGTGCATTTGCTCAGTTTATTTGTGCCACCCAAATAGTTTCTCTATGTATATTCCTTTCCTTCCCCTTATCTGTCTATCAAAAATTTATATGTTGCTTCAAGGCTGATATTAAGTACCATTTTTTTTCTAGGAAGCTTATTCTAATTTTTTTTCCTCTTCTTTACATCCCTCTAACCAGATATGGATTCCATCTTTGAGTAATCTCAGTACCTTCCATAAAACTCATAGGGTTCTTATCTTATTTGCTTAGTTTTCTTGGCTATTCAACATAAACTTTCGAATTACGGCTCACATACCTTCCCTTATTTGCTTTGTTTACTTTGCTATTTAACATAAACTTTCAAATTATGGCTTACATACATTCCCAAAAGACAAATCAAATATTTCCCATAGGGTAGGTGCTCACAAATATCTATGCAATGTAATTCACTGAAAGCATTCCTAGGATTAATCTAGGTCAGAGCTTGGACTAAGGACTTGCCCTAATTAGGTATTCACATATGGGAGCCTGGGATTATAGGTCTGTCTCCGATGTGAAGGACAGAGGGTTGTGATACGAGTTTCTGGGCTCTACAAGGCTGCAGATATTGTAAAGGGGTGAGAAATGGGAGGTAGGAGAAAGTAAATACCAAAGGTCACACAACTTTGAAGCTTCAGGGCCACCAAACTGTAATTCAGATCACCTTCATACTCCTGCAATATTCTTTTCACTACATCATGCTGACACAAACAGAATGACCAGTGACATTTAGAATATCTTGTCATCAATTTTTCTGGTCCTAGCATCCAACCACTTTTCCCTTCTAATGTGACTGGAAACTGAAGGAAATCAGACCTTAGCTTTAAGAAAAAAAAATTGTTTAACAGCTTTTAAAAAGAAGTTTCAATCTAACAGACTGTACTGTCACTAGAACTCTGCTCAACTAGACACCTCTCAATTATTCACAGATGGATCATCAAGAACAAATTTTGCTTTTGAGTTCTTATTGACATTATTACCTACTTAGTTCAGTTAAATCCTTTGTTAAGGCAAAGCTAGTGTACTTTTCAACTGAAGTTTTTAAATACAATAAGAGTTTGAAAGAAAGACTGTTTTAAAGTCAAACTCTTAAATAGAGCATCCCTTGAAAACTCTGCTTACATATTTAACACATTTTGATTGAACAAAGCATCACAGTCAATATAAAAAATTAATACCGTAAGGAGACTTCCCATTTCTAGGTATGACAAAGTAATTGGTATTACATTAACCCTCCCACTGAGGAAAATTATAAAAGCTGGGTTAAAATAAATACAATACTGCATGATCTCACTTATGTGTGGAATGTAAGAATGTTGAAATCATACAAACTGAGAGTAGAATGATGGTTACCAAGGGGCTCAGTGGGTAGGTAGGGTGGCAGTATTGGGGAAATGCAGGTCAAAGAATAAAAACTTTCTGTTGGCCGGAAAGACTAACAGAACAAAAGGAATGGAGTGTTACCAAAGCAGCCAAGGCGTGGGCTGTGATCCTGGGATCTACAAGAAATTTTCCCTATAGGCAGATGTCAATTTCCAAGATGTCTATGTGAGGGCAAGATGCCAAGAAGCCAGGCAGAAAACAGCTGCTAAGAGGCTAGAAAATATAAACAGAGATTTTGCGCCAGTAAATTAAAAAACCTGAGTGAAAATAATGTATTCCTTGAAAAACAATTTACCAAAATTGGCACAAGAAATACCAGAAATTCTAAATAGCCCAGTATCTATTTACAAAATTTAATGCATAATTAAAATCTTTCTACAAAGTAAACTGCAAGCCCTTCGTTGGAAAATTTTTGCAAACATTTAAGCAAATAATAAAAATCTGAAGCAAAATCTCTTCCAGAGAATACAAAAAAAAAGGGAATTATTTCCAAAATTATTTTTTGAGGTCACTATAATCTCAATAAGAAAGCCTGACCAAAAATATACGAATAAAATAAAGAGTAAAATAACAGGCCCATTTCTTTTATAAATGAAGACACTAAAATATCAGCATGTCAAACATATATGTTTAGATATATAGGTATGTATAATGGTATATATATGGTAACATGTCAAACCAAGTTAGATTCTTTCCTAAGAAATAAAAAGTTGCATTAGCATTTGAAAAAAAAATGTAATTCACCATATTAACAGAATAAATAAGAAAGACAATATGATTTTTCTCTACAGATGCAAAATAAGGATTTATTAAAATGTAATTCTCATTAATGACAGAAATCTTTAACAGCTAGGAATAGAAAGGAATTTCCACAATCTGATATAGAGGATTAACCAAACATCTACAGTAAATATTATATTTGATTATGAAGTATTGAAAGTTTTCCCTTAGAAATCAGAAATGAGACAATGATATCTGCTATTCCTTCTAATAATATTATACTGAAACTCTCAAATAATGAATTAAGGCAAGAAAAATAGTGAAAATTAGGAGAATTATAAAGGAAGAACTAAAACTCCCATGATTTGCAGATGGTATGATGCTGTGCATGAACATATACAGAATACTACTGAGTGAAAGATGTCAAACACGAAAGAGTACACACTATGAATCTCATTCATATTAAAATAAAAAGGTGAAACCTATTTATGGTGACAGTATTTATGATAGTGGTTACGTTGGGAGAAGTGATACTGACCACAAGAGAGGCATTTGGGTTTCTGGTAATGTTTTATTTCTTGACATGGGTTGTAGTAACACCAGCATGCTCACTTTGTGGAAAGTCATCAAGATTATGAGATTTTTTATTTTTATTGTATGCACATTATAATTCAATAAAAAAAGTTTACAAAAATAATTCATAAATTATTCCTATATAACCCATGCTGAAAGACTCCAACTGGCAATTAAATGTGATACTAGTTTGTGCATGAGCTGATGAAAGAGTAAGAGAGGGATGAACTTGAATGAGCCAGCCTCATGGGTAACATATTATTGACTGTGTTTCTGTGCATTCTTGTGATATAACAGCTTCCTTAGGCACCTCCAACCAGGTAGCTGGCTGATGGGAGGGCCACTTTCTGGGGTCAGTCTCAGAATTGCACACTTGAGAGAATGTTAAGAAACAAACTCAGAAATAAAGTACATCTATGTATAGGTGAAACCTTTGATTGAGCTATGCAGAAAGGTGATAATCTTATTACCCTAGCATGAGAGTGTGCAATAAAAATCTGGGGACAAAATAGTAAAGTCCAAGAACATTTCAATCTCTTCTGAATAAGGTCTAAATAATATACATGCCCTAGTCGAAATGATGTGAATTTCCAGATACACTCATCCTCATAAGTAACAAATCATATAACAAAGACAAAATTTTATTGAATGAAGATTTCATTCATTTGGTTTCCAGTTCATTTCTGCCTCCCTTCTTCTCTATTTATTTAAGAAGTCCTGATTTACAGAACATTCTACCCAACAACTGCAGAATATACATTCTTTTCATTAGCACATGGAACATTCTCCAAAATAGACCATATGATAGGCCACAAAACAAGTCTCAATAAATTTAAGAAAAATGAAATCATATCAAGTATCCTCTCAGACCACAGTGAAATGAAACTGGAAATTAACTCCAAAAAGAACCCTCAAAACCATAGAAATATATGGAAATTAAATAATCTACTCCTGAATGATCTTTAAGTCAACAATGAAATCAAGATGGAAATTTAAAAATTCTTTTAACTGAACAATAATAGTGACACAACTTATCAAATCCTGTGGGATACAGCAAAAACAGTGCTAAAAGGAAAGTTCATAGCATTAAATGCCTACATCAAAAAGTCTGAAAAACACAAACAGACAATGTAACATCACACCTCAAGGAACTAGAGAAACAAGAGCAAACCAAAATCAAACCCAGCATAAGAAAAGAAATAACAAAGATCAGAGCAGAACTAAATAAAATTAAAACAACAACAATACCAAATAATAATAGTAATACAAAATATAAATGAAGGCTAGGCATGGTGGCTTACACCTGTAATCCCAGGACTTTGGGAGGCTGAGGCAGGCAGAACACTTGAGGCCAGGAGTTTAAGACCAGCCTGGCCAGCATGGTAAAACCCCATCTCTACAAAAAATACCAAAATTAGCCAGGCATGATGGCACATGCCTGTAATCCCAGCACTTTGGGAGGCCAAGGCAGGTGAATCACGTGAGGCCAGGAGTTCGAGACCAGCCTGTCCAATATGGCAAAACCCTGTCTCTACAAAAATTACCCAGGCATGGTGGTGCATGCCTGTAATCCCAGCTACTTGGGTGGCTGAGGCACAAGAATTGCTTGAATCTGGGAGATGGAGGTTGCAGTGAGCCAAGATTGGGCCACTGCACTGCAGCTTGGGTAACAGAAAAAGACCCTGTCTCTAAATAAATAAATAATATTTATTATAATATCTTCCATTTAGTTTCTACTTCAGTTTATTTGGATCTTTTTTCTTCTTTTCTTGGTTAATCTCACTAATGGTCTATCAATTTTGTTTATCTCTTAAAAATAGTTTTTTTGTTTTATTTATTTATTTAGATTTATACAAAAGGTCATTCAAGGCTACTATGAACACCTTTATGCACACAAACTAGAAAATCTAAAGGATAGATAAATTCCTGGAAATATACAGCCCTCCTAGATTAACTCAGGAAGAAATAGAAACTCTGAACAGACAAATAACAAGTAGTGAGACTGAAACACTAATAAAAAAAATTGCCAACAACCAGAAAAGTCCAGGACCAGAGAGATTCACACCTGAAATTTCTATCAGTCATTCAAAGAAGAATTAATACTAATTTCATTGAAACTATTCCAAAAGATAGAGAAAGAGGGAATCCTCCGTAAATAACTCTAAGAAGCCAGTATCACCCTAATACTAAAACCAGGAAAGGACATAACAAAGAAAAAAAAAAAGAAAACTACAGATCAGTATCGCTGATGAACATAGACGTAAAAATTAGCAACAAAATACTACTGAATCCAACAGCATATCAAAAAGATAATACACCATGATCAAGTGGGTTTCATATGAGGGATGCAGGGATGGATTAACATATGCAAGTCAATAAATGTGATACATCACATAAACAGAATTAAAAACAAAAACCGTATGATCATCTCAGTAGACACAGAAAAAGCATTTGACAAAATCCAGCATTTATGATGGAAACCCTCAGCAAAATTGCCATAGAAAGGACATAGCTCAAGGTAATAATAGTTATCTATGACAAACCCACAGCCAACATTATACTGAATGGAGAAAAGTTGAAAGAAATCCCCCTGAGAACTGGAATAAGATAAGGATGCCCACTTTCACCACTTCTATTCAACATAGTACTGGAAGTCCTAGGCAGCACAATCAGACAAGAGAAAGAAATAAAGGGCACCCAAATTGGTAAAGAGGAAGTCAAACTGGAGCTGTTCACTGATGATATAATCATATACCTAGAAAACCCTACAGACTCATCCAAAATCCTCCTAGATCTGATAAATGAATTCAGTAAAGTCTCAGGATACAAAAATCAATGTATACAAATCGGTACCACTGCTATACATCAACAACGACCAAGCTGAGAATTAAATCAAAATGCAAAATCAATCTTTTTTAGAAAAGCTGCAAAAAAATAAATAAATTGCTTAGAAATGTACCTAATCAAGAAGGTGAAAGATCTGTACAAGAAAAACTACAAAACATTGCCAAAAGAAATCATTTATAACACAAACAAATGGAAATATATCCCATGTTCATTGTTGGGTAGAATCAATATTGTGAAAATGACCATACTGCCAAAAGCAATCCACAGATTAAGTGCAATTCCTATCAAAATACCATCATAATTACTCACAAAACTAGGAAAAACAATCCTAAAATTCATATGGAACCAAAAAACAGCTCACATAACCAAAGCAAGACTTAGCAAAAAAAAAAAAAAAAAAAAAAAAAAAATCTGGAAGCATTACATTGTCCAAATTCAAACTATACTACAAGGCTATAGTTACCAAAACAGCATGGTACTAGTATTAAAACAGGCATATAGACCAAGGGAACAAAATGGAAAACCCAAGATAATATTTACAGTCAAATAAAGCCAGATACTTACAGCCAACTGACATTTGACAAAGCAAACAAAAATATAATGTAGGAAAGGAGATCCTGTTCAACAAATGGTGCTGGTATAATTGGCAAGCCACATGATGAATAAGAAACTGGATACTAATTTCTTACCTTATACAAAAATCAACTCAAGATGATCAAAGACTTAAATCTAAGACCTGAATCCATAAAATCTCCAGAAGATAACATCAGAAAAACTCTTCTAGACATTGGCTTAGGCAAAGAGTTCATAACCAACACTACAAAGGCAAATGCAACAAAAACAAAAATAAATAGATGGGACCCAATTAAACTAAAAAGCTTCTGCCCAGCAAAAGAAATAATTAGCAGAGTAAACAGCCAACCCACAGTATGGGAGAAAATATTCACAAACTATGCATCTGACAAAGGACTAATATCCAGCATCTATAAGGAACTCAAACAAATCAGCAAGAAAAAAAATAGTCCCATCAGAAGTGGGTGTGATGGTTAATATTTAGCGTCAACTTGATTGGATTGAAGGATGCAAAGTATTGATCCTGGTGTGTCTGTGAGGGTGCTGCCAAAGGAAATTAACATTTGAGTCAGTGGACTGGGAAAGGCAGACCCACCCTCAATCTGGGTGGCCACAATCTAATCAGCTGCCAGTGTGGCCAGAATAAAAGCAGGCAGAGGAACGTGGAAAGACTAGACTGGTTTAGTCTTCTGGCCTACATTTTTCTCCTGTGCTGCATGCTTCCTGCCCTCAAACATTGGACTCCAGGTTCTTCAGCTTTGGGACTTGGTCTGGCTTCCTTGCTCCCCAGCTTGCAGATGGCCTACTGTGGGACCACACCTTCTGATTGTGTGAGTCAATACTCCTTAATAAAGTCATATATATATATATATCCTATTAGTTGTGTCCTTCTAGAGAACCCTAATACAGTGGGCAAAGGACATGAATAGACAATTCTCAAAAGAAGATATACAAATGGCCAGCAAACATGAAAAATGCTCAACATCACTAATTATGAGGGAAATGCCAGTTAAAACCATAGTGAGATTACCACCTTAGTCCTGCAAGAATGGCCATAATTTAAAAATCAAAAAATAACAGATGTTGGAATGAATGTGGTGAAAAGGGAACACTTTTACACTGCTGGTGGGAATGTAGATTAGTATAATCACAACAGAAAACAGTATAGACATTCCTTAAAGAACTAAAAGTAGAACTACCATTTGATTCAGCAATCCCACTACTGGGTATCTACCCAGAGGAAAAGAAGTCATTATCTGAAAAAGACACTTGCACACGCATGTTTATAGCAGCAGAATTCACAATGGCAAAAATATGGAACCAGCCTAAATGCCCATCAACCAATGAGTGGATAAAGAAAATGTGGTATACAAACACCATGGAATACAACTCAGCCATAAAAAATGAATGAAATAATGGCATTTGTGGCAACCTGGATGGAGTTGGAGACCATTATTCTAAGTGAAGTAACTCAGGAATGGAAAACCAAATATCATATGTACTCACTCAAAAGTGGGAGCTAAGCTATGAGGACACGAAAGCATAAGAATAGTGCAACGGACTTTGGGGATTCAGGGGGAATGGTGAGAGGAGGGTGAGAGATAAAAGACCACATATTGGGTACAGTGTACACTGCTCAGGTAATGGGTGCACCAAAATCTCAGAAATCACTACTGAAGAACTTATCCATGTAACCAAAAACCATCTGTTCCCCAAAAACTATTGAAATAAAAAAACTAGAAGTCCTGGTGTTCTCTTAGGCTCAATAAGCTTGTATAGGGCCTGATCTCTTGCAGAAAACATTTGGGAAGTGGATAAAGTGATGTCAAAATATGTAAAAGTAAAGAACAACAGGAAAAAAATCAGTTCAAGATGTAAGAAAAATTATTGTAATAGTAAAAATAATTACTGAATGCTTATTGTATACTGTCTCCTTGTAAAGTGCTTTATTATTTCATTTAACCTTGTCAAAAACACTAGGCAAAGGCAATGTTAATTCCATGTTACAGATGAGGAAATAATTTGCTCAAAGTCATGAGAGATAGTGGTAGAACTGAGGCTTGAACATTTTTCAGTCTGATTCAGAGCTTCTTCTCAGCCACTGCACCTCATCAACCTCCTCATCAAGAAGAGATGGCCATGGGGTATCTCCTTCGTGTTTGCATCTCAGATGTCCTCATCTAATTGCTGCCCATTTTTTCCACATGTACACCTATTTTTGAATTTTATTTTTGCTGATACAGTGTAACCAGCTTTGATTATTTAGGTGATTTTCCAAGGCAAATTCTCATTTTGAGCCATTTTCTACATATCCTAGTCATGAATGTATGTATGCAGTAGAATCAGACCAATGTTAGTTAGCAAAACTGATTAGTGAAACAAATTTAATGGGATGAAACAAAATGTAGTGTGCGTACACACACACACACACACACACACACACACACACACACAATGTCTAAAATACACCAAATATAAATTCCTTGTAGATCAGCAATTTGGGGTTTTCTGCAATATTATCTGCAGTCATGCTTTCCCTTCCCCAAACTTTTCCCTCATCAGGATAACTAAGCTTAGTGATGCACTGAGCAAAATGCTGGTGACCAGGAGAGTTGCTGCCATTAACGTGATCTGAAGAAAACTCGGAGATTAAAAGGGCAAGGTTTTAAGGAATCCTAATGACAAAACAAGATCTTGAAATTTGCAAAATTCCTCTGCTACATTCTTCTACCCTGCAGAGTCTGGCTTCTGCCTACTTCTCCAAAGTCTTTTTCATAAGAGGGAGTCCTCTCACTGTGCTGTAACCACATTGTCCAGTTTTCCATTTCTTTAGTCATTTCCTGCTTTAGGACCCCTTTGGTAGTCTTGATCCCTGTGCCTGGAATGCTCTGCCCAGTTCTTTCCCTGGTTGGTTGGTTCTTACCTTTCATTTCTCAGGTCAAATGTCTCGTTCTGTAAGAGGCCATCCTTGTCCTCCTTAGCTAAAGCAAATGCCCCTGCACTCTTGACTGCTTCTTATAACATCCTAGTAATTTTAATTTTTTTCTGTCACATATGATGATCTGAGAGTATCTTGTTTATTTGTTTTTTAACTGTTTATTTTCTGCCTTCTTCCCCACTCCCTCATCCCGATTCCCAGTTGGTATGTTATATCCATTTACTTATTTATTTTTTTACTATATTTTCTGGGTCTGCTTATTTGGAATGTCTGCAACTTTCCCTCATTCATCTCTGGCATATGGGCTTCTACGGACAGCCAGCCTGGGAGCACAGTTTTACTGTGGATAGCCTACATTGGGTCTGCTGTTTGCTGAAGGACAGGCCCTACCTCCGTATCTCCACGCTTAGCCATTCATGCACTTAGCTCTGTGAGATCATCTGATGAGATGAAACTGACCCATCTACTCCTCTAGATAGACAGGTACAGGGATACTACCATAGGGAGCAAGAAAAATTAAGTTCTGAATTTGCAGGGACTTTTTCAGCAAGAAGCTACAGAAGTTGAAATGGACATGGCAAATGGAAACAGAAAAAGTACAAAAGTCTGATACATTCCTCTTTGACACATCAGCTGCTGCACTGAGATAGAGCATTCATTTGCACTAAAGCCAAGCTCTTTCAATGTTGGGGCCAAATATAGATTAGAATAAAAGGGCAATGTGTTTTTAACCAAATGTGATTTTAAGATGGCTGGCAAGGAAAAGGCGTTCTCTCTCTAGAGCCCAGCATTTATTAGATGCCACTTTTCTAGTAGTTTTTAATCAGGAAGATATTGGCTCAGGCTTTTAAAATAGCTCCATTATTATTTATTTCTCAGTGCACCTGATCCTGTTCCAGATTGGCTTCTGTGGATTCCTGAGCCCATGGATCCCCTTAGTCTTTGGTAATTTTTGCCAGGCTTTCTGTGCTTGAATTTGACACCACCCTTCCACCTATTTGCTTCCTAATGTTTTTTCTGTTTTTGTTTTTGTTTTTTTTTTTTTGAGATGGAGTCTTGCCCTGTCACCCAGGCTGGAGTGCAGTGGCGAGATCTCGGCTCACTGCAAGCTCCGCCTCCCGGGTTCACGCCATTCTCCTGCCGCAGCCTCCCGAGTAGCACCAAGCCAGGCTAATTTTTTGTATTTTTAGTAGAGACGGGGTTTCACTGTGTTAGCCAGGACGGTTTCGATCTCCTGACCTCGTGATCCGCCGGCTTCGGCCTCCCAAAGTGCTGGGATTACAGGCGTGAGCCACCGCGCCTGGCCATGTTTTTGATATTTTATTTGTAACTTGTTGGTAAACCTAAACCTCATGCTAAATCCTTACATCCTAAATAGGATTTTTCAGGTTTCATATTTCTCTAGTATTATAATTTGTTTTTCCCTCACTCCTGATTTTTTCCTGATAGTTTCTTTACTAAAATATCCCAGCAGACCGTGTTCACTTCTCATGAAAATAGTTGTGGTATTAGACTTCATTCATTCCTTTCCAAATATTTATTAAGCACCTACTGTATGCTAGACACTGTACTAAGTGCTAGGGATATAACCATACACAAAATCAGCATGGTACTTCTTCTTAGGGAACTTATAACTGGATGTAGGAGACAGGTATTTAAACAAGCCATTGTATTAACTGCTGATGGGTAAAGAAGGGTCTGCTAGCCCAGCAGGTAGTTGTGTGTGTGTGCCCTGTGTGTTATCAGATAAAACTTTTAGTCAGAATTACCCAGGTACTTTTAATAGACAGCAGCAAAAGAAAACCTCTCTAGTTGCTATTCTTACAGCACCCACACCCTACCTGCTTAGCTGGGCAGGGAGCTCATGAGTCTTTAGAGTTGCCTCCAACAAAAATCTCTAACATGAATGCTATTGGTCCTGAGAAGGTCATTGGTATCCCTCATTTAAACATTTGGGCAGATGAAAGGAGTGAAGTCCTATGAATAAACTCCCAAAGCCCTCATTAGGCCAGCATCAGGCATTTTTTTAAAAGAGTTTTTATAGAAAATTCAAGCTATTGCCAAGGATAAAAACTTTAACTGAGCCCTAGAAGAGGCTTACCAGTTCAGAATGTGACTCAGTTCAACTGTAGACGACCATGATTTACCTCTTTGCTCAAAACTTCACCTAGAGACATACTATTCTTTATGATAACTTTTAGAGCTTGTGTGCTCTCCCATGATTATTATCTCCATATAGCTGTAAAGGGAAACTTACAGTCTGACCAGAGACGAAGACTTGGGAAAGCACTAGGGTATCTGAGGTTATCAGGCTGGGACCTGAACCTGCATATACAGAGTTCTGCAAGACAGATCTGATCTCGTAGGCCTCCCATCCAGGAATGAGCAGCTGTGCATCACTTTGACCAAACAATTATAGAAGAGAGAAGTTCCAGTTGTAGTCCATCTAGTCACTTCTCAGTGACCTTAATCCCCATAGAGGAGAAAAACTCTGACATGGCAGATTGACACAACTGAGAATCTACCCCTATTAAATCCACTCCTTCTGTACCATGGACTTCAACTGACTTTTAACATCTGGTTGGTTGCCCACCTCTATTCTTAGTTCAGACTATTCTTTGGTAGAAGATACTCATGTTTTAAAGATGTCCTCCCTGAGAGCTGAGACAAGTTTACTTATCACCTAGAAAATAATTCACTAAAGATTTGGATTTAGGTTTATGTCAGTTTATTTTCAAGATAAAAATCCAAAAGGCAACAAAGGAGAGAAAAAATTGGAAGCTTATATAGTTAAAATTTTATAATTCTTTAACTATTTCCAAATAAGAGATATCAGCATATCAAAAGTCCTCAATATCAACAATCTTAAATGAGGATTTATTGTATATAACCTAGCATGTTAAGGTGTTCAAGGGTTTCTTGGATTTAGGATCTTCATCTCTTCAGCCCTAATCTCCCCTTACAGGCTTCTTGAAGAAGTCATTCCAACATTCTTCAGGTGCCAGAAGGCTTCAAGAACCTGAAATCTAGCTTTTCTTTGACTTTTTGTGAGGACCCATTTAGTAAACCCCAACAATGATTTATGGTCAAACTAATACCTCAAAGTTTTATATTTGTCACATTTTTAATGAAAGTACTCTGATTCTATCTCCACTCCTCTTTGTGAATATCTTATGAATTTAACTCAAATTAACTGAATAATTTATGTAGTAAAGATATCCATGATAGGCATGAGAATCCTGGCATTTTCATTTGAAGAAATCAAGTACCCATAGAGGTCAAAACTTACATCAGACACTCAGGAAGCCCCTCTGATTATAGATGTAGAAGTCCCTTTCATACCACATCCATCTCCAAGGGCTAAAGCCACTACACAAATGGCTCGTGTTGAAAAACAGAGCCTGTTTGTTTCGGAAACTCTTATAAGCACGTTGTGGCCATATACTAATATTTAATGATGTCTTTCAATACTGTCCTTGCCCCAAACTTCATCCTGACCAGCCTGAGGCCCCATCACCTATTTTTTTTTTAATCTCTTATTTGAGAAGACCTAAACCCCAGTGCAGCTGTGGCAACCTAATGGAACCACATGATCCTCAAAGGGACATTAGGACAACAGCTAATTCATCAGTATTCTTGCTATCTATGATAAGTATGTCACCATTGTATGCTTTGAGCTGAGACAAAGGAGCTAGGAAATTTGTATCTTCCACATCAGCCTCAAATGCCCGCATGGTATAATTTCAATGAATGTAATGATTCTCTTGCTTCCATCTCAAAGCTCTGGTACCATTATTGTAGTTTTAGTGTATACAGCAAGACCATTTTGTACCTTTCTTGGAAGATATGATGACCCACTTATCCAGAAGAGCTTTCCAAAACATGCTCTTCTCAAACCATAGGATTTCCAAAGGTGAGTTATCACCTTGTTGTAGAGGCTTTTTGTCTACTAGCTGTATACCACCTCTATTTTTTATCCAACATTTCTAGGTGTTTGCTGCTCAGGTTTCCCAGGAGTGGAGTAAGAGAGGTGGAAGGTTTTCTGGCCCCAAATGAAAGGGGATATAAAAAATCCCACTCTTGTCAGGAATGTAGTCATAACTAGTTGTGAGCCTGTTTTATTTTTTAGATGAGCATACTTACATTAAAAAAATCTATTCATATATGCACACACACATACATACGCACATAGTTTGGCTCATTTTAGGAAGGACTTGAGGTGTCACATAAAAACATTGGTATAGGGGTTGCAAAGTGCCTATTTTGATGCCCTTTTAATTGTGACTAATATAACTTGAATTTCTTAATCAAGATTAATATAACTTGAACTTTTAAGGGAAAATGTCTATCTATAATTATTGAGATGCTAATTTTGACAAATTTTCCAAATATATGCTTAATTTTCCAGCTAGATTACAAATAACTATAGGGTAAAGATCATTTATTTAAGGCTCTTTGACAGCCTTACAACTGTGTTTTTAAGTAGAGGTTTTGAATTGTAAACGTTTCAAAGATGCTTGTGAAATTCTATGCCAATATTCTTAGTATTTTTCTTCAGTTTGCTCAGACATTATAAATCCTGTGTGAGAAATGAGGAGAAAATGGAGGTTGATATGAGGTTGATATAACTTGCCCGAAGGTCAGCCAGCAAGCGAGAGGAAAGGATGGAATTAGAACTCACACCCCTCAATTTTCCAGGCTGTTGCTTAGCCCACTGAACCCCACTGCCTCTGACTCAGTGTATTAATATAGACTGAAACACAGATTGCTTGAACATATGGCAGAGAGGATGAGAAGATAACATTCTGTGGCAGGATTCATTTCTCCAGGCAAGTAGATGTAAAGGCTGTTTTTCTGCACAGGATTCAGCAAGTGAAGCGTTAAGCACTTAAAAAAAATTGTCTCCAAATGATACAACTTTCCCCCTTGAATGAGATCTGTTTCTGGGCATTCAATGTCAGGAGAAGCCGGTAGACGTGGGGCCAGGAGGACTGTAGGCCACCCATAGGCTATGGTAAAAAATAAATAAGGATCTTGCAGAGCCCCAGAATTGTGCCTAGAGGGAGGAGTGCCTAATAAATGTCAGTTCCTTCTCCTTCCTCAGCAAACCATACCCTATAGTTAGGACACAAATTATAGATTTGTCTCCTGATCTAGATGTTTCTATCCTCTTTAGCAATAATCTGCAATATTCTATGTTCTTAATAAGACCTAGATATTTCTTTTCTCACTGTTACTAGATGCCACTAAGGGCTTCCTTCAGTACATTGGGCAAGTTACTGTGGATTTTAGCCTGAGATTTTTTCTTGTGAGACACAGCAGTATCAGGTTTGTAAGGAGACAGAGCTCAATGCATTCAAGGCATAGAGTCTAAAGGTCCAAAATTTTAGGCATGATTTAGGGTGGTGGTTTTCAAATTGGTGGATCCACCAAGAAGAGGAAAGTGAAGAGGCTGCATAGGGAAGGTTCAGTACCCCTCTTCTTTTCTTATATGTTGTAAATCTGTGCTGTATAAGAGTTTAATATAAAACTTTGGTTGGAAAAATTGAGGATTTTATAACTGAAAGACACTTTTAAAAGCCTGATTTAGGAAATGGTTGCTTTTATACAATAAAATGTAGTAGTTCGGAGCATGTGTGTTGGTTATAAGAATAATCTTACTTTGCATCTAACTAGCCTTGTGACCTCAGATAACCTGCTTAGCCTCCCTGTGCTTCAGTTTCCCTATCTACAGTAACTGTGCCTATCTCACAGGTTTGTAATGAGGCCTAAATGAAGTAATATATGGATGTGCTTGACATTGAGACTGGCACACACTAAACACTCACTAAAAGGTAGCTGCTGTTATAATTTTATCATCACTATTACTATTATTTTTGCTATTATTGTTAGATCTATTCCAAAGTTTGGATTTATTGCCTTTTTCTAGTTTGCAATTTAGGTAGAATGGCATGGGATTTCGATGATCTGAATGTGAATGGCAGGCCCCCCAACTCATGTAAAGGGAATATAAAATGTTCTGGTGGCAAAGGGAATATAGAGAGAGTCCATGGGGAGATGGTGTCTTGGGGTCTACGCCATGCTGACTGGTGAACATCCCTTATACCAAACTGAAGATTTGTGTCCCTTACTCTTATGAGCTGAATTGTGTCCCCTGCACCCCAAGTTCATATGCTAAAGTCCCAACCCTTAGTACCTCAGAATGTGGCTGCATTTGGAAGTGAGGTGTGTAAAGAGGTTAAGTTAAAATGAAGCCATTAGGGTGAGCCCTAATCCAATATAACTAGTTTCCTTATAGAAAGAGGAGGTTTGGACACAATGCCTACAGAAGACGAATAATATGAAAACACAGAACAACCTACAAGCCAAGGGAAGAGGTGTGAAGCAGAGTTAGCTTCCAGAAATGTGAGGAAATACATTGTTGTTTAAGCCACCCAGTCTGCGCTATTTTGTCATGTCAGCCTTGGAGATTTCAAATTTTAGTTTAATTCAGAGAACAGGCTTTTCTCTACCAATCCAAATGCAGAGAAAACACACCAGGGCCTGGTACTCCTTTGAAACTCCATTTCTGCTCTTCTTTTTTCCTAAGTAAAATTCTACTGATGCATGTTGTCATCTTTTAGGCATCCCCCAAGTCAGCATGTTAATTTTTTCCGCCAGTGTTTCATCTGATGCTCCCCACCACTGCTATCCTTTCTGAGCAATTGTAATGGCCTCTCTAGCACATGGTTGGCATGGCTTTCCACTTGCACTGTGGAACCTGGCATATTCACCACCTACAAGAAGGACTTAAAGAGTTATCAATTCAGGTTTATATCAGATAATAAAATGCCTGCCAAAATAATGCCCCTGGAATACTCTGAAATCAACTGTTAATAAAAGGCAAACAAAAAAAAATCGTTAATTTTTTTCCCCATGGAGAACTTTCTTTAAAAATCCAGCACAGTCAAAATGAAACAGCTATCAAAGAAAGCTCCCCCATTAGCTGTCAGTTCACAGCAACTTCAGTCAGCTGGTGTGCCTGCGCCTGCAGTAATATCTCCCCAGCATCCTCCCACACGCCCAACTTGACTGCTCTGTGCAAGCCACATTAAACCTGTCTGCCATCAATCCCCGGGTCTGCTTTTCAGCAGCAGCTTAACGAGGTAAGGGAGCTGGCATCACCAAGAGGCAAATGCTATTTCAGAGGGACTGGGAGAAGCTGAGAGAGGAGTGGAAGTGGAGAAAAGCTAGATATAGGACATTAAGCAACATTAAGCAAGCAGGGTTTTTCTCATAAGATCTTCTCATATTGTCATTTCTATGCAGATGTGTTTTCCAGCCTCCTAAAGTCAGAAGAGACAGTGGGAGATGAGTTAGGAAGCACCAAATCATAGCAAGCTGGCCACATTCACACAATTTTATCTTATGGAGAAACTGGAGGACACTGCCAATTCTCCTCTTCTCCCAGGATGAGCTACAACTTTAGGTCTGGGGCTTCCTTTAGAATTCGTAGCAAGAAGCACGAAGAAAAGCATAAGTTTTTGTGTTTGTTTTTTTCCCCTCTTAGACAAATCTGGCTTGAAGCATATTCACAGTGTATGTCACCACTAGGGAAGCTGATCTAGCCTTCTTCCCAGTGCTGCCAATGAAGGGCATAAGCCTCTGGCACTAAGAACAAAATGAAAAATGACTCAGTAACTAAACTGAAAAACAGTTCCCCAATCAATTCCCTGAGGCGGCAATGAGAACACCACGTGGGGCAGTTCAGCCTCCTTCCTCCACTCTCTTCTGAGAGGCCAGTTTCACAGATTGCTTAAAGACCACAGTAATTCTGGATCTGGTGGGGCTTCTGGGAATAGAAGCTAAACTTCTATTTGAAATGCCTCCCTCCTGCTGCTCTTAAATAACGCTGACAACAATAATCAGCATTTATACCAAGAGGGTCCTTCAGAACCTTTATTAAATCCTTTCAAATATACTCTCTTACTTCTATCCGGCAGAGAAAATATGCTTTGTGACAGGTGCCTAAAAGATAGCTGCATGGCTTTTGGGTCCTGGAACTACCTGTTGTCTAAAATAACACCCTTACTTGTGTCCAGACTCTGACAAATGACCAGCAAAGGCACTGGCCTGCACATTTTCTTGACCCAGCAAAGTGGTCTGCTATTTTTTCTTCAAAATCACATAAACAGTAAAGAGACCTTAATGATCGACTTGCCCAACTGCACAGCTGACGTTTGAATTAGAACTGCAATCAAATGGCCATTCAGTCTCGGCTAGAAATCCTGGGATGAAGAATTATAGAAGTTACTATCTCCTGCATGCTGGCTGTCACTGACCACCATTTTTTTCTTTCATGTGCTTAGGCTCTGTTTTTACTAATTCCATTGAACTGACTGCTTTCTCTAGAGGCAATGAGTATGATAGTACTTTATACAAAACAGGGCCAGTGTTGGAAGAGGAACATTTTCTTCATGTCTTTTATTATACAATTTGAGATAATTCTCTAATGACACACCGTGGCATAGTGAAGAGTGCTCTGACCTTGGAGAACGAAGATCCAGGTGTGAGTCCCAGCTTGATCAATTACTACCTTGTAAATAGGGAGGCCTATCAATCTCACTATCTATTTGCAAAACGGGAATAAAACTGTGTATGCTCAAGAGGGTTGTGAGAGAGTTAAACAGGATAATATATGTGAAAGGAATCTCTAAGTGGTAAATTGCTACATATACATAAGCTGTTTATTCACTTTTCAACTTTTAGGTTACTCCTTGGAAAATTGTGCCAAAGTGAGTAGAAAAGGGAAAGGGCCAAGAGCATAGTGATTTAATTAGATCCACAGGACATTGCCTTCGCATGGGTAGATGGAGCCCCCAGCCCTTTGGATTTCAGCACATTGATATGTGGTAACTTAATATGCAAATGATAGGCCTCAGAGGGCACCCAGTCTCCACATGTGCCAATTAATCAAAGGAAACAGTATCATCCTCTAATTCCACTAATTAGGGGATCATCCATAAGCTACTATGTTCTGAGCTACTGAGGTTTAATAAATTTGCAATAAATTATGAGTAATACATTAGCCAGGGACCAACTTACTACTGAGCGATAGGATGAGAGAAGGGTTCAGGTTATTTATATATTTAAATGGTTTTTTTTCCTCAATTTTCTTCTTCTGATTTTCTGTCCTAAAAGTTTCTGAACAACTTGATTGTGTGGGACCACAGGATCTCCATGTTTCGTTGTAACAAGGGGTCCAGAAATCATATATAAGTACAACTACTAAATAATGTGATTAGAATTTTAACACATGTACCATAATTAATCCAAATGATTGGTTGCTTCAAAACTGCCATTGTGTAAATTTGTACACTTGTTCTAATGCTACTACTATGACCCCAAATTAGGGAATCCTTTGAGAATTGCCTTCACATGCTTATTTATTCTTTTGAATCTTCTCAGAGGTGACAAATTGTTCTCTGAGAGTATATTTGAATTTGGAGGCAGTTAAAAGAAGTTTGAAAGTATTGTACTCTGGTTATTAAGGGAGGTAATCAAGCAGGATAATCCTGTTTGTGGTCAGTTGAAGAACCCATCCCATTACCCATGTGCTTGAATGAGGGGATAGATCATGCTAAGACAAAACTCTGACCATTAGATGTGACTCCAGTATGTGATTGAATTTGGCTGAGGGAATGGCGGGTATGACTACTTGAAATCGGTGTAAGAGGGTTTTAACTTCACTTAGAATACAGACATAAGAGGTAGAAGCTTTAGTTCTTGCCGTCTCTATACCCAGAATGATTTTTCCAATTAAGACTCTATCCATTCTTTAATGTTGGTTTATTTATTTATTTTTGAGATGGGGTCTTGCTGTGTTGCCCAGGCTGGAGTGCAGTGGCACAATCACAGCTCACTGCAGCCTTGCCCTCTTGGGCTCAAGCAGTCCTCCCACCTCAGCCTCCCAAATAGCTGGGACCACGGGCTCACACCACCACACCTGGCTATTTTTTTATTTTTTGTAGAGATAGAGTCTCCCTATGTTGCCCAGGCTGTTCTTGAACTACTGAGCTCAAGTGATTCTTCCATTTCAGCCTCCCAAAGTGCTGTGATTACAGGTGTAAGCCACATCACCCAGCCTTCTTTAGTGTTAGTTTAAATGCCATCTCAATTACTAGAGTTTTCCTGATAGTGTTCAATTGACAGTTTTTGCCCTGTTCTTAATAGCTTTTATTGTATCCTGTTTGTACTCTTATGGCACTTATTTTTGGTGTTTTATTTTATTTGGTTTTAAATAGTTATCATCACCTTTTATAGGTGGTAAACTATTTAGGAGTAGGATATGTGTCTTACTCATGTTTGAATCTCACATATCAACTAGAGTAAGCTTTGGGCATGATGATTAATCAATTAATATTAGTTGAGAAAATGAGTTATGGTACAGTGCAGCTGTCACTATATAAATGCAGCAATAGTCATATATACAGAAGTACATCCATGTAGGTACCTAATTTACTTACATGAAAATTACTCTCAATGGTGAAGTGTTAGTAAGCATTTCTTTTAAAATTAGAATGGTTCAAGAATGCCCTCTATCACTACTTCTATTCAGCATTTGGCTGGTGTTTCCAACCAGTAGTATAGGACAAGAAGAAAAAGAAGTACAAAAACTAGCAGGAAAGAAACAAAACATTCATTATGCGCAGATGATAAAATTGTCTATATAAAAACACAAAAAATTCCATACATTTTTGGGATTTAGACAGTTTAGAAAATTGGGTGAATACAGAATGAAGAAACAAAAATCAAACGCATTTCTAGATAGCAGCAAAAACTTAGCTTGAATGGGGATATTTCTAAAAAGGTAACATTAACAATAGTAACAATATTATACCAAATGTAGAGATAAATCTAAAAAACTATATGCTGAATCTTTAGGCATAAAATCACAAAACATTATTGAAAGCCATTAAAGAAGACCTCCACAAATGAAAATTGTACCATATTCATGAGTAAGAATACCTAATATTATTAAGATATCAGTTATTCTCAAATTGACCAACAGATTTAATGTGTGACCTTTTAAATTACTGTTGAACTTGAAAAAGTGATTCTAAAATTTATGTGCATGAACAAAGAGCATACAGTAACTAAGAAATACCTGATGGCAAAAAATACGATATGAGAGAGGGTCCTGATTTATTAAATAGCATACCTACTTATAAATATTAGGCAAGTATATATTTGATATATACAAAGAAAGTATAAATAGACATAGAAATAGATTACTACTTCCCAGAAACAGATATCTACAAAGAAAGGAAATATGAATATTACAGAGTTGGCATTTCAGATAAGTGGTAAACATTTAAACTATAACAATTGTGCTGAGACTATTAGTTTTTAATTTTCCAGGGGAAACAAATGAAATTGTAATCTTACTCAAAATGTACAGAAAATATCAATTCTAACTCATTGAAATGCAAAAAAAAATCAAAACTTTTAGAAGAAATCATAGGAATATCTTATAACCATGGGGTGAAGAAGGATTTCTCAAATAAGATACAAAAAGTTTAAGTCATAATAGAACAGATTAATAAATTCAAGTAAATTAAGCAAAATATCTCTTTTCATCAAACAGTAATTGAAAAAATAAAAAGCTATGATACCAACTAGAAGATTTTTGTATTTTAGGTTTTTTTTTTTTTTGCAGTTTATATAACTGGTAAAGGGTTATTTTCTATATGAATACAAAACTCTTAAAGTCCAAAAAAGAAAGACAAACAACACAAAAATGAAAAATATAAACAGGTAGCTTATTTAAAAATTAAAATAATAATTATGAAAAGATGAAACTTTATTATTAATCAAAGGCATACAAGTTTTTAAGATGGCATAATATTTTATAAATAGCATTTTGACAAACCTTTAAAAGGCTGATAGTTTTGAGTGTGGAAAGTATGTAGAGAAATACAAATTATCTTTAGTTGTATGTATGTATAAATTAATATAAATTAGTAGAACCACTGTGGCAGAAGCTGCTAGTTATCTGCTAATATTGGTCTTTCTCTTCTTTCTCAGTAATAAGATTTCTCTATTGTTAGCTGGCTCCATGGCAAACTGGCAGAAAACTACATTTCCCAGTTTGCCATGTGGGGCAAATGTAACCATATGGCCATGTAAATTCTGACCAATAGGATGAAAATAAAAGTGTTCTGTACATCTTTAAGGAAGGGACTATGCACCTATTGGGTCTTTCTCCTGTTGCCAGCCAAAATGTGGATACACTGGCTGGAGTTCCAGAAACCATTTTCGATCTTGACAGATAAATTTGGGAATGAAAATTGTTCATACAAGTTAACCTATACAGTACATGAAGCCTTGATCTCGACACTGTGGAGTGCCTTACCATCTCTGGAATAACCACCTCCAGGCTTCTTGAACCTGAGATAGAAATGTATGACTATTTTATTTAAACTCCTGTGATTCTGAAATTTTTATTAGCCACAGCAGCCTAAACAAATCTTAACCAATATAACCACATTAGAAAAAGATTTGACCTTCCATAAAGTTAAAAGTGTGCAAATTCTGTAGTCCCACAGTTTTCTGCCTTAAGTATATGCCTTGAAGAACTTTATCCTTACATGCATCAGGAAACAAAAAAAATGTTCATAACACCATGGTTCTAAGACCAAATATTGGAATAACCAAATCCATGGATGGAAGAATAGTTAATTTCATTATGTTTTTATCCAATGAACTACTAATATGGAGCTAGGAATAAACTCAACCTCTGAAGAAACCATAAGCATAATATGATCCATAAGCATAATGTTGAATAAAAATACAACAACAAGAAAATTTAAACAATTTATTATTTGGAGGATACATACATATAGGCAATTTATAAGTAAAAGCAATGCAATAATAAGCCTAAATTTCAGGATAGTGATTAATAAAATAGAACCTTATCAATATCTTTGAAATTCTGTTTATGCCCCTCCCTGGTGGCATCCTGAAGGAAGGGGAAGGGGATGAAACCAGGGAAGGGCATAACCAGAACTTTAAAGATATAGGTAAGGTTCTATTTTTCTTAATCTAGGTGCTCCTCATTACTTATGCAAATTTCTGCAGCCAGCTTGAATTTCTCGTCAGAAAATGGGTTTTTCTTTTCTATCGCATTGTCAGGCTGCAAATTTTCCAAACTTTCATGGTCTGTTTCCCTTTTAAAACCAAGTGCCTTTAACAGCACCCAAGTCACCTCTTGAATGCTTTGCTGCTTAGAAATTTCTTCCACTAGCTACCTTAAATCATCTTTCTCAAGTTCAAAGTTCCACAAATCTCTAGGGCAGGGGCTAAATGCTGCCAATTTCTTTGCTAAAACATAACAAGAGTCACCATTGCACCAGTTCCCAAGAAGTTCCTTATCTCCATTTGAGACCACCTCAGGCTGGATTTCATTGTCCATATTATTATCAACATTTTGGTCAAAGCCATTTGACAAGTCTCTAGAGAGTTCCAAACTTCCCTACATTTTCCTTTCTTTTTCTGAGCCCTCCAAACTGTTCCAACCTCTGCCTGTTACCCAGTTCCAAAGTCGCTTCCACATTTCCATTTATCTTTTCAGCAGCACCCCACTCCTGGTATTTACTGTATTAGTCCATTTTCATACTGCTGATAAAGACATGCTTGAGACTGGGAAATTTACAAAAGAAAGAGGTTTAATGGATTTATATTTTGACGTGGCTGGGGAGGCCTCACAATCATGGTGGAAGGCAAGGAGGAGCAAGTCACATTTTATGTGGATGGCAGCAGGCAAAGAGAGAGCCTGTGTAGGGAAACTCCCATTTTTAAAACCATTAGATCTCATGAGACTCACTCACTATCACGAGAACAGCATGGGAAAGGCCTACCCCCATCATTCAACCATCTCCCACTGGATTCCTCCCACAACATGTGGGAATTATGGGAGCTACAAGATGAGATTTGGGTGGAGACACAGAGCCAAACCACATCACCTCCCTTTTTCCCAAGCAGAGGAGTCCCTCCCTGTGACCACCACCATCCTAGGCCCACAGTGAGTACTGCCTGGCTACCATTGATGTTCACTCAAGGCCCATGGGCTCTTCAGTCAACTTGTGGTGAATGCTGCCAGGCCTGAGACTCTCCCTTCAGGGAATCTGGCCCCCTTCCAGCCCAAAGCAGGTCCAGAAATACCATCCAAGAGCCATGTCCTGGAATAAGGAACCCCAAGAGCCTGCTTGGTGCTCTACTGCACTGTGGCCTAGCTGGTGTCTAAGCTGCAAGACAAAGTCCCTCTTCCTTCTCCTTTTCTCAAGCAGAAGGATTCCCTCCCTATAGCCACCACAGCTGGGAATGTGGCTGAGTTACACCTGAAGTGAGCTCGCCTGTGAGTCACAACCAAGGTCCACGGCAATTACTATCTGGGTATTGCTGCTGATTATTGAGGGTCCAAGTGCTCTTTAGTCAGAAAGTGATAAATCCTGCTAGGACTGGGTCCTTTCCTTCAAAGCAGCAGGTTCTCTTCTGGCTCAGGGTGTGTCTAGACATGTCATCCAGAAGGTAGGACCTGGAATGGGGACCTCGGAACTCTACCTGATATTCTATCCTACTGTGATTGAGCTGATACCCAAGTTGCAAGACAAAGTTCTCTTTACTCTTCCCTCTTCTCTCCTCAACAGAGGGAAGGAGTCTCTCCCAGAGCTGTGAGCTGCACTGCCTGGGGTTTGGGGAGGGATGGTGCAAGAACTCCTTTGGCCACCCCAGCTGATGTTTCACTAGGTCTCTTGTCTTCCAAGTTCAGTGGGTCTGAGCTTAGCACAGCACCAGGACTTGCCAGGGAATTGCAGTCCTTGTGGCCTAGACTGCCTTTCCAGTTTATTTAGGACCTCAGAGTGCCTTGGTCTGCAATGGCAAGGCTTGTTGGAACTCAGGTTCTGACCACTGGGATGGGCAATTCCCCTCTGGCTAGGACTGACCTAAATGCTCCCTCCAGCAGCACTGGCTGGGGTCTACCCAGTCTTGCTTTCTGCAGTGAAAAGCAGCACTGAGTTCCAATGCAAAGACCTACAATCACTGAGCTCACCTTCCCCTAAGCACACAGATTCTCTGACCCACACAACCACTGTCAGGGGTTGTGTCGCAAGTCAAGAATGCCTTTCCTACCCGCTTCAGTGCCTCTTTCAGTGATATGAGGATAAAACCAGGTACTGTGATTGCTCATCTGATTGTTGGTTCTTATAAAGGTGCTTTCATGTGTGGATAGTTGTTAAATATGACATTTCTGCGGAGAGGACGATTGGTGAAGGCTTCTGTTTGGCCATTTTTCACCACTTCCCCTCACATGTATGTTTAAGTATTCTTTTGAATGTACGAATAATTTTACAATAATAGTTGGAAAAAGAGTAGGCAGGGCAGAGTAGCATTTAGAGTTTGGTATGTGTGTGTGAAGTGAATCTGTCTCTAGGAACATGAAGAGATTTAAGCCTGATCATAACCTTCATATTGAAGTACAATTGATACAGCAGAGCACTTCTTCCTCTGCTTTTAAATACATGATGTTTGTCACAGACTTGCAATCCAAATGGATGAAGGTGACCCACCCTTCTGGCGAAAAAATTCTTTGAAAGCTCATGTCTATAATCACCACAATTACAGCTGCTTCCACCACTGCTACTACCTTCACCACCATCTTGGTATCATTCGTTTGTTTTAAATGCTCTCATGTTTCTGACATTTTACTCAGTGTTTTATTAATATTATTATCTTTATTAATCCTCAACAACTAGTGAGCTAGATATTATTAATCATAAGATCTTCTGGGGTAAGGCTCAGCAAAGTGAAAGAACTAGGCTTATCACTGCTAGTAAATGGCAGTTCTTGGGTTCAAATGCACACCAGTTGGGGTCCAAAATGTTACTTTTTAACGTCACATCATACTGCCTAATTTCAAATGCATATATTATACTGTCACCCCTTCAGTGACAATAATGTGTACCATGAATTCTCCAAAGTAATATTCATAAGGATGTTTTAAAGGAGTAGCAGCAAAAGAACAGACTGAATATATAACTGATTAATGACAATACTTCTGAGAGGTTGGAAGATGAGACATAGAGAAAAGATGCAGAACATTCTGAAAAATTGAGGGCGAAAGGACAGAAACAGAGTAAGACAAATTAAAACCAGGGAAATAGGCAGGAAGGGGAGAAAAAGAATCGGGAGAATGAACAGAAAATAATAAGACCATCCTAAAGAATTTATTTTTTCTTTTCCCCAGAAGCCTCTTTCCTCACCTTGGAATAGGTGTTTCATCTTTTGAAATGAGTTGGATAAATAAGAAGAAAAGGTTGAAAAGTAATTTCAAGTCCACAGAGCGAACCCTAGGATAGATTGCTTTTCCCTTGCAAGCCTTTCATCCAGAAAACTTTAAGGTCTTATGGTTTTGGCAATAATTATAACAGTAATCATAATACTGCCTAGCTGGTGTTTTCCCCTTGGCAGTATGTCTGTACCAATCAGTTTGGCAGGATAATATCTTCAAGTTCACACACTAATTTGCATGAATCTGTTTGTTAGTCTACAAAAGTGAGGGCTCTTTCATGCCCTTGGACCTTAGTGTACTTGGGGCTGTCTATCTTGGACATTTGTGCTAATGAGGTACTTTTAGGTCAGAACGAAGAAGTTCTTGCTTAGACTTATTATGTACATTTGAATATTTTAGCTATGCATTTGAATGTATATATCACAGATATATGTACAAATATCTGTGGGGTGTGAAAATT
This sequence comes from Homo sapiens, assembly GCF_000001405.40. Classification (NCBI taxonomy): domain Eukaryota; kingdom Metazoa; phylum Chordata; class Mammalia; order Primates; family Hominidae; genus Homo; species Homo sapiens. Next base: position 115,970,718 of record NC_000003.12, read on the forward strand.
CAGATTGTTAGGGTGGAAATGTGACACTTCGTACTTGCAAAAAATCTTTAAAAATAGGATATTTACCTACTTATTAAAACAGTAATTTTGGTAATGCTGGTTAGCAGGTGGAGCGCACGAGAGAACTTTTCTTCCACTGAATTCTGTGACATATATGTTGTCATGAGACCTATTATTGATATGTGTTAGGGGTTTTTTATAGTAATCACTGGACATTACAATTCATTTAACCCTCTTAATGACTTGTTATGGGAGCTGAGGATGGGAGAGAGGAAGGTGACAGACAGAGTAATGGGAACAATTCATTCAGCTTCTCCAAGGCATGCCAGGGCGAGAAAGTTCAAGTGCTGATTCAGATTATTCAGAGGTATAAGGATTAATCCTAGCATGGATAGGCAGCGCATATAGGGCTGGAGGAGAAGCTATGGAACTGTGATCCTGGAGTGATGAAAGGGCTATAAAACAGGTTTCTTACACTTCCTTTTGAAAGTTCAAAAATTGTGCCTGTACAATTAATGAGGAATACAATATGACTAGATATGCCTGTACATGTTGTTGTTTGTTCCATTAAAAGTTTCATAATAAAACAGAGATCCAAAACAAGATTATGTATTTATGACTATACTGGCAAGTAAAACTTTTGTTAGAACTTCATGATAAAGCTTTTAAAAGGGCTTTATCTTATCTTTAAAAGCCCACAAGGAAAATACTTTTTCTTTTGCTTCACAATACTGAAGGACTCTTGATTTTATATAAAAAGAGTCCTCTTATTTCTAGTGCACTGACTGACCTAATATTATGAAGCTTTGAAATCATTCTTGGCTTGAAACCTAATTATTATTTCATTGCTGCTGAACATTAGTAACATGCCAGATATTATTGTGTTAACTCTTCCTAAAAGTTAGTAAAAATCATAAAGACTCCTCTATCATTTGGTGACTCCATACTTAAATAACTTAGCCATTAACTATTGATAAGGTGATTATCACCATGGAAATTTCCTTTTCCTACTGTATACAACATTAATTGATTATACCTATTAGATGGTAAGCTGCTTAAGGGAATGTTTCACATCAGTAGAGGCTCAATAAATGAAGCTTATTCAATGAAGGAATGAACAAATCAATTAATTTTATAGGCTTAGCAGAAATATAGCTTCTGATAAAGTAGATTCCATTCTTATATTATTTTCTTTTATTGCATTCAATTATCACTTGAGAAGGCACATTTTCCACATTTTTTGGCTACTAATCCTATAAATCCTATACATCTATTAAATAAAGATGTAGAAAATAATTTTCAAGAATATACATTTCATTAGGTTTAGCACACTAATAGAAAAGCTCTAATGGAAGAAAATCTATAAATTCTGGCTATAATTATAGACATCTCCTTCCATGAACAAACTCTAAACTCCTTATTCTATGAACAAGCTTGAGTTCATAAAGAAGAGTCAGAGAATTACTAAAAACAATATTGATAGCATGCTGCATTTCCAAAGAAATGGTAGCATAAAAGGAAAGCCAAAATTTATAGCAACTAAATCATATGAAAAGGAACTGCAAAAGTAAATTATCTGCTTCTAAAAAGAGAGCATAGAAATAAGTTAGAAAGACCAAATTAATAGAACTGTACACTAAAAAGCATGGATTTTACCATATGTAAGTTATGTCAATAAACTACGACTAAGAAAAAAGACATTTTTATTAGTGTCTAATGTCATTATTAAAATTTTTGTATTTTAATACGTTTAAAATATTTAAAATTTTTAATATATTTAAAATATTCCCCACAAAGTATTTCCATTTTGTCAGGGGAATAAACTCTCCTTTATTTGAATTCAAATAAAATTCAAATTACTGAAGCCCTGTTACTATGGCTTCAGAAAAGCCAAGAAACTCATTGTTCTTCATTAAGGGGTAAAGATAAAATTAAAAATATTTGAATTAAGGTTAAGAACACTGACTTTGAGATTAGATTACTGTGGAAAGCTACAAGTTATGATACTGTTGGCTGAATAAACAAACCCATGTAAACAGTAGCTTATTCATTGTTAAAATATAGAAAATAATAGATATGTGATGCAGTTATTGTGAGGATTTAGCATGACAATGCATGTAACACATTTAATGTATTAGCCCATTATATATTATTTTTATATATTATATATTATGTATTATTTTGAATTATATATTATTAATATTTTCTGCTGGGACAATCAAAAAAGGCTTCACAAAGAAGAGTGAGAAGAAAGGACATTACTGGCAAAAACAGTGGAATGAATGAAGAGATTGAGGCAGACAAGAGAAGGACATGTTGTAGTTTAAATGCGGTATTGGATCTTTGAAAGGGAGAAATGGGAGATAGATCTAGAAATATGGGACATCACCAGATGGTGATGGTGTTAAATGTTATTTTAAGGAGTTTGGATCTTAGTCAATGGGTAATAAAAAGCGATTAAACATTTTGGGGTAGGAGAATTACATGATTTAAATTGTACTTTAGAAAGATTAATTTGGCAGCAGTCTATAAAGACAAATTAGAGATGAGAATGGTTAGATGTGAGAAGTCCATCTAGAAGAATAATGCAGGTTGAGTGTCTCTTATTCAAAATGCTTGGGACCAGAAGTGTTTCAGATTTTGAATTTTTTTCAGATTTTGGAATATTTGCATATACATAATGAGATATCTTGGGGAGGGGATACAAGTCTAGGCATAAAATTAATTTATGTTGGCCAGGCGCGGTGGCTCACGCCTATAATCCCAGCACTTTGGGAGGCTGAGGCGGGTGGATCACCTGAGGTCAGGAGTTCAAGACCAGCCTGCTCCACATGGCGAAATGCCGTCTCTACTAAAAATATAAAAAGTTACCCTGGCATGGTGGCAGGTGCCTGTAATCCCAGCGACTTGGGAGGCTGAGACAGGAGAATCACTTGAACCCGGGAGGTGGAGGTTGCAGTGAGCCGAGATGGTGCCACTGCACTTCAGCCTGGGTGGCAAGAGTGAAACTCCAACTCAAAAAAAAAAATTAATTTATGTTTCATATACACCTTATATACAGAGACTGAAGGTAATTTTATGCAATATTTTAAATAATTTTGTTCACAAAACAACATTTGTGTTAAGTACTTGTGTGTGAAATTTTCCACTTACAATGTCATGTTGGTACTCAAAAACTTTGGAATTTTTGAAAATTTGAATTTTGAATTTTTGAATTAGGAATGCACAACCTATACCACTTGTAAAATAACAATGAGGTCTTGAATAAAAATGATGGTAGTTGTGAAAAATATAACGCTGAAGGTATGGATCTGGAATATGTTTTGTGGGTAAAATTGATAAGATTTGGCCTTAGAAATGGAGGGTAGTGTAATCCCAGCACTTTGGAAGGCTGAGGCTGGCAGATTACTTAAGGTCAAGAGCTCCAGACCAGCCTGGCCAACAAGGTGAAACCCCCCTCTACTAAAAATACAAAAATTAGCCAGGCATGATGGCAGGCTCCTGTAATCCCAGCTACTCAGGAGATTGAGGCAGAAGAATTGCTTGAACCCGGGAAGAGGGAGTTGCAGTGAGCTGAGACCGCACCACTGCACTCCAGCCTAGGCGACAGAGCTACACTTCATCTCAAAAATAATAATAATGATAAAATAAAAAGAAAAAAGAAATAAAAAAGAAATGGATGATAGTGACAACTAAAATGAGTGACTGAGGCAGATGTCCCAATCAATCGAGCTGTATTGAGCCAGCTTGAGGGTGCACCCAGAAAAAATGGTGGATCACAGACATATCTGTGACTATTTTTTCCAAATAGGTTCTCAGGAGGTTTAGTATCTACACATTTTCCTTAAAAGTAAGGGCAACAATGAGACAATGATTACATATTTGTGAGGTTTTAGTTAGTGCCCAAATTTTCATTTCACATAGAGTAAGGTGAATCTTTGAAGACAAGGGGAATAGAGGAAGCAGATGTCTCAGGAAGGGGTGAAAAAATGACTAATCTCATCTTGTCTTTGTTTTGTACTGGGAAGATAAGCTAGTAATAGATATTAACAGTGTGGAGTTTTTTGAAAGGGCTGGATTCTGTTTAGCCCTTAAGATAAAAAGTCTAATGGTGGTTAAGGAGGGAGGTGGTTATAATGAGGTGTGTCGAACCTCTCATCCTGACATGGCTGGGAACTCAGCTTCCAAGGTTTCTCTGGGGTCCCCTTGGCCAAGAGGGGATCTGTTCAGTCAGTTGAGGGCTTAGGATTCTTTTTTTATTTCTCAACAGTAAGGGGCAAGAGAAGAACAAATCAAAGCTATGTTGGAGGTTTACAATGTGGACATCTTGGAGTGTTCCTGAGCCAATAATGAGATTGTCCTGGAAGATTATGGATCCTATTTAGAATACTTTGTGTGTGAGATGCAAACATGAGAGACTGGCTGAGCACAGTGACTCACTCCTGTAATCCCAGAAGTTTAGAAGCCTGAGGCAGATGGATGGCTTGAACCCAGGATTTTGAGACAAGCCTGGGCAACACAGTGAGACCCCATCTCATAAAAAAAATAGAATTAAAAGAACCTGACAAACAAACAAAAAAACAAAACATGAGAGACATCCAAGTTGATTTTATGGCACTTAGCCTGTAAATACAGGTCTCGAACTAATGAAAGAGGTTGGGGTAAAGTTTTAGCATTTTCCCAATTTATGCAGATGATTGAAGCAGGGACAGAGCTTTGGGGTGTTCTTGCAGTTAGAAGACAACAAGAAAAAGCAAAGGAGACAGACAGTAAGTTGTTTTCTGAGAAATCAGTTTCAATATCTGTAAGGGCAGGCAGCTGGTTATTCAAGAAAGCGAGAGGGGAGATTATAGTTTGGGGATGGTGAATGGAGATGACTCATTCAAAAACAAACACTTCACTCTCCTGACTCCTGTACTTCTGTGCTCTCCAAGTTATCCTACTTTTCTGACCACAGAGATTTCTAAACCGCCAAAGCATTGACTGTTTTTTTCCCTGTATCTTACATTACTGACCTCTTGAAAATCTCTAACCAATAATCTTCTGTGTAAATAAGACACATATCTATGTTTCTAGTCCCTATCTCTTTCCTGAGATCCATCCTATCATTTCTAACCATCCACACAGCCATTTTTACATCCGTATACCTGACATTCAAACTCAAAATGTCCCAACTGCCCCCTCTTTCCAAAGCAACATCTCTCTTGGTTTTACCATTCTCCCAGTCACTACAGGTTGAAACCTTACAGGGAACTTTACTTTTCTCAGCTCTTTCATGGTAATCATTAATAAGTTCTTCAGCTTCTTTCACCATGCTTAATACCCTTCTCCATTTTCTTTGACACCACTCCAGGAGGCAATTGAAATCTTCTCCAAACTGCATTCCTGTTTCTTCCCATTTTAATCTGTTCTATTTGTGGCTGCATGATTAGTCTCCTTAAAGAGAATTTGGATCATGTCAAAAATTTTCAGTGGAGTATCACTGTCTACTTAACTAAGTGCAAACTTATACTTTCACTAAATATTCTCCATAAAATATTTCCATTTTTTCCAGAAAATAAACAATCCTTTGAATTCAAAATAATTAAATTCACAACGAGAAGATTAGGGGAGATGGAAAGGAGTGGAGAGAAAAAACCGACTTAGCAACTGCAAAAATAAATCGCTAATATTTTTGGAGACATAATATATACATGACAATAAACTCAATCTGAATCAAAAGAGGCTGAGCATAAACAACAAACAAGAGAGGTCATCATCACTGTGAAGGGACTTCTATTTGTTTGAAGAAAAAGATTTCAGAAGCAATTTTAAAAAGATGATCTCCAGGAGACAAATAGTACAGTATTATTTTATTCCATTTGGTCAGGATTCATAGTGAGTGATATGGTTTGGCTCTGCATCCTCACCCAAATCTCATGTTGAATTGTAATCCCCAATGTTGGGGAAGGAATGTGGTGAGAGGTGATTGGATCATGGGGGCGGATTATCCCCTTGCTGTTCTCATGATAGTGAGTGAGTTCTCATGCATCCTGATGGTTTAAAGGTGTGCGGCCCCTCCCTCTTAACTCTCTTTCTCCTCTGCTGCCATGTGAAGATGTGCTTGCTTCCCCTTTGCCTTCTGCCATGATTGTCATGCCACCTGCACAGCCTGTGGTACTGTGAGTCAATTAAAAACTTATTTTCTTTATAAACTACCTACTCTCAGGTAGTTCTTTGTAGCAATGTGAGAATGGACTAATACAGTGAGTATTTCATTCTGTACTAGATATCATCTTTTAGGACAGAACAACTGGGGAACAGCCTTGGGAGAGGGAGCATAACATTGAGCGGAAGAAATGAAATCTATTTCATATTATATGAAATATTATTGAATAAAGGAATACTATTTGGCTTGAAAGTGAGAAGATTTAGAATGACCCAAGATGCCTTTTACATATATTAAGAATGATCAAGAAGAATGGTATTTTACCTTTTTCAGTATGGCCCAGACTAGCATATTAAGACCAATGGATGAAAAGAAGATAGATTTATGCTCAATGTAGAAAAGAAAATTCTCATAGTCACTGGTAAGTTTTCTGTCATCATAGGTTTAAATTTACTCAGTAACAACTCTGAAGAAATATTATAGGGTTAATTCAAGCATCAAGAGTAGAAATTGATCCACATGATCTCTGGGGTGTTTCCCAAATCACAGAATCTAGGATCTACCTTTCTAAAGCAGATTTGGCCCAACCACTCTAATTTACCATAGGTTCCTGCCAGACATGGCCAGTCACTCTCCCTTGTGTTTACTTTACACCTTCCCAATTCAATTCCTTTGCTCAGATTTTGTCCTTTGCCTGAAATGCTCACATACTCCACCAGCTGGTATTGTACTGATTCTTGCAAGTCCAATCTAAATGACTCCTTCTTACTAAATGTCTCCCAACTTAAATATCTCCTCCTTATTGTCCAAGCTGGGTATAACATTTATTAAATGGCAGAGCAGGAATGAATACAACAGAACACCAAAAAAAAAAAAAAAAAAATCTTTGTCTTTTCCTCTGTCTCTCTTTTTCTTTCTTTCAGATTTAAATATGAATAGTCGACTAAAGCAAGTTCCAATTTTGAAGGAAGGAAAGAAGGCCAAACTAAAAAAGAAAGAAGACATAGTCTTTATGGCACTGAAGAACTGAATAAATTAAATTTATCCTAAGTTATTAAAAAAATGGTAGATATTATGACAAACCCCATAGTCTTTCTTTCTTCCTTCCTTCCTGTCTCCCTTCCTTCCTCTCTTCCTCCTCTTCCTTTCTCTTTCTATCTTTTGAAACACGGTCTCTCTGTTGCCCCTGCTGGAGTACAGTGGTGCAGTCATGGCACACTGCAGCCTCGAACTCCTGGACTCAAGTGATCCTTTCACCTCAGCCTGTAGAGCTACAAACACCTGCCACCACGCCCAGCGACTTCTTTCTTAAGGCAAGGAAATGGTAGTTATTTCCTTCTCATAGCAGAGGCAAAATCTATGCCCTCTATAAAAAAAGAAAAGTAAAGGACAACTTTGGTAATATATGGATCTACTTAATATTGGTTCCCAGTAAGAAGAGATTATAGATTGAAATAAACATGACAATAAGGGAGGGCAGACATGATAATCCTCATTTACAGGTAAGGAAACTCAAGGTAAATGAGGCTAAGTTACCTGTTCTTCACCACCAAGATCTTTAACATTCTAATCCAGTACTCTTCCCACCACATCAAAAACTATTCATCAGTAATTTACTATGAATGTTTGAATAACAATGGTGTCAAGCAAGAAATTTTGTGTTTTTTTAATGATAGTGACAAATTACAAGGAGAAAACAAGCTCAGAAATGCAGTATTATTAGCAGTATTCCTACTAAATAAACAAACTATCCTACAGTGATTACCTCCAAGGTAACAAACAGATCCCATCTTATTTCACAGATGAGAGACTAAGAAAAGAATCAATGAAAAAAAAAAAGTTAAGGAGTTGGCAGAAATGATAAAATGGGGGAAAAAATAGGGCAGGCTATCAACTTACAGCCTATCAGTGACCTTGCTGATAAAGGCTTTGGTTGAGAAGTTGAGTGCTACCATGATAAAAGGAGAATTAAGATGATGCCAAGACTATTTGATTTTGCAGTTAGGAAGAAAGCAGTGATAGCCAACTTTAATTGAAATCAAAAGGAGGTGAGTAAGGAGATGAAGTCAACTTTCTTGAGAAATTTGGCACTAAAGGAATAAGAAATTTATTTATTGGTAGAGTGGGAAACATTGTAAAACAGAAAAAAAATCAATAAAACTGAGTTTTATATATTTAAGGCAGAGAGCTATGCATGAATAAAGAGATATTGAAAAGGCAAAAGGAGATCAATATCTAAGGGTTGAAGACGTGGAGTATCTTAAAGATTTTTTTTAAAAGGAGTGCACAGATAGAGAGACTAGACATGGGGAAGAAGAGCAAAGAGGGGAGAGAGGGAAGAAAAAAAACAGAATAAGTTGGTCGTATTGAAGCTTCTCCATCAACCCTAGAACAATTAGCTTCCACCAGTATTTGTTTTAGGAGGAATAGTTTAAAGAGGAGAAAAGGAAAGGTGAAAAGGCCCAGTCTAAGGGCTCTAGTTTATATGGAAGGACGTGAGAAGAACAACAATATTGTGAGATTTACCAATTTGAAGAGAATGCAAAACTTTTATTATATCCATTATGAAATATATATATGAGATATTCAGAAAGAGTTAGATACAAGTATTGCTTAGCAGCAGGATTCAGTTGATATGAGAAAGCATGGCTTTGAAGGTTCTATGATTTTCTTTAGAAGTACCTTTGGGCCCAGAAATATAAGCAGAAATTAGACAGTGGCTAGTATTCAGGTTAGAGGCTTAGAACATAGTTTCTTCATGTAACCTTGGATTGAACTTCCAAGGGAGATTGAGGAATCTCCATTGCCTAAAATCTCAAAGAACATGAGGTCCCTTGGAGTACTATGGTTCCACGAATAGTAATTCTGATCACCATACATCAAGTTTCTCTCCTCTGAATAAAGAACAGAGATTATTCCTTCTAATCATGGTGCATCTTCCATTGACTCAAATACTTATAGCTGCATATAGTAGTTGTTTAATAAGTGTTTGCTAACTAATTCTAAATGGAAATAGGTTTTGGACAGATTGAGATACTTTAGTGAGGCTTATAATTTTTCTGCTTAAAGGTGCCCTTTAATCATTAGCATAGTTCTTTACATAGTCTGTTAAGTTAAATTAACATACTTTTTGACTCTAAAGTCAACTTGTATTTGAACTTCCAGTAAGATTAGTACATGCAATTCACTGTAACTTTTTTAAAGTTACATTTATTATTAAAAAAATACTTAAGATACCCCATTGCATTCTGAGAGTTTAACCTAGAATTGGAAGAAGATATTTTAACATTCATGAAGTAAAATATTCTTTCAAGTTTTCAGACTATTAATCCCTTGTCAATTCATTTCCCTCTTAACAAATGATCAGTTAATTTAAACTGTAGATTTGTTACTTAGAGTTTCATAAAAATACTAAAGAAGATTGTAAGTTTTTTTGTTAAATTTAGCTGTTGATGTCTTCTCTTTATAATTTTGAAATTTTTCAGTTTCCAGAACTTCAAAATAGATACTATTTTCCAACTCCTCAATCTTTTTTCTGTGTAAAAGGAAAATAAGCCCTATGGTGATCTCTCAGTTTGGAGTTTTTGGTTTCTATTTGTTAGTGTAGAAAGAAAATAGTCTTAACTTCTACTTTGAGATTATAGATAGCAGAAAACAGTTCTATATTTATTTCCCCACATATTCCCTTTGGTTCTGGTTTTATACAAGTATAATGGGAAATACTGAAATACAGCAAGTTGACAATCCATTTTGGAACACTTAGATACCTTGAATAATTATTGAGATCTGTGGGTTATTACCTGTACTGAGTCTTTTGAGATTCATCCACTTCTATTTTCCATTTAAAGGGGACCTTGGTCCTATGACTTCAGAAAGGACAAGCCCCAAGGTCCCAGCTGTGTTCCCCTTTTATCTCCTAATCTAGTCATCTCACTTACCCCTAAGGTCATATATCTTTTGCTGTTCTCTGTTGCATGAAGTAGCCTTTATGCTTCAGAAAATTTAAAGGTCATTTTCCTTTCTTTGAAACCTCGCTATGTTTTTTTAACTTACAGTGTCAGTTTCAGTGAAAGGAAACGGAGAGGTGAATTGTCGTTTCACTGGTGATAACCAGAGCTTAGGGGAGTACTTCCACTAGTTGTTTTCAACCCTGGGTCACAATGCCAGTGTCCCAGACTGAGTTCCCTTCCCACTTAAACCTCATAAACTATAACCCAGCAATGACATGGCATTCATGGTGTGAAATGAATGTTGTTTCACAAGAAGTTGCTGCATCATGGAAAATACACTTAAAAAGAAAAAAGAAAGTAAGTTCAGCGATCAATCAGAGTGAAAATTTGGATAGGGCTAAAAGGTCCTGCCCTCCAAAGCTGAGTTCTCAGAAAGATGTCAGGAAACTAATACCCACTACACCTTTATAGTAAAATTATTTCTCAGTCAAGTCCTTAGATATTCATGTAAAGCTAGACCTTTTGCAATGAAAGCAACAGGTGTTGTGAATTCCTTTTTGTTGGTTTTGAGCTTCTGTTTTTTTCCCTATTGTTGACAGTATGATCTTTAAAAAAAAAACTGTATCTTTTGAAAGCTACAAAATACATTTTCCAATCCTCTTTAACCTTGTATTTTTTATAGAAATGCACTCTGATCTATTATTTTATAATCATATTACATACCTGAATGCTGCCTTTCATCCACTTTCTGACATCAGCAGGTTACTAGTCACATGAAATGAATACTGATTGGATGTGGATGGCATCTACTGGCCATGAATTCTGATTGGCTAGTTGCTCAGAAGCATGAAGGTCACTTGCTGAATTGTTTGTGCTTTAGTCAATATTGTCCCATGTTCTCTTGCAGACCTGATTTCTGAGAGCATTATTTAACAACAACAACAAAAAACAACCAAATCCGCACATCGGAATTCTAATCAAGGGCCCTTGTTTCCTTCCAGCCTCCAGCTATGAAAATTACATTATTCTTTTTATGCCACCTTCCTTTGAATGTTCTCACAAGAAAACCTTTACATAGTTATCTAAAGAAGCCCAATCCATGTGTGACTAGGTGTCTAAGGGTAAAAATGACAAGAGTCACTAACAATGGAAAAGTCTAACTTGGAGGTCCAAAGTGCACCCATCTTAATCTCTTGTATGCTTCTTGGTCAAAATGTTTTTCTTTACATAATTTAACATAAATGCCTCCACATTTTATTTATCTTTGAAGGAAGGAGGAAGTATAAAATAAAACTTAATCATCACTATCAATTCATTCTACGGATAGGGAAAGGATAAAGTTGAGACAGCCTAAGGCTTTCATAAGCGGTTATTGATGAATGAGAATAACACCTTTATACAACTGGTGGATGTTTGAGACTGAACTGTGTATGAAGGAGATATTTACAGGCAGAAAGTCAGGGATGGGTGGTGATTGCAAGAAATGTAGATGGCATGACTCCCGTTCCAGAGATAAGCTTGCCAAGTTCTCTACCTAGTTTAGTAACAGCTTCCAAATCATCTGGATGCCTATTAGTCCACACTGATTTTGAACTTAGTCTCATAAGATACAGATTCTTTATTTAAATATGTATTTACTTGTTTATTTTAAATAAAAAGGGGAAATCCTCAAATTGCCCAAGATTCTTCTGGTACAGAATTAATAAAACAGCTGAAGTAGGACCCAAGAGGTCCTCAGTGTCTCAATTTCCCATTTTCTACACTCTGTGACTAGTTTCTCAGGTTTTTAAAAACCTTTTCCTATGTTCCCTTTTCCCCTGTATTGTACATTCTCTCTCTTTTCTTTTCTTTCAGTCTCTGAGCCTCCATCCCCCATTCCTCCAGCCTCTCCAGTTACCAGTAGTGCTGATTGTATTTCTCCTCTTTCTCTTTTTATCTCCATCACTGTCTCAGCCAGGGCTTTTCAAGTACCTGAGATTTATTTTTATTTTTATTTTTAATCACTTCCTCTTTTTCTGTTTATCTGCCTGTCACTGTCTTTGCTTTTCTCAGCCTCCTCCCATGGGTGCACCGTTATCTCTTTTCTCCGTCTTAACCAATCATTGCCTATGGAGACTTTTTTTTTTTTTTTTTTAAATCCAGTCTAAGGCAAAGTATGAATAGCTTGCCAGAGAGGTCAGTTGAGATTCAATTTAAAAGTAATGCTATGGAAAATCCAACTTCCATATCTCACTCCTTCATTGCTGCCCCTGCCAATACCAAAATATAGCAACAATAACAACAACAAAAAACAAACACCAAGTTAAAAACTTGGCTTTCTGAGATGCAAAAAGGAAACTGAGTATGGGTCATCTGGGTCACTATAGGAAAATCTTAGCATTTGACATGGTATTTAGCCTTGTCTATAAATAAATTAATGGCCAGGCATGGTGGCTCATGCCTGTAATCTCAGCAGTTTGGGAGACTGAGCAGGGAGGATTGCTCAACACCCAGAGTTCAGGGCTAGCCTAAGCACTATAGACTTCATCTCTAAAAGAAAAAAATAATAATAAATTAAATTAGCCTGGTATGGTGGTGCACACCTGTAGTCCCAGCTACTTGAGGCTGAGGTGAGAGGATGGCTTGAGCCCAGGAGGTCCAGGCTGCAGCAAGCCATGATTGCACCACTGCCCTCCAGCCCAGACAACAGAATGAGAGCCTGTCTCAGAATAAAAATAATAGTAATAATAATAATTACTAAATTACAAAGTACATTCTAGTTTTTGGTTTTATGTTCCTCAGTATTAAGATTTCTGATAATCACACATTGAGCCAACAACTATTTACAGAAAGGTCTGCCTAAAAGGAAGATTTTCCAAAATAAGTAATTAACATCTAGTCAAAGAAAGAGCCATACAGAGGGGAGGGCAGAACACATGAGAGGACAGTGCCTAGTGGAAAACACAGATGATTAACACGATATGGCTCCTTACACTGGGGCCTGCAGAAAGGAGAACAGGCAAGAGATGAGTCTTCAGAGATAGGCAAGGGCAGAACCACAGAGTATTCTTGATGTTGGCACAAAAGTGGCAATGTTAACATTAAGAGACAATGGGAAACTATTGATGGCATTTACACAGAAATAGAGGTTGCAAATTTGTGCTATAGAACAATAATTTGACAGCACTATGGGAAATAAACTGAGGGAATGTTAGAGAGGAGGTAGGGTGACCAGTTAAGAGGCTCCTGCAGTACTCTAAATGAGACATAATACCAAGTTGGAAAAAAAAATCAAGAAATAAAAACAGTTCAAGAGATATTTAAGTCACAGCTTAGAATCAAGCTGGGTATGGGGAGCAAATAAATAGGAAGAGTCTGGGATGACACCCACACTTCTGGCTTGCCTGAATGGGGGTGCTATTCACAAAGAAAAAAAAAATCAGGAGTAAAAATGGATATGAATGGGAAACATGATCAATTCAAATTTTCTGCATATTAAAATCGTTTATTTTGGGAATTATAAATAGAGATTTCCTTCAAAGAGTTAGATATATGGGCCTTAAACTCAAGATATAGGTCTAGGCTAGATGTATGCTAAAATAAGAGCATCCAAGGAGAAAGAAAGAATCAGTGATTTTCTTCCATTTTATAGTTGCTAAACATTTACTGAGAGTCTACTATAGGTACAAAGTGTGAGGGATTTAGCTATGTGGTGAGAATAAAAAGAAGGAATGAATGATCCTTGTCAATTCACTTATCTAATCATTTATGGATTCAATGAATGTTTATCATATTACTAAAAATTAAACCGTATACTAATTAGTAAATAGCAGTACCTAGTATTAATATTAAGAATCCAGTTAGAAAGTAAGATTGATAAAGCCCTAATGATAATGGTAAGTAATTTCTAGTGTAGCTCCTTTGAGGGGTACACACTATAGTGCAGTAGACATAATTCATTGTAAAGACTGTTACAGTAAAGTTATGCATACATTGCAATGGTAAAATGAGTGAAAGGGTGACATCAGGGTTCTATATAGGTTTGAAGGGAGGACATGTAATCCTAGGTAAAATGATTGGCATGTACGAAACACAGAGGTGTAAGAGTGCTTCTTATATTCCATAGATGGTGAGCAGTCTTGTGATCAAAGCTTAGATTATGTATGGGGAACAGCTGGAAATGAAGCTGGAAATACAGGCTAGGGTCAGATTGTAAAGGGCCTTGTAAGAAGCAATAATAAGATAAACTTTGTCCTGAAGGTATCAGAGCCAAAAGGCTTTTATTTAGACTACTATGCTCAAACAGGTATTTTACAGAGGAAATTCTGGTCACTTTACAGAGGAAGGATTTATTGCAAGAAAGCCTGGAAATAAGAAACATTTAGGATAATTTAACATTTATTGTGATAGCTATTATTAAATATCCTAGCTAATAAAAAATCAGTACCAAAGCGTTGCTGGAACAAAAATACAAAATGGAATATTGGCTTAGTGGTTAATTAGTGAGCAAAGTGAAAGGTTGGTGGCCAGTTAAGAACTAGATACATGATCTATGATATGAAGCAGCAAAATATTTGGTAAAATTGTCACCTCTATTAACTTGTGAGTTAGGCTACATGCTTAACCGAGTAAGCAGATTGAAAAGAAGTTCAAAAACTTTGCATTTGCTACTATTGGCTGCCTGTGGAAAACAGCCTCAAAGATAATCCCCAGTGATTCTCGCCTCCTGATGCTCATACCTCGTACCCATGTTATCCTACAGTTGGTATGAGTGACCAATATCATATGGCATATCACTTTCAAGGTTAGGTCACAAAAGACTGTGGCTTTGGTTTTGGCTGTTGTTATGCTCACTCACTGGCTTTCACTGTTTTGGGATAACAGATGCCCAAGGAAACCCCATTATGAGAAGCCCTGGGGCTTTTCTACTGGAAGTCCCACATGGTGAGGAACTGAAGACCCTTGCCAACATCTACAACCATGTAGGTGAACTTGGAAGTAGACTCTCAGTGCCAGTCAGTTCTTCGCAGACTGTAGCCACAGCTGACGGTTTGGTTGCAATCTCATGAGACTCTGAGGCAGAGCCACCCAGCTAAACTGCTCCTGGCTTTCCAGCCCACAGAAATTGTGAGATAATAAATGTTTGTTGTTTCAAGCTGCTAACTTTTCGATCGATTTGTTACCCAACAATATATAACGAATACAACTGCTTTTGGAAGAGATGATCAAAGGAGAGAATTGCCAAGTTTGCAAGTAGAAAAAAAAGAAGAGTCCAAAAGTTTGGGGCTTTGAAGGGTTAAAAAAGCCAACTGCTTCTTGATCTCAAATGGTAACAGGTGGAATTTTAAAAGACTTAGAATGACAAAGGGCCAATGAAACCTCTTAGTTGATAAAAGAAACTTAGGGCAAGGACCATATTAAGGGTGGGGCTCAAGGTAGCTACAATTAGTTGGCTGGAGAAGGAATGTAGGGGTTAGAAAGCAAAAGAAATAAAACATGCTTGAGAGCTATTTGAGTTAACTGAGTTCAAAAGAACATTGAGCATAGTTAGCACGAGTTGCTGACTAGAAGCAAATAGATTAGAAGCCTACTAAAACACATTTCACCAGTATATCTTAGGGATACATATATCACCAAAAAAATAATGAGCCCAGACTAAGAAAGCCAGAATTTCTGGGAAAAACATATGCTTTTTGAATTTTTATTTAATTGAGAAATTGGCTGAAGAATTTGCTTTCTTTTTAAACCCTGGGCCACCACGAGAAGAATGTGAACTGAAAAAGTTGTGCAGCCCCTAAGGAAAGCATATTTCCAAATACCCACTTCAGATGTGATTAAGGAAATAGTAGGTGAGTGATCATCTCTACCCCTAGATGGCAGATCCAGGAGCCACTGGAAAAAAAAAGAGGGGGGTGGGGGCAGTGAGGAAGAACACAAAATCAGAAGCTCAGCAACAATCATATCTCACCACTAGGTGGGAGGAGGGAGTTTTCATAACACCCAGTGGAATTTTGGAATTGCTTTGGACCAATGACTAATGTTTCTCCCATTTATACCTTTTTCCCAGGGAGCCTCATTCCATTTCTCTTCTATCATTTTATATTAGGCATATATGTGATGAAGAGGGGAGGAGACAGATAGCTTATCCTTTTATTTCCTTAATTGCTGGACTAAGAGGAAAAATATCTGAACCTCATGAGCAAGGCTGTGTATTTTGGTAAGACTGTGGAACTGGAGGTGTCTGCAGTTACTGGGTTTTCTCCCTTAGGGAGAAGGGGACAGTATGCTATGTGAAAAAGGAAGTATATGGCTCTCTGGAGGTCAGAGCGCTGACTGCGACAGAAAAAAAATGTTTTGTATTTACCATACCTCATTTCATTTTCTTCTTCCTGATCACAAACAAGATCACATTTCTAAGCCTCCCCTGTGGTTAGTCTCTCCCATAAGAATGAGTTCTAGCCAGTGAATTGTGAGTGGAAGTGAAACATGTTTCTTCTGGTTGAGGAAGTTATGAGCTAGTGCCTTTCCTGTTCTTTCCCTCTTCCCCCTTCACAGTGACCTTGGAGGCCATGTTTTTCCAATGGCAGAGCTGCAAGTTAGAGAAGAATGATACATACAGGACTGCAATGTAAAGGAGGAATACACTTTTATTGTTTTAAACAATATTCGTTTAACCTTGTGTTATTGAGATTTCAGGAACTACAGTGGCAGCTGGGATTATCCCAATTAATTTAGATCCCTTTCCCTTCACTTCTCCACATTATATAAGAACAGTAAAATGTCTACTAAATAAGTAACACTGTTTAGGTCAACATCTTCAAAGTTTAGAAAACATTTATCAGATAGAATGTAGTTTTACAAGGTTTCATGTATAGAATGGTTTATGATGTGTGAATTCATGTATATGCTACCAGATGATTACGAATTAGGACTTATTGTATATACTGAATTCTGGACCACACATCCAAATTATACCTCTGATATAGGACCTTTAATGCAAGCATATTTTGCAGTCAGGAGAAAATTCTTGAATATAAGATTTGCTATTTAAAAATTGCATGGAATGACTTCCTATCATTTCACAGCTAAAGTTCTTCAAACTCTTCAAATTCATCCAGCAGGTCAGATTTCTTTCCTTCTAAGTTTTAGGTACATAAGGACAATTTTATAAACTATATGTAGGTGATTTATATAAAGCTAAATATGTAATGTTTCTCTAATCTTTCTCTGACTGGATGACTTCTTATTCTGCTAATATCTTCATGATCCCATCTCCTCTGCAAAGATGAGAAGACTCATCTCATCTAAAAGCTTTCTAACTACAAGTAAACCAGACAAAGGTAAACTACTCCATTGAGTAACTTCTTTATTTCTTAATGTTTGAGATAACAAAATCACATGCAAATTTTCATTACAATGCTTCAGAACATTATATAAGTGATGTATTTCCATTTTGATCTACTATATTTCACTTAAAATCACATAGTTAACTCTTTTTACATAGTGTTTAATTTGATTTCATGTGCACACAGAAGCAAGCATGCCTAAAAGAGTAGTGCCAAGACAAGAAACACTGTTTCTCAAGCTTGCTTCTGGAACAAAATTTAAATGTTGGATATCAGGGTAGGGAATAGAATGTCTGTAGAATAAAGTGTTTTTTGTTTGTTTGTCTGTTTGTTTGTTTTAAGAGAAATATGAGGTCTCACTGTGTTGCCCAGGCTAGACTCAAAATTCTGGGCTTAAGTGACCCTCCTGCCTCAGCCTCCTGAGTAGCTGGGATTACAGGTACACACCATTGCGACTTAGAGAGTGCCTTGATAATAATTGTGGGTGGATGTAGCATGAACTCTTTAGACTGGACTAATGTTGAAAATTAGCGAACTATAAATTTAAACACATATTTACTTCTTTATATTCTTTTTTGATTTCCTTCATTTTTAATAGCAAAACAACACTTTCAATTATCAACGTGGCTGGTATTTTCTAAGCGTTGTTCTTTCAGTTGAGATAACAATAAAAGTGGTCCAGATGTCATCGCTTATTTTCATCAACATTATCTATTTTGTTCTCTTTCCCATATTGTTATGACAGTCTTAACATATACTTGAAAACAATTAAAACTCTTTCATTCTCGAGGATGTTTTGACTCCCTTTCTCTTGCTATATTCCCTTCTCACCAATAAAACCATAGCGTTTTTCTAAATGAGAGGAGCATAGTGATATCAAACACTGACAATTCATTTCTTAAAGGGCATTCAATTTTCACACTAAATGAGTCGTTCACAGGATGAGAGTATAGTTCAAGTTATGTGGTAAATAGAACTGAAGAAAGTGAAAGCAATTCATAGAAGAGAAGAAAAGAAAAAAAGGAAAAATAGAAAAGTGAATAGCTTACGTCCTGTGTACCATATGAACAGAGAAAATAAATGCTAACCACATTCCTGGTGATTTTCTGTTCCAAGGAAATATCAACCACCACAACTATAATTTGCATTGTACCTCACACCACATTCTTAAAAGGGACTTTTTAAAAGAAGATATTGGTAATTAGAAAAATATTAGTATTCCGTAAATAGTACTTTATTTTTTACTAATAACAAAGCTTGATATTGCAATGAAGCTTGTTAGTGGTCACTACATTAGTATTACATCTAGCTGCTCATTTCCAAAAGTACAATAAAGGCTTCTTTTTTTATTTCTCTTTCCATGTTCTCTTTGCCCATCTGTCAATAATTGAAAAGCACTCTATCAGGAAATGGAATTTGTATGATCTGTCTCCTCTATAGTGCTAAAGAAAAAAATGCTTGACTCTGTGTTAGACTTTCTTGGTCTGGTATATCTTTTTGTCATTAATCCAGGCATGTTTTAGAAGGGTTTTTAGTGGGTGCATTTCCAGGAGGGAACCATTGTCTTTTTGGTAATGTACTTAGTCTCCGGAATTATTGTCCTCAATTCTTAGATGTAGACTAGACTGGGTAGAAATAGCTTATTTCCTAGCCCTCTTTTTTAGCCATTGCTATTATTAATGATAAATGACTTAAATGAGCACATCCAGGCTGAGGACTTGATTTAGAGTGAGTTAGAGTAACTCAGAATAAACCCAAGATGATGTTAGAGGCACCTGACACTTAACAAATGATCAGAAAAGAACAACCCGTGTACATTCAGAGTTATAATATAAGTGGATAGATTGTTGCATAGGATTGGAATTTAAAATCAGAGTTAGGAGCTACAGAGATTTCTGAACTGAGTGTGTTGAGATGACATACAAAAGAGATATGAGTAAAGATCAGGAGAATCTAGTTCTTAACCAGCCTCCACACACAGCTGACTGTGGTTTTAAAAGCATTCCTTCTTTGATTCTTCCTTGAAATGTAATCCAGTCAGTGAGATAGAAATCTCCCTGCACTTGAGTCTTATTTGTCATAATTACGCATCTTTAGGGTTTCATAATGATCAATTTAATCACTTTGCCGTTTAGAGGGCTATAACAGCCAATCATGATAATAGGTTTGGTATTTGGGAGGAACCATTTAACGCCCAAGAGCCCTTATTCTGAGCCTCTTGATGCTACTTCAACTTGACAGGCAGCTTCTGATTAGCACACATTGCAAAATCTTTGGTAAAATGCTCATTTCTTTTAAATAAATTCTGTGACCTAGTAGTAGGCATCTTAGCTTGCATACAAGGTCATGTGTAAGAGAAGTTTCCTCCAAAATGCTTATTTTCTTTCTAGCCATCTATTAAAACAGTCTGAACACACCAATCAGCTTCTGTTTTCTCAGGAATTCCAAATGTAGCTTGGTTCTAAGTGGCTGGTGAAAATGCACCTGAACTTCCCAAACTAGCTCTGTTACTGTCATTGAATGATATCGAAATATTTTTGGACTGTATCTACCTAAAACTCACCATTTTCCTATCATCAACGGCCTTGTCTAATACCTGTCACACTAACATGAAGAGAAACAAAACGAGGTCTTAGGACATTTGTTCTCAATCTTTAGTGAATGTTAAGATCACAGGGAGAGTAGGCTTATTTGAATGTAGATTCCTAGGGCTTATCCTCAGAGGCTTTTATTTGTTGTCTTGGATGGCCCCAGGAAACTCCATTTAACAGGCACCCCAGTGATTTTGATATAAGTAGCCCTGAATCACATTTTGAGAAATATTGTGCAAGGCCAATTACTAGTAGATTGGCTACTATAAAGACATCTCAGCATTTTATCTAAAAACATTAATAAAATGGTTTTCCTTCCCCCGACCCCCGGCTATGCCTCCATTTCTTCTAAACTAGATAATCACTTTAAAAAAGTATTTTGTAAATGAATGTTTGAGTGCATTTACTTCCTTGGAAAAAAAGAAGATAAAAAATACAGAGCTTTTTCATCTGCATAGCATGATTTTAAAACTAAACAGGGATTAGACTTTGGAAAGCTTTGCCAAGATTATAACTCACAGTATAGCAGTTTGAGCATGAGATGTGAACTGAAATATCACCTACAGTATGTAGATTTTACTTCTTTAATTTCCTAATCTTCAGTATCCTCATCTGTAAAATAGGGATAGTCATACATGTCATATAGAACTCAACTTGTATTTAATAAAATTAAATACAATTATATATTATACATACATATACATGTGCATGCCTGTGGACACACACAGCACAAACACATGTATGGCTTAGCAAAATACCTGAGCCAGAGTAATATTTTTATTGTAAATTGATAATTTATAATTGTATAAATTTGTGGGGTACAAAGTGATAATTCATGAACACAAGGTGGAATGATTAAATCAGAGTAATCTTACATAGTCATAGTAATCGAGGGGCTAGAAACAAATGTTAACATCTCCAAATTGTATCTATCTGGGAAAAGAAAATGCGGCTTGTAGCCACTCTGTCTAACCTATTCTTCTTTATAGGTAAAGTAAAAGCAGTAGAAACCCCAAAAAAAGGGAAACTGCCGTTTAAAGACAGGCAGGCTGTTACTATGAAAGCAATGCCACGGACTGCACTGCAGGTTGCTAAATGTGCTGAGGTTATTTGTGCCCAGCAATAAATACTGTTGCAAGCTCCAATGGCAGGAATAAGGCCATGCCATGCCCCAGGGTAAAGGAGAAAGGAAATGATCTGGAACTACCTTCTTTTCCCCACCCATGTTTGCTCTTGCACATGCTACTAGATTTTTTCCCCCTCAATTATCCCAATGTCTTGTTTTGAAAGGGGGCGGGTGGACAGCATGGATGTAGAAACTAAGTTATTTATTGTCTTTGCCTCCAGTATACTTTGAGAAGAAAATGTGCAGCACATACATTTTGTATAAAATATGTTATAAAGTATTTAGCTGAGTAATAATACTTTGGATTGTTATTGCCAGATGAGATGTCCCCAGCCCCCAGCTCCAACTTTACACCAGCATCAGCCTATGTGATACAGATGAGGACCCAGTCAAGATGGCAGTGTAAGCTCTCATTTGCAATGGCAGCAGTAGTTGATGAGGGCCAGAGGAGGGTAAGGGTGTCCAAGTGATGATTCCCATCTCGCTACTCTCCTCCTCCAGGTCAAAAAATCTTTATTTTTAAATTATTTTTTCCTGTGGCTGCTGGTCTTCTTTATAGTTTTGAAGATACATGTTTGGGCTCCTACAAGTGAGTAGGACGATCAAAGACACCCTCCCTCTTCTATTATCGGGGTTAAACCAGCATACAGATTAGATGATACCACTGAGTAGATTTGGTCATTTGAAACCACAGAGTCAAATCTTCTCATAAGATGCAAATAAACATAAAAGTAAGATTCATTACACAAACTTTTTAAATAAAAAGCTTTTCAAAAATGCATTTATTTTGTGTATTGATGGTCTTTCTACTATTGTAGAAGACTATCAGATAATGTCGATACAGTTCATAAAGATGACTAAAGGGTAATAATAGAATATATTTAATAAAAAGTAAATTTATGACAACAATACCATCTAGAGATGGATAATTAAGAAGTTGCATTGATATGACTGCTCATTAATATATCTGCTGCTCTAATTAATGCTGTCAGGGTAACAGTGGTCTCCCTTGGATGCTGGCTGTCTCTTCAGTCACAGGACCTTGAGGGCTTGGGAGAGCCCTCTTTTCTGCTTCTCTTTCTCTCTTTACCTAGCTGATACTGGATGTATGGATGGTGCCAATTTCTCCTGCATTTGTTTTCAGCTTTCTGAAGTTCGATATTGCATAGACATCTGGCTTCAAAGCTATGTATGCCTAAGTAGTTTTTACTCTGTAAGCTAGGAATACATTTATATTTCTCCTACATACTCTACATGGTTAGTATTATTTGTAAGTCAAATGTTTATAAAGCACAGAGATTTTTGGGAGAAGGTGATAAATAAATGCTTGGAAAAAGAAGCAAACAAGAAGCCCCCTAAGTTTTTCTAGTGGCAGTTTGGATATGTTAACAGAAATCTGAGCTCAGTGCCACTGTAAAATCCTACACATCCTCATAACAGTCTTTAAAGTGTTAGAAAAAAATTCATCTAGCATTTCCATTTCTACTGCTGTATTGCCTGTGGTGGCGTATTCATCCTCTCTTTAGTGCATCTAGGAGAAAGAATTTAGTATTCCATAAAGGAATCAATTCCTCAAAATTTCTGACTATATTTTGTATGTTCAGATAATCTTATTAACATTTAATGATTATGTAAACTAAATTCATCTATTCCACTTTTGAAATTTGTTCATAACTTGTCTACTCAGTTTTCTAAGTCATGACATGTTATGTTAATTTGATTATTTTTGTGATATTTTCCTTGTGCTCATAAAGAAACAGACTTTGCTTATTATTATAGACTTGAACATACATATTTTAAACCTTTTGCCCTCAAAATTATGACATCTGCAATAGTGGCTTTTTAAAAAAAATTTTTTTAAGTAAAAAATGTGGTATCTGTATAAAATATACAATGATCAAGTTTTCCCCATCTCATTATATTTTCAATTCCTTTCCTTTCTTATTAGTATGCAATTTTTTATTACTGACAAGTGGATGAATCAAAATGAGAATGTTGATTTATCTCAGCAAACACTTTACACCTGTAGAGAATGGTGCTGTTGGCTCACATCAGTACACTCTTAGAAAAAATGCAGAGATGTCTTCTAGGTTTGAACTTTGTTTGGAAGACTAAAAATTAGTGGTTCAAGTTCTAGAGCTTTTACATGGTGGAAGTTGGGAAAAAGAAACTTTGGTGTTTGTTTGTTTGCTTTTTCTCTACCTTTGTGATTTGAATCTGGCCTTTGGAAATAACCACTGACAACCTGGCATTGCAGCACTGACAACAGCAATGAAGAGAGTGACTTCCTGGATGTCAGTATGGCATCAGCTCTTCAACTCTCCTGCTCTTATTGTTGGCATATTTGGGAAACAATAACCAAATAAAAAAGTCAGCTTCAGGGAAAGAGGGAGGAACCAGGATGAAATTTTATGAGTCTACCACCTGGGGATTTGTGAGGAGTGACTTCTAAAGAGGAGAAAAGAATAGTCAGTCTCACTATAGATATGAAGGGAGCTCTAGTCATTTTAATAAAAACAGTTACTACTCTCAAAAATGCAACTTCATTTGGTAATGCAACCTGAGAAGTGGGTCATATCAGTTATAAAATTATTTAATTATAAAAAGTCATGATCTTTGTGATCCTTTCATGAAGCTTGGTTTCTCTTAATGTGTCTTAGTCTTTGTAACTGATATAGTGTGCTGTTGAATAATCGCTAGGCTAGCCACATTTAACTGCTGAAAGGTAGCCTCATTTCAGCATGGAGTGAGTGATCCCCAAATACTGGTAGTGGAATGTCTTGGGATTTCAATAGATAAAAGAAACAATGTTAATGTAGAGTCATTAAGAGCAAATTTTTAATTTGAGAGCTTTGTTTTATACTAGAATGAAAAATGAAATTTGGCCACAGGTGCCTTCACTTTTCTTTTCGCTTTAATCTGTGGACTCAAAAGAAACTATAGTCAAGTTTAGCAGTTGTCTTTTCATTCTACATGGATAGAGATTTGGTTGATAACAGGCATTTGCATGTGGAGATGCTGGGGTGATAACCTATCACAGAATGGCTTTTTCCTCATCCTTTTCTGAAAGAGATGTGTCAAGTCTGATACAGGTATACGTGAGAATGTAGATGCTGGGCATCGCACAATGCCCATATTTTCAGAGAAAAGTACAAATAAAGATTTGTGTAAAGCATTCCTAGAAGCTTTCCTGTACTTGTGTACCAACCATCTTTAAATCTTGCTGGTCTATCTAAGCTTGTCAACTTTCCATACATAGTATTCACCAAAGGAAGTTTCCATACATTCTTTTTCAAAACAAGGAAAGAAGCCTGTCCTGCCCCAGAGGCCATCCACTTTCTGTGTAATGTCACCATTATTCCTGTCAGTAGCCAGGTAATTAAGGATACACATGATCAATAGGCTTGCCCCTTCCAGAGCTTTGTTATCTTCACCTAAAAGTGCCTGTTCATAGTGAAGGCCAGTACTGATCCCAGACAAGGGGGGCTTTTTCCTCTTGTTTAATTTAGTGCCCTTCCTCTTCCACAGTGTTCAGGATCTAGAATACTGCATGGCACACTGATAGAAGCCACTCAGGGAATATTTGTTGATGATGATGATGATAATTATTCTATATCACAGACCACTAGTGCCTTCTCTGATTAATACCAATTTCTAATGATTGAATTTATGTTTTTGTTGTCAATGAATCAAAAAACTGCATACATTTCAGAGGATGTTCAGAAGACAGTTTTAGGGTTTTTTCCCCCCAATAACCTATTCAATGACCAATGTTTCACTAGACTTAAGGAGGTGGAGAGAAAAATAATAAAATGAGAAGATATATGTTTTAGTTCAATTGACTTTACATGTTAGTAATAGGACAGAAGTATCATTCAATACTAAATTAAGAAAACTCATGTTACATTTGATCCCCAATGACTTATCCCCATGATCAAATTTTCTTGGAAAATTAATGGACATTTATTTGGAGCTGGTGAGGAAACTTGTATATATTAATATTTTCCTGAGTATAACAAGTGATTAGTCTATGGGGACATGTGAATAAACATTAGAGAAAACTTAGCTTGAGATACAATATATTAACAATCAGAACTCTAGATTGAATGGATACCTGAGATTAATTTACTATGATTACCCAACAACTGGTTAAAGAAATACCTTAGAATATATTTTAAATATATACTTTAGAATATATTTAATTTAGAACCTATTTTATAATCCACAAGGAATATGTGAACTGGATTATAATAAAGTTGATTCATAACTGATTAAAATTTTTTCCTAAAGTGTGCTAATTAAAGGATTGATATCAATTTGAGGGACTTAGAAAAGGACATCATAATCAAATTTACTAAGAATAACCAATTAAAATAGCCAAACCATAGAATAGCAGTAATAATAATAACTACACATTGAACATTTACTACATGTTAGGAATAGTTGGATGGTAGAATAGCATCCAGTTAGTGAGTTCTACTTCTGGGCTGACATATGCAGATAATCCCCCCACCATCTTTTATTTCAAGAGAGATCTACAGGGAATTGGGGTTATCCTTGGTCTGTTGTAACAAGAATTTCAAAATCATTGCTTTACAGTATTATGACTTCAGTAATAAAACAAATCTGCTAACATGTAACAGGGATAAATGTAAAGTTTTCCCCTTAAATTAAAAAAAACAAATGATGTAAATTCAAAATGGGAAATACATGGCTCATTAGCTTTGTGTGTGAAATGACTCAATTTTTAGTTGACTATGATCTCACAGACACTGGTATGGATGTGGGGAAAAAAAACAACAATTTTTTTCTAAGTCCATACAAATCTCATTATTTGAGGTTAAATTCATGTAGTTTTTGTTTATCCTTTATTCATTTCTTTATTTATTACTATTTGCTCAGGAAAGGTCATTTCCTCCCCTCCTCTCAGGCTCCCTTCAAGTTATCAAGAAAAATAAACCAGGTCTATTCAACCTCAGGGTAAGGATGGATTGGATCCTGGCCAGAATTGTCTTCCCAACTGGGAGTCGTCCCAATCTCCCACCCACAGAGATAAAACCAAAGACAGTATTGCTGGCCTTTTCCAAGGAGAACAGAAGATAAGCTGACTGGCTGGCAAGATCCACGTACCGACTAGAGTGACCATGTGACTCACTCTCTGTTAGCCATAAGAGTTACTTAGTTGTTATAGAGCCCTGTGGACCTTACATGCCAGTGTGTACAGAAATCACAAAGGATGCTTGTTAAAATGTAGATTCCTGAGATTGTGTTTCAATACATCTGGAATGGGGCTAAGAATGCTACATTTAAATAATATATAGTAGACTTACTTTGTGTTCATTTATATGCTAAGTAATTCAACATATATCTGTGAGCAGTAAATATGCCCTGGTCACCCTTCTATAGTGTAGTAGTATCACTGAGGGTAAAGCGGTGAATAAGATGGACAATGTACATTCCATTGTGGGACTATGAGACTTACATTCTACTGGGAGGCTATGGATAAAAATCTCACAAATAATAAACTTTCAAATAGTGACAGTGCTACAAGGAAATAAAACAGCACAATGGGAAAAGAGTAGCATAAGGGGTGTGTGTGAGCTAAGGTGATCAGAGACAGCTTTCTTTAGGATGCCATGTTTGAACTGAGGCCTTAATGATGAAAAGAATGTGTGTGTATGTGTGTGTGTACATATAGTGGGTTGAGGCACAGGAGGTACAGTACAGAAGGCATAGGAGATACAGCAAGTGCAAAGGCCCTGAGGTTGGAAGGATCTTGGTAAGCTTGGGGAATACAAGGCAGGACTGTGTAGCTAGGGTGGGGTTTCTCAAGAGGGAAACTATTGACATTTTGGGATATATATATATATATATATATATATATATATATATATATACACACACATACATACACACACATATATTTAAATATATACATGCATACATTTAAATATACTAATATATGTATTTTATATATTAGAATATATATTATGTATTTTATATATTAGAATATACAATATACATTATTATATATTCTAATATATAAAATACATATATACATATAATAGCTATACATATAATATTAAAAATATTATATATTATATAATACTTCTATATATCGTGTGTGTGATATGGGGCTTTTCTGTGCATTGTAATTTCAGCAGCATCCTTGGCCTCAACCCACTAGATGCTGGTTTTACCTTCCTGGCTGTGACAATCAAAAAATGTCTCCAGCCATTGACACACGTCTCCTGGGAGGCAAAATCATCCCTAGTTGACAACCACTCAACTAGGACACAGTGAGAGGGGGAGAAAGATAGGAGGGTGGGGTGATAGAGAGTGACCAAATTATGTAGGGCCATAATAATCCCTGGATTTCATTTCAAGAGATTCTGGAAGTCACTGGGGGGTTTTAACTGGGGTAAGGGGTAAATATGATCTGATTTATGTTTTCAAAAAGGCTCTATCATGGCTGGGTAGGGAATAGGGGGTGTGGAAAGTAGAAGAAAGTATACCAGTGGGTGGATTGCTGAATAGTCTAGCAGAGAGATGATGGGATTGAACTGGTGTTTAGCAGCTAGGATAGTGAGAACATGTTGAATTCACAAAGTGTAATGGGAGAAGCCCTGATGGGACTTTCAGTGGTCACTAGACCACACTCAGAAAAACAACATCCTTGACCCTTGCATTGTCCTTGACCCAGAAGTGCTGTCATCACCTGGAAGCTTAGATGTACCATCTCAGGCCCCACCCAGAGATGCTGAATCCGAATCTCATTTTACTAAGATCACCAGGTGACTGATATGCAGGTGAAGTTTGAGACACACAAGTCTAAGCTAAGTTTCTCGTTTTACTTATTAAAAACATAGATGCTTTGAGACGAAGAGTGATCTATATAAGGTCACACAGACAATCAGGAGCAGAGTCAGAACTGGAACCCAGTTCTCCCATCTCCCGCCCGTGTTCCGACAGCCTGCCTGGTAGGATAACATCTATCTCCTCTTAGGGTCCTTACTTAAGAGAGCCAGGAATTATAAGTCTGTCCCTCAATTCTCATAGGATGAGGAAAAGTCACCCTTCAAAAAATAAAAGATTGAAATTCCTCCAGGGAGGAAGAATGAAAGACCCATGGTATCAATTTAAAGCAAAAAGCATTTAAAAACCAATTACCAAGCTGTGTTGCTGCTGCTCATGGGGCTGTCATCCTTTCCCAGCTCAGAGTGTTAATACTGAAAATACAAAACAAATCCCTTGAAAAGCGATGCCAGGATTGGCTTGTGGGCAACGATGATGAGGCTTTGAGATCAGCCTTTGCAAAGAGGGCTGCTCAGCTGCATATTCAGTGACAGGAATCTTCCGAATCACAAGCAGCAGGATTTGCAACTTGAACAATGTTTCTTTTCCCTCCATGGGAAGAGAGATTTTGGAAAGCTGAATATCAGTGTTCCCCTTGTCTTTATCATTCTCCTCTCTGGCTACCCTAGACTTGCTGCTTTGTTATCCCCCAAGGACACGGGCCATTTGTCAAATTCTCTTCTCCTCAAAACCTAAAGCACAAAATAGCTACTGTCCTTTCTGGCAGCTCCTGCAGAGCTAATATGTTGTGCTTATCCTAATATGTGGACCCCGTCATGTCCTAAATTAAAGAGCCTGGTTTGAAGGATGAGCTTCAGGGGAAAGAGGAATAAAACAAAAAGATTCAAATCCCTGAGGCTACCATTCATGGGAAAAGGTACCCATCTCCATCTCTAAACCTTGGACATGTGAAGGAAGCCCTGTTTCCTTAGAATCCTGAAGGTGGTTTGGTAAACCACTTCTGCGAAGGGTTTTTTCCATTACCTGGAATTAGCAGGTTACTGAAGGGCAGATAAACTAATCGCTGTATGAGCACAGTGGTTGGTGGGGAGGGAGGCTGCCTCGGGCTCTCATGGGAAGGAGGAAAAAGCTGAATGCCTTTCCTAGGACTGGGTGTGAAACTGCTCCTCTCAGTTGGAGACTGGCCCCTGCAAGCACACAGCTTCTGCCACTGCACAGCTGTCAGCTGCCATTAGCAGGTTCCTGACAAGAACATGTGGCGTTCCCCAGTCATTCTCCCCAGCAACTCAAACTGGGCAGTGATGCAGGGGTATGTGTGGTGTGTGTGTTTGTGTGTGTGCATGTATCTGTGCACACTGGGAAGAGACAACAAAGAAGAAAGAGAGATTAAACAATGGTTTCTGGACTCAGATAATTACCCAGTATCAAGAGAAGATTCAAGCCAGATTTTCTCTCTTGGTATTAGGGACTTTGGGTAAGTCACTTAATGCCTCTACTCTTTGTTTTCCTGCACCAACTGAGAATAGCAAAAATCTATGATTTATACACTCCTTTGTAAGTGCCAGGCTCTATGCTAGAGCCCACTGTGGAAACCATCTCACTTAATCATCACAACAACCTGACGATACAAGAACTATATATGTATATATATTTGCAGATGAGAAAACTGAGACTTGAGAAGGTTAAGTAAATTTCCCCAGAACCCCTAGATAGGGATGATGGAACCAGAATTCCATGGCAGACTATGTGACTATGAGTCATCATGAATCAGCAGCTGTACCTCCTCAAACGCGGATGGCCACCTCACTGTGTGTTTGAGTGATCAACCAAAGCCATGTGTGGGAAAGCACCTGGTACACTGAGGGCTGCACCAATGTCAGCAACTGCTATTTAAAGAACTCAACATTAGCTTATTCATTCACTGAGTACTTGTTGTGGACCTGGTTCTGTTCTATGAATTATAACACATGGAGAAGGGGAGTGAGGAAAGACGATATTGGCTCTTCCTTCAAGTAACACATGTTATCAGGTGTTGGCAATAAAAATGTTGTATCTGTATGACAGGTTCATAACCCTGAAGTCGAGGACACCCCACATGCTCACCAAATGAGACTAAAGCAAAACACCTGCTTACCTAACCCCTTTTCTAGTAGAGACCACTGATGAGGAGTTCTCATGTCAGCATTCTAAGAGCTGCATTTAAGAGTAACCATGGGACCTCCTTTTATCTCTCATTCTATTTCTGTTGTCATGGTGTTTCAAAGCAAATACCTGAAATGAGTAAATTTTAATTCTGAAACAGTTATGCAGTTTTCCCAAAGTTGTAATTTAACAGGCATAATCAAGGCACTATATCATAGTAAATGATGGTTTATCTGGTGCTCATCACCTAGAAATATTATTACTAGCGGGTGCTTCTGTGCTTCAATGGTACAATGATAATTGATGTTCACAATGATTACCCCGAGGCAGTGCAAGTTCCTAAAGTGCTTTGTGGATCATACAAAAAAAGAAAAGAAAAAAAGGAAAAGAAAAAAACAGAAAAGCTTCCTTTGTCATTTTTTGCATTACAGTTGAACATAATACAATTCTTTGAATATTAGTCACCAGTAATAAAATATGTGCTAACATCACTGATCAGAGCATTTCAATTCCCCATTATACACCATTATGCCAAAAAAAGGAATTCTGTACAGGCATATATTCCGTATCTTTTATTTCCTTCCAGAAAAGCTCAAGCTAATTTTACATAACTGAGTGTCTGCCCATGAAGAACTCTGAGGGGAAACTGCTTGTGTTAGTTTGTTATTGCTATGCAAACTCAGTGGCTTAAAATAATATAAGTTTATTATCTTAGAGTCCTGGAGGTGAGAAGTCCAAAATGGGTCTCACTGGGCTACAGTCCAAATGTCAGCAGAGCTGAGCTCCTTCTGGTGGTTTGAGGGGGAGAATCTGTTTCCTTGTCTTTTCCAGTTTCTGGAAGCTGCCTGCAGTCCTTGGCTGTGGCCGCCTTCTCCATCTTCACACCAGCAGTGTAGTATCTTCAAGTCTCTCTCTCTAACTACAACCCTCACTTCCATCTTCACATTCCCTTGGCACTCTGACCTTCCTGCTTCTCTCTGATAAAGATCTTTGTGATTACATTGGGCCTATCCAAATAATCTAAACTAATTTGTTCATCTTTAGATTTTAACTTAATTACATCTGCAAAGTCCCTTTTGCCATGTAAGGTAGCATATTCACAGGTTTCAGAGGTTCAAATATAGACATCTTTGGGGGGTCATTATTCTGTCTATCACCCTCCTCTTAACGAACTTTTCATCACAATGTTATCCTTTTCTTTCTTTTCTCTTTGACTTTAACTTTTGAAACAATATCATCTTTCTATAGATGATGAGTTAGAGTGATCCTGAAATCAAAATTATAGAATTCCATAAGGTCATGGGAATCAAGCTCACACAGAAGCTCTGCTAATATTTGTCAGATTCTCACCTTGCCCTGGTCCAAACCAGCAGGAGACAGGCTCCCCTGGCAATTGCCCACTCCACTGTGTGTGGCTTACTAACACTTATGCCCTAGAGAGGGCAGTTGCTTAGTCTTCTGTTTCCTAGAGCTTGCATTTAAAGATGAGAAGAACTTGAAGTTAGAGCATAAAAGGAAAAAAAAAGATGAAGAATATTTTCTTGGTGCCAGACACTGGAGAACACACGGGGATATTAGGAAGGAGAAATGCAAAGGCAGAAAGCCAGGCTGAAAGAAGCTTTGGATGCCATCTGACAGGCCTTTTGAATGCGCAGTTTTGGTTGTCTTCCCAGCTGCACCACATACCCCTACATCCCTCTGTACATTGCTGGAGGAGCAGGAAAGCATCCCTTGGAAAAAAAAATCCCAGTGCACTCAGAGAATAAGGGGAAGTCATGATTAAGGTTATGAGAGAGATACTAGCCAAGGGGTAGTGGAGGTTACAGCTGTGTGGACAAAATGTCCAGACAGGAAGAAAGTACATGCAAATGGAACCAAAATGGGCTTCTGTTTCTCAGCTGTAGACAAATGTCCTCTCTGCTAACCTTTTGCCCTCAGCTTACTTTGGCTGCTTGCCTCTGAATTATGTTAAATGTTTCTCTTTTATCTCATATTTGGGTTTTCATAAGCCCTGATATTTGCACAACCATTAGGGTTTAAATAGGATACCTGACACATCTATTATGAGCAATGTTTGAAGGAACAAAATCCATCATTTCAAGACTGGTTAAGAAGAAGTGCTATAACTAAAGTGCTAGGGTGAAGGAAAGATGCAAACATGTTATTGTTAACTGTGATAGTATTTTTTTAATATTTTACTTCAGAAATTTTAATGGAGGAACAATATAGCCACTACCTTTATCAAGAGCTTAGCAGGGCAGGTACCGTGGAAGGTACTTCATGAAGATTATCTCTTTACGGTGTGCAACAGTAATGAGAAAGTTCTATGATAGCATCATTTTGTAGATCCTTATATGACTGAAGGAAGTCACTTTACTGAGGTCCCACAGTTTGCAAATCATATCTAAAGCTCAAATGTAGGTTAGCCTACTTCCTAATTGTATCCTTTTACATTGCGTTACGTATTTCCTCTGTTTATCTAATACCTTTGACTTTATAGATAAACTCAGAGAATTGTGTAGTATAGAAAATCTCTTCTCAGATTATTTGACAATAAAGGCAAGATCTAATTACATTTGATTTCAATATTGCAAGAGTTGGAGCTCCCCACATTTTGCCTTTCAAAAGTCATTTGGGTTTGTTCCACTCAAATCTCATTATTCTCTAATCTTTTTATTCTTTAAAGCAGATTGTAGTAGGTTGAATAGTGGTCCCCCAAAAGATATATACAAGTCCTTACCCCCAGTACCAGTGAATGTGACCTTATTTGGAAAAGGGGCTTTTGCAAAGGTAATTAATTTAAGGATCTTAAGATGAGATCATCCTGGATTAACGCTGAATCCTAAATCCAATGATGTTAATAAGAGAAAGGGAAGGGAGATTTGAGACACACAGATACAAAAACACAGAAGACAAGGCCATGTGAAGACAGAGGCAGAGACTGGAAATAAGCTGCCACATGCTAAGGAAAGTCAGGAGTTACAAGAAGCTAGAAGAAGTAAGGAAAGTTTTCCCACTAGATCCTTCAAAGGGAGTGTGGCCCTGCCAATACCTTGATTTTGGAATTCTGGCCTCCAAAATAGTGAGATAACACCTTTCTGTTGTTTTAAGCCATGCACGTTTGTGATTATTTGTTGTGGCAGCCCTAGCAAACTAATACACAGACGTAGTTAGTTGATGGTGCAGATGTCAAGATAGTTTGGCAAACATTACTGAGAAAAACTGTGTGATTAATGACTGCAACTATGTCTCAGGGATACATTTTTGTAGTTTAGTTTCCTACTGATGCAAACTGAGAAATCATAAAGTGTTATAATATTTATTACTAAAAATCTAAAAGTCCAATTGACGTTCAGGGCTTCAATATAATATTCAGTGTGGTCCCAAATGGTTTCTTTTCTAGTACGGGAACAGAATGAAAACTCATGGTCCCTGTGCTTTGAGGGTAAAAATTCAGGCCAAGGCTAAAGAGTATTTCATTGTAATTGAATATTCATCATTATAGTGATACAAGCAACAAATTTTCACTAAAACTAGTAATAAAAATAATATCAAGTTCATACAAATAATCTAAGCAAATGTATATATGTATACTTACATATATACACATATACATATATACACATATACATATATACACAATTATGCATACATACACTATTATGCATACATACATGAAACCAAATGTGTGTGTGTATATATATGTGTATATATATATATACACACACACACGTAGGTGCATATATATATATACATATATATACATTTGGTTTGATGTCTATATATACATGTATATGCATATATAAACATATATACATAAGCATGTATATACATATATGTATATATGTATGTACTTTTATACCATTTTTATACTATTTCTTGCCCATTTGATTGATTTCTTATGAAAGGTCAATAGGGAAACAAATGAATATGGAATCCCTACTGGTATCTGGTAGATTTTGCTCTTCTGATAAAACCCAGGAATACCCCTTGGCAATTCTCTCTGGACCCAATTCAAGATTTATAGCTGATTGCCTGTAGAGCTCTGGACTTGGGTTCTGAAAATTCATAGAATCACACATGGGTGGCTTCCTAGTAGCTCCTACATACGTGAGAAATTGTCAATGCAGAGTACCTGGGACAAGACTGACATGAAGTAGGGACCCCAATTGACACCAGTAGTTGAAACTAATGTGACTGTTCTAGTGATGGTAGTAATAGTAGCAGTAGTAGTAGTAGTAGCAGTGGGTAGTAATAGCAATAGTAGTAATGGTGGTGATAGATACTATGGTGAGAAAAGATCTGAATATTCATTACGGTTTGTCCAAATCTTATGGAATTCTCTTATATAAGAAAGAAGCCCTAAAGAAAGAGAGCTAACTCCCTGTCTTAGTGTTTCCATGGATATTGAGAATCTCTTCAAACCCAGAAAGGTACCACCTCAGGCAACTGAGATCAATAATAAATTTTCTGGATCTATTGAAATAATTCTTCACCTATCTCCATATGAGGACTGTATTTATGATCAGGTCAGAAGCAAGATTCAGTCCTTACAGACTGGCCATGGTAGCAGCCCTTTATCCCATCCCAGTCCCCAGTCTCACACCCTTACACAGCATGATAGAATAACATTATGGGTTACTCCTGCTGCCAGACATTTCCTTGGCAGAACCACACCTTTGACAGGAAATAGAACTGAGTGAAGATTCACATACATTCTCAAAGGCTTAGCAACATCACACACTAGCCTCAGCAGAGCCCGTGATCCACTCTGACACGCAGCAGCTGAGTCAGCCTGCTGTGGAGAGCTTAGAGTGCTTAATCGTTCCTGGGGGAATTATCTCCTCTAGCAACAATCAGTAACATAACTGCCAATGGTAGAAAGTTATAGCTGCTCACACATGCGTAAAACAAATTTTCCTTTCAGGCTGGCCTTGGTATGTTACAGGAATAACCCAATGGGGGTGTTCTTTGGGTCTCCTTCTAGTTTTCTGGCATTATAGAGAAGACAACCAGGGTTGGCTCTACTGATAGGCCATTCAGACTTTGGGGTGAGGAGCTAGCAATAGGGTGGCAGTACTGGTTCCAGTTGGTCCTTTGGTTATGGCTGCATATTCAGAGTTTAAGAGAGGATTTACCTCTAAGGTATAGCAGTCATAAAGAAACATGATAACAGGGCAATTAAAAATCTGTGACCCCAGAGCTCAAAGAAAGACAGATGAGCCAGAAGTCCTGATGATCAGCATCATGTGAGCAGATATTATATGCTATGTACTGAATTGTGTCCCTCCAAAATTCCTAGGTTGAAGCCCAGATGCCCAATGTGATGGTATTTGGAGATGAGGCTTTTGGGTGATAATTAGGTTAAAATGAGGTCACAAGGCTGAGGCTATTATGGTGGGACTAGTGCTCTTTTAAGAGGGGACACCAGAGAGTTTGCTCACTGTCTCCACACACACGCAGAAGTCATGGGAGGATCTAGGAAAGTGGTGGTCATCGACAAGCCAGAAAGAGCCCTCATCGGAACCTGAGCATGCTGGCACCTCGATCACGGACTTCTAGCCTCCAGAACTGTGAGAAAATACATCCTGCAAATTAAATCCCCCAGTTTATGGTATTTGATTATAGCCCACAGCTGATGGATACAACGTAGTAACTATTTTTTAAAATAAATGGGATTATTTAGTTATATTAAGTAGGTGGGCTTTTAGAAGTCATATATATAGCAGCCATAGTTACCACAACTAATTATGAGAAAATAGAAAATGTTTATCTCTGGTCTCTTCAGGAATCCATCCATCCATCTTCACCTAGATGACTCCAAAAGTAAGCCTGTCTAAATTCCAGAGTTACTCAAATAATCACCCCCTGCCGACTTCTGTGTCCATTATCACAGACATGACCATAAGCAATGGGCAGCTAAGTCCTCAATACTATGTGTTATCATCAGAATGACTTTTGTTCCGAGGTGAAATTCTTGAATATATAATTTGGTGCAATTTGAAGCAATTTTCCTATGTTTTGAAAAATATAAAATGTCTCCTGGATTGTTCTATGAAGACTAAATTTCTGTGACTATTTTCCCATCTGCTTTTCAAGTCTCTCATCCCCTGATCTGGATCTGTCTTCCACAGCCCAAACAGCATAAAGACTCGGCTATCAGGCCAAAAAAATTAAAGAAAAAAAGACTGATGTCATTCAAAGAGTGACATTTTAGTTTTTGTTACTAGAATACCTTAAAGAATTAGATCTGATTTGCATTGATATTTGCCAACTGAATTATTGAAGTTTTTTTTTTCTTTTTCTCTTCCCATCATCAGATTTTAACACTGCAGTCAACTGCAGACAAAGCCGCAATCTTGTGACTTCACAGAGCCTCATGGGCTTTTGAGTTGACCAACTTGAGAAAAATTTCTGACTTGATGCATGAAATGAAACGAAGGCAGGTGACACATAAAGGAAATGACAAGGTATTTTTTTTTTGCCAAGGAGTTTGCTTCTCACAAAGTTTCTTAAGTGACATGGGGTAATTTTATTGGCATGTCTTTTATGGGCAGAAAGACCCCATTTGAATTACCTATTGAGGTTCCTCTTTTTTATTAGAATGAATTGCAGCCTCAGTGTACTGGGAGACTTGCAAATGAATATGCCAAGAGAATGATGAGGATTTCAGAAATGTGTGCACATTTTAAGTGATATGTTAGACTCAAACATCATTAGAATGTAGATAGAAAAAGACAAAGTGGGAATTTCTGTGCAGTTGTTACTTCTAAACCTCTTCATCTAAAGTGACAGAAATTCTAACCAAACAAATGTGATAGTGCATATATATCAAGATATTTTTATAAACACACACACACACACACAGTCACTGAAACATTTCCTGTTGATTTCTTATTATTGCACAGGAAGAATCTCAAATGCTCCTATATTTGTGCTTGGTAGAAACAGTATACAACCTTGACTATCTCAAAAAGAAGTGTTTTCTCTAGTGCAGGGGTTCTGTAAGTTTACTTTGCATCAGAATCACCTGAAGGGCATGTTAAGCTACATTTTTGGGCCCCACACCTAGAGTTTCTGATTCATGTAGGTCTGGTGTGGAGTCTGATAACTTGCATTTCTGACAAGTTTCTAGGTGATGCAGATGCTGCTGGTTTAGGAATTATACTCTAAGAACCAATGTTTTGGACTATCCAGAAACTCTGGTTTTATTAGCAAGCGGAGTGCTTTCCAGTCTTGAAGTTAGTTCTTTCTACTATCTAACCAAAATGATTGTAATTTAAGTCTTTATTGTGTTCTGTGGAACTTAATAACAACAACAAACACTTGAATAATGCTTTTTCATTAATAAATCACTTCCGTATGGATTATTTCACTTTAGGCAAATCAACGTTTATGGTAGGTGAGTAGGCATTCGATTATTCATGTTTTACAGACGGAAAGTAGAGGGTTTAAAGAACTTACTTAAACCCATATAAAAGTAAATTATGGACAGCAGGGCTTTCTGACTCCAAAGTCTGTATTCTTTCTATCAAATCATTCTTCCTCTCAATTCTTTACATTTGTAGAGAGACATACATTTTTCAAACTAGTTTCATATTCATTATCTCATTTGATCCCTGAAAGCAACAGTCTGAAGCAGGCAGGGCACATATTATTGTCTACATTTTGCAGATAAAGCTATTATAAAAGATGATGAGAAAAGTAGCTACTGTCATTCAGACTGCATCTCTTTGTACACTAGGCAACATTTTTCCTCCAACATTTAGTAGCAGCATCTGATGTAGCAGGTACAGCATTAGATGCTGTTCTTTCCAGTGATAAGTATTCAATGACAAAGTATTATAACCCCACCCCCACTCCCCACCAATATTTTTTTTTTTCTCTTTTCATGGTAGAAATGCATTTGAAGGGAAAGGAGGTGGGGATGAACTTTAGTGTTACCAGATTGGTAGGAACGTGGGGAAAGGTCCCTAACTGCTATACTTCGAATACTAAGGACAGCAGCTTTCTCCACCTGTAGTCCAGGGCTTTTCAAAATTTAATGAGCACCTGGGGATCTTGAGGAAATGCAGATTTTCATCCAGTGGGTCAGGGATGGGACCCAATATTCTGCATTTCCTTGTCTCTTCTACCACTTCTTCCAGGAGCAATATTCTGTATTTCCACAGTGATGCCAATTCTGATAGTCAGAGTCCAACCTTGTAGCCAAGGAAAAACCTTATTTCTCAAAACTATTATTATTTTCATTCTCTGAACCACCTCTCAATCTCTAGGCTGAAACAGAAAAATTGAAAATATAAAACATTGTAATAATATTCGGTGAGTACTACACACATTGTGGGACTTACCTAGGTGTTTCTCTGTGCTAGACTGCTTATGTATCCCACAATCTTCCAAACTATTTTGTTCTGAAGATCCTGGATGATGCTCAAACTGTGGCCCATAGAGCAGCAGTGCTCACATTACCTGAGTGCTTGTCAGAAAAGCAGAATTTCAGGCCCCACCCAGACCCACTGAATCAAAATCCACATTTTAATAAGATTCTTCAGATCATTTCCTAGCACCGTCGTAACAGAAGTCCTTCCAATCGTCTTGGCAATCCCCCTGTAATTATAGTGTCATCATTCTGTTCACCTGGCTTATAATATAACTCCCTGAGAGGCTTTACTTCTACAGAATCCTAAAATTCACAAAAGAGATAATTTAAGTGTGAGATTGGCTAAGGAATCTGTATTGTTCAATACCTTTGCTTCTGCTCTGGGTAATTCCGATGATCAGCCAAATTTGTAAATCCAGCGGCCATCTAATATTGGCCACAAAAGTTATGCTACAGGTGGCCACCACCAGAAGGGTTTTATAGTAAATTACAGGAAGTATTATAAAACTTCCAGCTCTTGTAACGGGGGCTCCTTCTTCTGTTTGACTCAACTTATTAACTGTCAGAGTGGGACTGAACCCTTCCCTAACACACCCTCACCCCCACTATAGCACAAGTTTATTGGCGTGATAGTGTTGAGATCCTTGTCACCACATACATAAAGAAAAAAAAAATCCTTTCCCAGATAAGAAATTTGCAATAGACATTTCACAGTGTTTTGTTTTGTTGTTGTTGTTTTGAGATGGAGTCTCACTCTGCCACCCAGGCTGGAGTGCAGTGGTACAATCTTGGCTCACTGGAACCTCCACCTCCCAGGTTTAAGCAATTTTCTTGCCTCAGCCTCCCAAGTAGCTGGGACTATGGGCACACGCCACCACACCGAGCTAATTTTTGTACTTTTAGTAGAGATGGGGTTTCACCATGTTGGCCAGCCTGGTCTCGAACTCCTGACCTCAAGTGATCCACCCACCTTGGCCTCCCAAAGTGCTGGGATTACGGGCATGAGCCACTGTACCCAGCCCAACATTTCACAGTGTTTTCAGGAAAGGAAATGTCCTATATTTTAAAGATGTACATTATATAGTACTGTAAAACTATAGTTTATGAAGACTCTGTTCTTTAAGTGTAAGCTTTAAGCAGGTTGCAACAGAGTCTGACTTTTCCCTGGAATAACTAATTCATTTATTCCTTCAGAAAATATTTATTGAACACTTAGTCTGTGCCAGGCACTACAATGGGAACTAAGGACATGCAGGTGGCTGCTTTCATGAGGAAAATAGACAGTAAAAAAGTAAACAAATGTTTAAAACAATTACTGAGTGTGATAACTGCTGAGAGGAAAAGAACAATTGCTGATAATAAATGGGTGATAAAAGACTATGAAAGGGCTAGCTACAAGAATGTTGAGATTTGGGAGGATTCGCCATAGAACATTGGAAAATGATGCAAGTGGGATGGAAGCAGGTCAGCACATCAGAGTAACTCAAGGCAAGAAGAATCTGAATTGGACCTAGACAGAGAACTTTCCTGAAATGTCCAGAATCTTCTTGGCAATAAATTACTGAAACTATTAGTTGGATAGGCTTAAGTTCTATAATTCTATTGTATCATTTGTAATTTTCTTTCTATTCACTCATGGTTTATTATCAGTGTGTATTTAGTTTATACTTCATGATATAAGTTAGGTTACTTCCCACTAATATTTCTATTTTTTTAGAATGAAATCCTTAATTCAATAACTTGGTTGATTGATTGAACACCTGTAATATGCCAATTAATATCTTGAAAATATGCACATGAATAAGGCATAGTTTATGCTTTTTTTTGAGACAGAGTCTCACTCTGTTGCCCAGGCTGGAGTGCAGTGGCATGATCTCGGCTCACTGCAAGCTCTGCCTCCTGGGTTCATGCCATCCTCTTGCCTCAGCCTCCTGAGTAGCTGGGACCACAGGCGCACGCCACCACACCCAGCTAATTTTTTGATTACAGGTGTGAGCCACTGCACCCGGCCAGTTTTTGCATTTTTATAGATCTTATAAACTAGGGGGAGAATGAATGAGCACATAGTTAAAATGCAGTTTTATTAATTTTACGATGTTCCTTCCTGGAGGAAGTGTCATCTTGAAGGTCTTGCAAGAATAAGTTATACTGGTAAAATGATGGTACGAATGAGATAAGCAGTCATGTATCAAGTAGAAAGCCAGAATTGTGAAGGCCAAAAAGCAAGTGAATAAAGTACACTCTTGAAATATAAAAGGAGTATAATTTCAAGAGTGTTCCAGGGATAGGATGATCACTTGAATTAGGCATTTAATGTCATGTTAAGTAGTTTGAACTTTATTCCAAAAGTGCTGGGAAATAGGAAAATTAAGCAAAAAAAAAAATTAACCTGACCATTTCCATACTTAGAAATAGTAGCAAAGGGTCCAACTGGAAAACTGATGAAAGGCAGGTGAGAGGAAATATTGGCTGAACTACATTGTGACAATGAAAATAAGGAAAGTGAATGAATTAGTAGTTTCCAAGGAAAATACTCAAGATAATGTGTGAAATTAATCATTGCTGGGGCAAAGGAAGAAAAAGAGACCAGGATCATTCTTACCTTTCTGGCTCAGACAATTTTTATTTCCTTCCCTGAACATCTCTTGGAACTTTTCCTCTGGCCCCTTTGCTTCTGACAACCCTGGGTACATATCTTGATTCATGAGACCTGAGATTGTCCCCCTTGGCAAGGATCTAAATCAGACCTACCCTGTCATCTCACGAGGGATATTGGAATAGATAGATCTTAGCTGACATCCATAAACAACATTGGAAAGTCCATTGTGGACAGTCCACAGGAGCTTTACAACCAAATGAGGCTTTTGCCTGTATAGATAAGCCATATCAACACAGTGTGAATCCTTTTGCATCCTGTTTCTTAGTGGCTTGGTTAACTCCCAAATAAATCTACCCGCACTCACTGTGATGAATTTTATTGTGCAAGCATCTGCTCATTTCAACAACTCCATGGTCACTTTGATTTTTAAATATGCTCCTGAAGAAACTATAATGTAGTATTTGTTTATTTGCTTATTTGTTTGCTTGTTTATTTTTCTGTGTAACTCCTCTCTGTTGCTGTTCAATGGCTCACTCTTGAACATTGCAGGTCATTTTTGTGTGTGTGATAGTATAATCATCTCTTGAAACACCAGTTTTGAAAAAAATAACAAGGGTTGTAATTCACCATTATGGGTTCTATATAGCTACAGTTAATAAAATATTTACTGTTATATAACCAGACTGTGGGAAAACTATCTTCTCAGGTGAGAATGGATATATGAATAAGCCATGTCAGAACTTCTCCCTCTAACAAACAAGAGACTGTCGTTGTCATGGCCTTTTAAAAAATAGACCTTAAGCGGGTACATTGGGGTGAAATGTAATATAAGATGTAAAATATTAAGGCTAACTTGGATGTTAGCTTTTTTAAAAATCCCCGTGGTTATTGTGCTGGAATGAAGGATAGACCTGAATAAAGAAGAGCCTGAGGTGGTTTTCAGTCAAATTATTAATCTCACCCAAAATGATCACTATGCAGCTAATACATAGTTAACTATAGTTACAATAAATAATAATAATGATATCAAGAATTGCTAATACTGCACCAAGAACTTTGCCTACGTATTATTTTAATTTTCAGGATAATATATGATACGTATTCTATTTTTAAATGTATTTTAAACATAGACTACTTGGAATGGTGGCAAAAAGTATTTGAAGGAGTGAGATGTTGAGAGATGTGGACTCTGTATTTCTGTTTTACTAGGCCACGTACAAAGTTTCTGATTAAGTTATTGCCTCTCCCCACCCAAGGTTCCACCATGTCTTGGAGCATTGATGTCCAAACTAGTTCCCCAAGAACACATCTAGGCTGATTCACTTCTCTTCAGGCAGAGTGCTCTGGGAATCTGATGACACGTGTGTAGGGTAGGAGTGGGGTTGTAGGGTGATGCTAGGGCATTTGTCCAACACTTGCAAGAATAGCCAGCACGTTAGGTTGTGCAGATCTTCTCAATGACTTAAAGGCTGACCATGTCAGTTACTGTGAGCATCTCCAGGATTTTTAAAGTTTGGGTTGTGGAGGCCAGTAATCATGTGGTTAAATTTTGTAGTCATTTTCTAAATGATCCATTTGTTTCAATAATAAAGTTACTAAAAAAGAATTTGTATTTACTTGATTAGGCCATTATGGAGCCATCTGTATTGGGAAAATATGTTTCAAATCTAAATTTAAGATATTTTATACACACAAACAGCTGTCTATATACCTGCTACTGATATACTGAGACTATACTGGGAAAGTATATAACTTTCTCTGTGAGTGTATGTGTGTATAATGCAGTAGATACACTGTTATTTACTACAGTATATATAGTAGTTTATACATTGGCATATATAATATCAATATACAAGTAAGGCACTGAAAATAAAATATAGCAAACATTTTAAAATTTATTTTTGTGCTTTTGGAAGAAGGAAATGGATATATTAAAAAGTAAAAGAAAAAGTGTGATTAAAAAAGAGATTTAAACGTTCAAAGAAAAGTAGCATAACAAAACCCCTACATCATGATCTCACATACAGACGCTTGCCTGGATTCTTAAATGCATTATCATTCTAGGCCATTATATACATTGTTTTCTATACCTGGGATACTCTTTCTTCCCCTATTTTCTTGGCTAGGTCCTATTCATCCTTGAGGTTTCAGCGTAATACTTCTCAGGTGAGCTTTGCTGGTCTTGCAGATTTTGCTACATGGCCCTGTTTTATGGTCTCATTGAATGCCATAATTTTTCCTCATAATGAATCTAATTATGGGGCTATTCATGCAATTACAGATGTCCTGACTTATGGTGGATTGACTTACAATTTTTTGACTTTATGATGGTGTGAAAGTCATATGCATTTAGCATGTGCACCAATTTAGGATGGGGTTATATCTGGATAAGCCCATCCTAAGTCAAGAGGTGTGTGTATTAGTTTAATGCTTTGCTTTCTTATTGAACTATAAGCTTCATTTGTGCAAGGACCATGTCTGTCTTGCTCTTCCTTGTGTGTTTACAGAGTGAACACTGTAAATAATTCTTGCCAAATGAACAAATTGTGAGATGGAGGTCAAGATTAATCTGAGTATAATTCTGTATTGATGGATGACATATTTTAAAACCAATATATAACTAAGACACTGAAAATAAAACATAAGATTGTTCTTTATCTATTTTCTCCTCTTTTAAAATAAAAAATAAAAATATTGAAAAATAAAAAATGCAAGAGATAAATGAAAGCAATTAATAGAATAAATTGAGTCATTATTCTCTTTTGAATGTTACTGCATGGCCAACAGCCTTTACCTGCAAAATGCATACCTTTGACTAGTACAC
This sequence comes from Homo sapiens, assembly GCF_000001405.40. Lineage (NCBI taxonomy): Eukaryota > Metazoa > Chordata > Mammalia > Primates > Hominidae > Homo > Homo sapiens. Next base: position 116,014,619 of record NC_000003.12, read on the forward strand.
ATGCATATGCTACCAAGTTTGACTCACTGAATCTTCTGGAAGGTCCACACAAGAAAGCCCCAGAGAAATAATTTCCTGAAACTTGAACTGTAGAAAATGTGTTCTTTGTGTTAAATATGAAATCATACTAATTCTAACATGCTAACTTGAAGGACCGGATGTTACTTGCAACAGGTACTTCTATAATGCAACTTAAATAAATGAGTTCAGTTTAACATTACATATTTCTCTCAAACCCATGAGGTCAGAGTCTAGGCTGGTCATATTGGGTGAGTTACAATTAGAAGTAAAACAGATGAGAGTAATAGCATTAATAGAATTAAAAAGTACCATCAGTGAAGGGTTCAGACTTGGAAATGAATTGAAAGTGGAATCTCAGATCAAGTGGTTAAAACCCAATGTCCAATGAGAAAATGGGATTTCATGCTCTTCAGACTCCTCTTAGCTTCTCCAAGCACAATATTTTCCCACTCACTCCATCAAATTGCAAAATATTTTTAAAGTGAGATCTGGTTTGTGGCTGAAAAAGAAAATTACACAGTATCTCTTGGGTTGTTCTCAGCCTAAAGGGTTAAATCCTCAGTGTGCCTTTTGAGTTTTTCAGTGATAGAAAACTACGGAGGTTGTGTAAACCTTTGCAGAAATGAAACGCATAGAAACTCTTTCTGTGACCCTGAGCAATCCTGACAACACATGATGCACATTTGAGAAAGGGACTTCCTCATGAATGTGAGAAGAAAGACTTAGAAACGAAGTTAAATGAAGATGGGAGCAGCATTGCTCACAGAAGGAAGATCAAACACTCCATAGAAAATACACGTTACAGTGCAATTGCCCTCTGGGAGTCACAGGATTATGAAAGTCTAACTTAATTAAGGGAGAAAATAGGTCACATTTAATAACTACATGTGTGACACATCATTTTGAACTATATAACTGAAGAGGGGAGAAAAATTAAGAAATCAGAAATATAAGAAGGCATGCAGAGAATGCATAAATGTCTTCAACTTCATCTAATTCAGGTGTTTTTTATTTTGTATGTATGAAAAATTCACCATTCTTCTAATTTACCTTAAGCACTTGCAGTATACTTGAAAAGGAAATTTCAGATGCAAAAAGAAAGAAACAAACTGGCCTTACCCAATTTTTTTTAAACTAAATTAAGAGGTAATAAATATTGTCTTCCTAAAAATATACCATGCATATTTCTTTCTTTTCTTTCCCTCATGTCATCAAATGACAGATAATCAGGTATTGTGAACCCTGCGTAGAATCTTCCCCTATCCAGGGCTCAATATCCCTGTGGGGTCGAGTTAATTACAGGTATATTTCCTTTGCAAGACAGTCACACTCTGTACTGTTGAAGACACAATTAATAATTGAACAAAGCTAACCATTTTTTTTTTTCCTTTCACATGGCCACGGGTTGCAGGCAGCTTTGCTGTCACACAGGGAGCAGAGTCTCTTCTTTGGGTCTCTTCCACATAGCTTGTTTGTAATCTCCAAGAAAGACTTCACATTACAGGCTGAAAAGAATCACCTACGGTTTCCATATTTTGAAAGAAATTTTTAAAAACCATGAAAACAAACAAACAAAAATCCTAGTTTCCTTTATAAAATAGCAAAGGAAAGTTCTCTCTCCTGTCACCAGGAATATGATTATGATCAGTTGGTTATTTAGGTCACATGTGAAAGAAATGAAAGAGGAGGCATGGGAATGTAAGGGAGAATAGTAGTCTGCCCTCAAGTCTGCAAACGCAATAGAAAGCTAGTTTTGCATGTGCCAGAATAGAATCTGACCTACAAAGTGGGCCTAGATAGAAGACTGTAGAAGAGTAAAGTTGTTTCCTTTGAGATGTCTGAAGGAGCTTGGTGGGGGATATCCCCAAAGCCCTACTTGGCCATGGATGAGTGCAGCAAATCCTTGTCCTATGTCCCAAGCTATGGCCTTGAGCAGGAGTCTATAAACTTCCCTGTAAAGGGCCTAATAGAAAATATTTTACATTTGTGGGCCAAGTGATCTTTATTGCAATTATTCAGTGATGCTGTTTTAGAACAAAAGCAACCATAGAGAATTTGTAAATGAATGAGCATGGCTGGGTTGCAGTAAAACTTTATGTGTGTACATTGAAATTTGAATTGTATATATATAGATACAGATATATTTTTGCATGTCAAAGAAATAAAATTATTTTGATTTTTTTCCCATTTAACAATTAAAAAACTATTCTTCACTTGCAGGCAGTACATAAATGGAGCAGACTAAATTTGATACATAGGCTGTGGTTTGCTGACCTCTGTTACTGACTATTGAGAATCCCTGTGAGTGTATCTATTTTCCTGGTTGATATTGAAGCCTCCGGGGTCCTCTGAGTTTATGTAAATACAGCCTTTATTCTTGAAGACATGGCTTGTCCTCTGGTCTTTTGTTGACTTGAAACATCATAGAAAAACAAGCTATTAAGGGGTCAAGTCACATGTTCATTATCATGGGAAAGTTTATGAGAGTTAGTTATGACTACCCAAACTCCTAGACAAGGTGGGAAAGGCTCTGAAACTCTGGTTCCACATCAGAAGTTTTATAAATTCAAGGGATAAAAAGGAATCTATCTTTAAGTTCAGTTCAGCCATAGCAAATTTTTCTTGAAAAGCCTATTTGCTAGTCAGTATTGTGCCAAAAGAAAGTGTCTTTCTATTAATGCAGTTCATTATTTGATTATAACTTGAATAGAATCTTTCTTCCTTTCTAACTCCCATTTCCCTTCTTTTATCTACCACCTTGTTCCACGTAAGAGTAAGAAATTATAAATAGTATATTTACATAGACATTTAAGTTAATTAGAAAAGGTGAGACAAAATAAAAATAATGGTAAGAAAACAAGATGATAGCAGAAGTGTGATCTGAAATGGACTTGATCCCATAAACTTCTACATAGCTTGTTTATAATCAATTTTTAATGTGTAATTTATGTATAATAATTTATATATTTTTACAGATGGTCCATAAATTTGGCTGTAAGTTTACTAACAGTCAAACAATAAAGGACATACAATCACTTATGAAAATTCACTGGGTCCTTTCTTAAAAAGCAAACGATTGCTTAGGAAAAAAGAAAGTAGAGATATTGAAAAACAAAACAAATTTCCTCAAATGGTCTTTTCAAAGGAAAACTATGTAAAACAATTAACAATCTCTCAATTATAACATTACAGTAAACACAATGATTTTAGAAGGTGTCTTTTATAATATCCTTAAATATGAGCCAATAGCTTCTATACCAAATTGCTATTCAGTAAAAGCAATGCTACTTGGGACAGGGGTAGGTGGCATGGGATTGGAGCCAACATAATGCCATCCAAGTAGAACGTGCTCTGAAGGTTTAATTCATTCCAAGGGAAAGATATAATATCTACGTTCATACTCGAGACAATCCTTTATACATATTTTTTTTCCACATGAGGTATAAAATAAGTATGCGAGTCAATGAGTTTAAGATTGCTCTCCCAAATAAGTGTCTCATGTATATATTATCAATAAATGAGAAATTGCCTGTGTTAATAAGGATGGGTTTTGAGTGACACTTTCTCAAGAAAATAGAGGCCTTTAATAAGAATACCCGCCTAAATATAAAACCATTCTATAGGTTGGTCCAAATTTTACTTGAGAAATTAATTTAGGATCTAACATCAAAGAGAGGACCCATCTTTTCACACCACACAATACAGATAGTTTTAAAGACATTATAAACAAATACTATCCTGGTCTTTTAGAAATGTCTCAGTTTAGCTCCTGTTGTACATCCAGTCTTGAATAATATTTTTATGGTGTTCATTTTAAAATGAATATGTTGTAACAAATCTCTAGTTACTTATATGAGGAAATTTTAAGTGACTATAAGATATAAATTAGTTAAATTTGTGAGTTCTCTACAAAATCAATAATATTTTATAAGAATAATTCACCTATTGCCTATCTTTCTGGAAGATTTAAATAGAAGGCTACATTCTATAAAGACTGTGTTATTTGACAAGACATGGTTTTGCATACCAGAAAATGTAATTGGTAGAGTAGAGGAGTATGTATGTACCTAATCTTAAATAATTTGCTCAAACATTTAAAAAAAGTTCAAAAAGCAGGAGGCCTGGGAACCTTTTTATGGCGATGGTGGTGAGAAGGGGAAAGAAAGGATGTTGAAGACATTCCTGGGAAATGAGTTTCTGATTTTGACTGAATTAGTATCAATAGCTGGGACTCATAATGAGTTCATGCAGCTTAGTCCATGTCTGATGCACAGAACCAGATGCCAAGGGCAGGACAATAAAAGTCAGAAACAATTCTGTATTTTCTTGATAGATTTCTTCACAAGGTGCTACAAGTTAGAAAACTGTAGTTAAAAGCCAAGCAAACAAACATACAAACAACTATGTAAAATTAATTCAGACAAAATATTGCCCCAAGACACTGAATCACCAAACTGGCATGTATTTTACATATAATATCAAGCCATTTAATGCTTCTGTATTTGTTGCATTGTGGGTGGGGGGGGGGGGGCTGTTCTATTGAAACTGAAATTTTACAGATAGATAGATCTCTTGATAGATAGATAGACAGATAGATAGATGATAGCCAGATCTACATATATATTCAGTACAATGATTGTAAACTTTATAGAGATTAACACGTTAGCAAAGACCATGAGGACCCTAAATAAATAAAATAAAAAAGTTGCCATTCTGTTAGTATTTTAATAACAAGATAGATGCATGACCTTCTGATTCAACAGAATTTCAATTCTGATTCTGAATTGAATTGAAATTTCTGATTCAGCAGAATTCCAGGAGCATGAGCATATTTTAAACAGCATGTGGCATATTGGAACCTGGAGTATTGCTTACCAGTTGGTGTAAGGTGTCTCCAGGTGATAACAGGTTCAGGACGGCCATTGGCCATGCAGACCAGAGTCACGTTGCTGCCCTCATTCACAGTGACATCCGAGGAGATATTGGAGATCTTTGGTGGGACTGTGAAAACAAAAGGAAATGGAATATGTAACCATGTCAGTAAGATTAGGCTTGTAGCCATACAACTGGAAGTGGCAAATTCAAGGTTTTATAACTTAATTTGAATTTCTGTGTTAAGAAGTAGGATGCTTTTAAGACCCATGCTTGCCATCTGCTTACCAAATCCATAAGTTGTCCTAAAGCACTACTATAAGGTAAGAACACCCTTCACAAAGCCATCTGAGTGCTGTAGGAAATACACAAAGTAGTATGATGAAAATATCTTAGCTTTTAAAAATACTAGAATGGACCTTATTTAGATATTAGACAGCATGCACATTTATGTAAATTAATATTATCATTGTTATTTAAATTTATTTTCTTATGTATATATAAATAAATATAATCCAATGTCTTCTCCAAGTACCAGCAAAAGAAAAACAATGCTATTTAGCATAAGATTACATTACTGTATTATTAAGATGTGGCAATACCTGGTTACTTATAATCTAGCAACATAATGAACATGGATTAATCACCACAATAGAAAGCATTTAAATATCATCTTTGTGTATAACAGGCTGCATGAAGTATCTTAGAACTTAAAACGTGAATTAATAAGGCCTATCTCACAGACAGGTAGACATTCAAAAATACTATTACTTCTAGTACTTCCAACACCACTACTACTAACAATGTAATTAATAGCTAGCTTTAATCAAACATTTATTATACCTAAAACCCAACATAGAGTATTTAACAAATATTACTTCAATAACTTCTTACAATAAAGAAATGATATCCTATGAAGTTTTTATTTATGGGTAGGAAACTGAGGCATAGAGGGGGCTAGGTGAGGGGCAGAAAATGAGTTTGAATCCCAGCCAATTCAGGGCCTTTGCTCATAAGCACTACTTGAATGAAACTTCCTCTTCACAACCCAGGCTACCAGATGGCTGAAAACAACAGAAATTAGTTTTTGGTGACGTGAGAAATGAGTCCTCAAGGGCTAGCTGTACTGCCGTCTGACTTCCTTCATTAGTGTTCAGGGTGGCAACATTAGATCACACGTCGGTAGGCTTAAGTGGGGAGTGAATTACTCACAAATTTCATCACAGAGGTTATGCACTGATTACAAATAGCAGGGTTTATAGTTTGACTGTGAATTTCTTCTTTTTTACTCACTTGTTTGAGCTGTCCCTGAGAAAGTATGTGTCTGGGGGAAGGAGAAGGACAAAAGAGCATGAAGGAGTTCAATAATGAATTGTATCTTTTCTCATTCTTACTGCCCATTAGAGACTCTGTGTAGTGACGAATAAAACAGGAACATTTTCTGCTTGCAGAAGCAAGCACCTGACAGCCAAACGATCCCTGCAAATCTTCATTAGGAGACACTGATGGTACTTGGGCAACTGACTGGTTCAGAGTGTCACAAGGAGGAAGCAGGATGAGGACCCTCTCCACCTCAGCATTCCACTCTTGTAGGGCCTCTGGGTAGGGGACTGGTCATTACCAGTCAAACCCAATGGCAGCAGACTGTAGTTGATTCCAAATATTTAGCAATCTCTATTTACAGAGTTCCTAATCCTCCCTTTAGCTATTGGGGTTAAGGGTCGTTTTCTCATATTCACACACTGTCTTGCAATATGTTCTTACAGACTTTTGCAGTGAAAACCTGAAAGATCATATACATTTTACAGGGAAGAATATCAGACACAGAGAAAAATGATGGCTTGTTAAGGATGAGCCCACCAAGAACTATGGCTGGACTTAGAATTCAGAGCTCCTGAATGTCCAATTATTCCGTTATTTCGAGTTCACAGTTACTAATTCCCAGATGAGTAGGCTAGTGCTCTGAACATCTTCAAAACAACTGCAATGAACTATAAATCAATGATAGTGTTTCAGAACATAATGTGGACATACTAGGTGTCATCCTCAACAATCCAAAACCTATCATAGAAAGCTATATAGTAATTCTAAGAGTCCACATTACTAAAGTTGTAGTTACATGTGAATTGCAACGCAGGACACAGGGTAAGAAGAAATATAGATATGTTCTGATAAAAAAGGCTCTATATCCCTAATATAAAACCATGCAAATTTATAAAACAGAAAAAAAATCCACAACTAAAAAAAAATCCCAGAGAATTACTACCTGTGGTGCAATTGACTCACAATCTCTCTCTCTCGGTGTTTTTTTTTTAAATAAAAGGAGATAGAGCGAAGACTTTGCATTTACATGTCACACCAGTTAAGCCACTTGTTCAATTTCACATAGACAGGTACTGATAAAGTTGGGAATAAAATCTAGAATAATTGACTACAGGGCTATGTTCTGGCCACCAAACCACACTGCATCTCCTAATTAAGGACAATCTATTCAAGTACTGAGTCTCAGAGACTGGAGATACAGAAAGTGTTTGTGCTGAATAGTTAGGAATGTAATCACGCTGTATCAGTGTATCCCATGTGCCTCTGGATCTCTTTCAATGGGTCTTACTCCATCATTTGTTTTCCTACTTTATTTTGTACTAGCTTCCTCCCATAAGCATGTACATATGATGCAGTGTTTTTTGCTTTCAAAAGAAATTTCTCCCTAAACTCTTATTAACTTCTTTTTTTTTTTTCTTTTTTCCTGTGACATAGCTTTCAGGAGATCCTGAGAACATGTGTCCCTTTTTTATTTTTATTTTTTTCCCATCTTATTTACTTTCAATCTCTCTTTCCAAATCTCTTGCGGGAATTGTTCTACACCACATCGTCATTTCCCATCCACACCTCAACCTTCAGTGCAATCTGGATTCTCTCCTTAACCTCAAATGAAATTACTGTCAGGAAGCTCACCAATTATCATATTGTTTCTAGGTCTATGGACAATTTCTGTTAGCTTGTTTTTCTCTGAAGTATTTGGCTCTGTTGATGCTCCTTCCAGTTGTTATTTTTTATTTCCCTTGGATTCTAGGACACCAAACTTGACTGTTTTTCCTCTTATCCTTGTAGTCAGCCTTCTCAGATTCACTCTTAAGCTTATCTTGTCCTTTCCTTAACTATCTGTATTTAAGAGTTTGATCACTTACCTCTGTCTTCATCTCAATCTATACATTCATCGAAGGATCTTACCTATTTTCTAGCTTCAGAAGCTAAAGCAATCAACATCTGCAGCCCAGATATTTTTCATGATTGTTATACCTACATTCCAATGGACTATTCTGTATCCCTATTGTTTGCCTCACAGACACCCAAGTTTCAACAAACTCAGGACTAAAGTCATTACCTTCATTCCCACCAAACACTTGTGTTTTATTATCTTAGTTAACAGTATCATCAGGCAGAATTGTCTAAGCAAAAAAAGCAAAGCATCTCCCTTGACTGCTCTCTCCCCTTGACCACACTCATAAAAAATTGATCCTCATGTTCTGTTGTTTATGTCATGTTCTGTGGTTTATGTCATGTTCTGTGGTTTATGTCATGTATGGAGGATCAATTTTATATAAGCGTGATGTATATATACATATATATGTGTATATATACATATGTGTGTGTGTCTCTCTCTCTCTATATATATATACACACATATCAGATTCATTCTTTACTCCCAGTCCCTACTCCCACTAACCTTGTTTCAGACATCAACATTTCTTTCTGGGATGGCCTAAATTACTGAAATGAGAAAATATTAAAAATGGTTTCGGCCAGGTACGGTGGCTCACGCCTGTAATCCCAGCACTTTGGGAGGCCGAGGCAGGTGGATCACAAGGTCAGGAGATCGAGACCATCCTGGCTAACACGGTGAAACCCCATCTCTACTAAAAATACTAAAAAAAAAAAAAAAATTAGCTGGGCATGGTGGTGGAAACCTGTAGTCCCAGCTACTCGGGAGGCTGAGGCAGCAGAATGGCTTGAACCCAGGAGGCGGAGGTTGCAGTGAGCCCAGATCACACCAGTGCACTCCAGCCTGGGTGACAGAGCGAGACTCCGTCTCAAAAAAAAAAAAAAAAAAAACGGTTTCTTTGCCTCTAGCCTTCCTCTCTTCATGCTCACTGCCACACATTCACCACACTACAATCAGATATTTTTTTCCTAAATTGCAAATATGAATATAATATCTCTTGATTAATCTCATTGTCCTCAAGATAAAATCCAAACTTTTAAATACGGTTTAATAGGTCATTCATGATTGGCCCTGCTTATCTCTCCAGCCTCATTTCCTACTCCATTTGCATTGCATCATCTGGTGGGATCAGGCAAATTTTGGCTTCTGAAATGTGCTCTCCTCACACTCTGGCATTTGACATTATATTTCTTCCTACATGAAATAGTCTTTCAACTCTTCATGCAATTACCCTCTTTCCCCTTTCAAATTTCAGCTCATCAGCTTGTCTCCTTACTTGTTTACGAAAGACCTTCCTGTCATTCCCCACCCTGCCTCCCACTCTGCTCCTGGATCCACAATGGGTGAAATGCCGTGCTGTGTTCTCACCTCATGCCCCACTCTGGAGGCCATATTGGGTGAAATGCCCTGTGTCTCACCCTCACAGCACTGAATCATGACAGCTGGGTTACTTACCTGTGCCTTTCACTAAACTGTAAGACGCACAGTGTTTTCTAAACCACTGAATCTTACAGAGCATGGTGCTTAGAACATAGTAGGTGCTCAAAAAGTGCTTGAAAAAAATTCACTTAGTTTTTCCCAACTCTTTACTTCACTCAAGAAAGGTATCTCACAGAATTTTTGTCAGAAAGGAATAAGTTTTCATTTTGAACCAGTAAAATAGAGCTCTTATCAATATTTATTTAGCTACCCCTTTAGTCATCTATTTCACTATCAACTTATTTGACTCAATAAAAAATATTAACCATGAGGCAGAGGAGTGTCTGTATATTTCAGGAACATAGGAACCAAGAAGAACTTGGTGTCTAACTTCTTCAACTACAGGCTTTTCTGAGTTTTAACGTCTTTGTTTCTTTTTCTGTGAGGACGGAGAAATAGATAGATAGATACAGATATGTCTTTCTTAGTGTAATAGTTTAGTATTTCTTTCCTAGTTTCCCATAGCCCTCCATAGAATTAAGTTTAGATAATCACCAATAACATCAGGTGGCAATTCAAAAATTTTATTCTATTACCCTATAAAATCTTTATAAAAATTCTGGGAAGTAAAATGTATTATTATTATTATTATCATTATCATTATTACTACCACTACTACCATTTCCCACATGTGGGCAAAGGGGACAAAAATGGGTAAATATCACATAGCTAATGAATAATACAGCTAGAACCAAAACCTACAATTTGTATGTTTCACAAACTTTACTCTTCCTCTAGATCATATTCACTTCTGAAAAAGTGGTAGAGATGGTATTTTTTCTTTAGTTTAATTCTCAGGAGAAATGACTGCCTAGAAAGTACTGTTTAACATAATACTCTTATTTGAATCAGCAAATGTTAAGTTTTTTATTTTTCAAAATCACTGTAATATTGATTTATGCTGAATTATTGCAGCATTGTAGTACTCTGTGTAGTGTTTTCTTTTCTTTCTAGACAATCCCTTAACAATTCTTATTTACAGAATATTAGTGTGATTTATTATATTTTCCTATATATAATGCCATGAACCATTTATTCAATGTTTTCAATCTATTCAGTTTCAGTGATAACTACATTTGTCTGGATTATTTTGTTTTTCTTACTGATTAATGAGAGCTACTTATATTGTAAGGAATTGACCTTTTGTTGTCATGTAGTAATATTTACAATTTATTCTTTGGCTCTTACTTTTTTGTTTATGATTATTTTTGTTTTGCTGAAGTTTAAAGCTTCTTTGTTGTTGTATCTATTGATCGCTCTTTTGTTATTTCTTCCATTGCTTTTGTGCATAAATAATGCTTTTCCAACATAAGAACAGTTAAATACTTATCTCAATTTCTTCTTTTTATTTTAATTGTTTCTTTTTTTATATTGAATTCTTTGAATCATATGGAATTTATTTCTGGTATGAGAAATAATCAGAGTTTTTTCCTCCCTATAATTTTTTAGCCAATGTCCACAATACCATTTGTTGAATGATGTAAAGTGCATATACTCTTTTGGTTTTCAGAATCACCCTATAAAGTGCTACCAACCTGGCCAGCCCAGTATTTCTGGGAAACATGTAAATATAGACCTTACTTACCATGCTAACTAATTCAACCAAAATATTTTTAAAATATATCATTAATTTTTTGAATACCACACTATTATGTGTTAATTTTAAAATTTGAATTATTAAATGGGTAATATTCTTTATTGAAATGCACATAAATTCTGCATTAAAAAATACACATTTCTTTCTTTTGTTTTTCTGTGTGCATTGGTGTGATCATAGTTCACTGCATCCTCAAACTCCTGGGCTCAAGCGATTCTTCTACCCTGACCTCTCAAAGTGCCGAGATTACAGGCATGAGCCATTGCATTGGGCCTACATATTTTTTTTCTATTTAGTAAAAATTTAATGGTGATTTCTGAAATAATGCCAAAATCTAGGTGCACCTAATAATATAGACTCCCTCAGCTATGCAATGGGGCAGGCTTAAGTAAGATCATGACACAGTCAGTCTGGCTCTGCCACCTGTTTTTCTGTCCCTCCTTATTGTCTTTGTAGTTCCTTTATCCACCCTCTACCAGATCTCCAGGGTCTGCCCTGACTCTTACGGACCCAGAGTTGACTGTCCAGAGTTGTTTGTACAGTTCTCTAGGTTCACAAATCATCCCTTCTTCTTTTTGTGTAAGACTAACGTTTCTTATATATGCCAAAAAGTGGAAATGGAGACAAAGTCAGGGACATAAGTGGAATAGACATATATGATTTACTTGCCCAGAATCCATGCCTCTTTCTTCTGGTAAGACATCCTGGTTTTCCTTTGGAAAAACCACTGCTTACCCACAGCTATTGGTTTGTTGGGACTCTTAATCAAGTGACCAATTCTTGGACAAGGAGTGGGTACAAGACCTAAGCTGGACCATTCAAACATCCCCGCCTTGGAACTTGGTTTCTATGAGGAATGATTCAAAAGAGGATGAAACTGACTTAATCTCTTGTTGGCAGACTGTGTTAATGGCCTCAAATCTGTACTCCTCCCTCTATCCCCATCCTTTGCCACATCCATGCCCTCCTACAGAGGGTGACATACTTTTTCATCCCTGGGTCATGTTACTTGCTTTTGCCAACAGGATGTCAGCATCTGGAACACAAGCATAGTTTTGAAAAGTGCTGGCACCATTGAATTCACTTGTGCTTATGCCTCTGCCATTGCCACGAGAAGAACATACTCAGCTGAGCCTCTTAATCCCAGGAGAAGGATGGGAGATGCCAGACAGAATTGTCAGATAAAATAGTGTACCTAGTTAAATATAAATTTTTGACAAACAACAAATGCTTTTTTAGTATAAATGTGTTCCAAATATTGCATGAGACACATTTATAAGAAAAATTATTTGTTGTTTATCCCAAATCCAAATTTAACTGGGCATCCTTTATTTTTACTTGTCAAATCTGGAAACCCTGGGAGAAGAGTCACCTCAAGAAATTCAGCCTAAATCAGCTGACTTCCCCACTTGTGCAAAATAAAGAATAACTATTATTTTATGCTCCTGATTTTGAAGTGATTTGTTCAGCAGCAATGGTTAGTACACGTCATGAAAGAGTAACCACCTAAAAGGACTATTATTCTTCACTAGTTTTTGCCACTAATTATTTGAGGTTATTATTTGGATATCCAGAGATACGGGGCTTGTGTACTTGCTGAAGTAAAGTTTTTCTGTTTTCCTTCAATTCTGTGTTATTTCATATTCTTCCAATGGACCACCTGCTTTATACATCAGACTAGCCAGTCAATTTCTATTGCTTAAATCAAAGAATCCTAATTTTTGCAAAGTAAGGATTAGCCATAATAAGGGGAAAATTTGAAGAGGGGACTTTCCACAGAGGTAAACTGTTGTCATCTCTGCCTAGATACTCCTTTGGCTTCCACATGCTAGCTTTGTTGCACGTTAAGCATTGGTTTTGTATCTGTCAGTTTGGTTGCTTTAAAACAACCTTAGATCTACAAAGCCATTTAATTCCAGCTGTGAATGTTTTAATGCCTTTATACTTGGTTCCTAACTGAACAACCATCAGAGGGAAACTAATCAGTTCCAGAGTAGGAGAGAAAAGTGGTCAGTTGGCTCATTTCCCTAACCTCAAATAATTAGCGGTTATTATTTGTACTCAATTCAAAGTGCCATTTCTAATGGTACAAATTAGCAACAAATTAGTCTCATTAGTTATTGTTCATTCAAAGATGGGGCAAGGTGTATACACTACTGTGTATGTGGTGATGGTGGGGTCTTAAAGAAACACCACCAACTCCCTAATTTTTAACTTTTCTTTGGTACAGCAGGAAAAGCTTAAGCCCTGTTTATTTGCATATGTCACAGGCTATGAAAGAATATGGTGTGTCTATGTAAGAACTGGGTTCAAAAATCTACACAATGTTTCTTGAGCAGCACTTGCTGTATTTAATAAGCATACTCCCAGGATTCAACAATGAGAATAAAAATACACAATGCAACACATAAATGCCATCTAGTGAAACATCAAACATCCATCTAACCTGGCATTTTGTTTCTGAAAATGCCACTAAAGCATGTTTTGCTGCATGGTGTGGGAGTTTCCAGGATGGATGACAGGACTGGGAAATGTAGCACAGTGTACTAGATTGAGAGCCAGGGGATTTGTGATCCTGCCCAGCCACTAGCTCACAGTGCAGCAGAATATTCTCTGACATTTGCTTTTGAATCTCCGTCATCAGGCACTTTGTAGGTGCTTAACCAATTTTGAGTGAATAAATGACCAAACTATAACAAATTATTTAAATGCTTTAGTTTCCTCACCTAGCAATTGGAGGTACAAGGTTGGCATTAGGCGATATTATGGGATTGACATTAGGGTCAAATAAGATAATGCATTTGAACTTGGTCTATCTACAAAGCAATAAGAGGTCTGACAAATGTACCTATTATTTATTACATACTAAAACTAGCTAATAAAGAAGTGTTGGCTTGAGCCCTCCTAGGATAACATGGTAAAATAGCCTATGCATTTCTGTGGCTAATGGCATTCTAGTTATATTTTTGCAGACTCCATGATTGCCAAAAGGTGTAGATAATTGCTATAATTTATAATTAATCATTAATTGTGGCATTAACAATAAATTACCCCAAAGATATGTATTGAGCTTTTATCTACTATTATGGAGAGCTATGCCAGTATGTTGAGCCATTTAATAGATGTCTAGACACTTTATATCTCCAATAAAAAGTGACACAAAAATGCAAGAATATATACCATGAGTGAAATAATTTTCACCAAATTTTTTAGAAACTTAGCTGACTCCTTTTTCCAAGAAAAAGCTGCCAAAATAAAATTGTCACAATTTTACATACTTTGTCATGTCTCCATAAAAAATTGGTCTTCTTTAATTTGTTGTCCTTGTAAACAACAGATATTGCCAGGTGATTTGTGGCTGTCATTGGAGTCTCTGAAGCCTTAGACCTTGTAGTAGAATACAACTGGCAGTGAGAATATCTTTTCCACTAGCACTAGTTCCCACTTCTATTAGGATCCATTTGCAAAGCAAGAAACATCAGCCTGTGGGGTCGGCATTTGAATCACATTTTACTGGAACATGATTTCATTTAGACACAAATTTCATGGGAAAGTAGAAAAAATACAGAAACTATAGCTTCTTTGAGTGTCAGGTGAAGCTGAGGGTAGAAAAAACTCATTATAAGTATCAGTTACTCAAATTTCTCTGCCAGGAGTGATTACTAATGCTACATTCATGCATGCATTAAGTGATGATCCAAATAACTCAAGGTAAGAGAGATAATATGCTAACTATTTAGAAGAAAAGATAAAATGTATGCACAAAACAAAGCAATGCTAGGTACCGTGTGTGTTAATGTAGTAAACTCAGGGAAACTGGAGCTGGAAGCTAATAAAAATGACATATTAAGACAATGTATGGTCAAGAAAAAGTCATCTCCCTTTAATCCTCTTTTCATCAGACAGGAGCAGTTTCTGAACTGCACAAGTAACTAAAAGTTAGTGCTTGAAGCTTCAGTTATGTAGTCCTCCGAGATGTAGCCAGCATTTTACTATGCTGCCTAAAGGTGTAAGCTGGGTAAAGCACACTCTTTTGGGCCTTTGAGCCCTACATTATTACATTCTCAAGTGGCCTTATGAGCCCCAAGCACTGTCCCAGGAAGTCAGATGTACAACAAAACAGTCCCTAGAGACTCATCCAGACAGTTGCTACCATCAAAAAGGAGGGTTAATTTGAATTAGATGGCTCTAAATAACTTAAACATGGTAGCCATGGGACAAAGAAATGTTACGTAGCTCATTTATATACCAACCAGTGGTGAATGTTCTCTGCTGGTGACACATGTGTAGCGTGGATATCTGCAAACTGAGAGTCCCTTAGTCTACCTAAAATCAAGGTATATTAAATTGAAATTTTTCTATATGTATTAAATGTTCACGATCACCTCAGAATCTAAGCGAGTGTTCTAGTTCAGAAAAGGGACAAATTATCCAGACACCAGCAAGTGCATTCAGCTAAGCGTGTCCATTATTGCTGCTTCAG
This sequence comes from Homo sapiens, assembly GCF_000001405.40. NCBI lineage: Eukaryota > Metazoa > Chordata > Mammalia > Primates > Hominidae > Homo > Homo sapiens. Next base: position 116,030,294 of record NC_000003.12, read on the forward strand.
CAATAGGTGCACTCTGTGTGATGTCAAGTGGCTGTTCCCATGGACGGGTCATTGCCTTGCTAAATAAAAGCAAATGGAACCCTTCTGAGTCTGCTCACTGAAGCTGCTGTTACTCAGCAAGTCAGCAACTTCTCTGAAATCTCATATTCCCAGACTCTTATTCCAGCCATTTGGATATTTGTTTTTGCTAATTTGGGAAAGCATACAGATGCTGATTTAAGTAGATAGAATGAATAAAATTACTATCTTTCCTTTACCTAGGCAAAATAACTTTTATGTTTCTGGTACTAACAGAACAGGATTTAGATACTGTCCAACCAGAGCAGATGGTTTTACTTGGCAGAAATGTGGGTAGCAAACAGAGGGAAGCTCAAAAAATATCAGGCTACCTTGGGTAGGTGGCAAATAGCAATTGAATGAATTCCAACTGCGAAATGGCACCCTAAGACATTATCAGAGAAAAGAAAAGTGTACTTTTCCCCTTTATACTCCAAAAGATATATTTTTCTATGTGAAAGGAAGTTGCATGGTATAATTCTTAGAGCAGATGAAAATTCGGGTTGCATTCCTGGCATCTACCAGAAATCCACTCCTTATTCCAGGGGAAGCCAGTAGGATTTAGCCCTAAAACATGACATATCCTTAAAAACTTCAAAACATGTCATGGGCAACCAAAATATTTTTTTCTGTGTTCTATTAATTTTGAATTAATTTTTGAATTCAATTTTTGAATTGAAAAAATTGAATGTGAGGAAATATTGCCTATATCCCATGAATGAATTATTTAGCTATTAAGATAATATGATAAAAGATAAGTCATTATATCAAAAGCAAGGAAGATTTTAAACCAGACAGAAAGGACCCATAAGTGAATAGAAAATAGAAGTATAAAGGGTTCGGGGAACAATTCCCTGTCTATTATGCTTAAGGATCATACAAAACAAAATTTACTGAGTGCCTACAACACATAAAGACATTGTGCCAGGCATGAGAAAAGGTGATGAGGGGATAAAACAATAACAATTATGACTTAGATCAACCATGTTTTCTTGTTTCAGCAGAAGTACCAGCAGGAGGTTATCATGAAAATAATATGAAGAGTTACTCTTACTTTTTCAAAATGGCTTACTGTTCATCTAATTTTTCATTTCATTTTGGGAATCAGAAATGTGTAGAGATAACTCTGGTGCTTGTAAGGATCTCTTAAATGTAATGATTTCATGCCTACATAACTAGCCTAAATTCTTTTTTTTTTTTTTTTTTTTTTTTTTTTTTTTTTTTTTTTTTTTTTTTTTTAGTTGCTTAAGGCATACAGTGTTCTTTGCATGTAGAGACGGAGGTAGATTCTAACAGAAACAACTAGGGTGAACTAAAGCATGCCTAGAATACAATGAAAATAATAAAAGTTGTTTTTTGCCACTGCTTAAGGGCCCAGAAGATAGAATATTTAGACCAAGAATATGATTCACAGGAGGTTTTAGAATTTCTTTCTTTGCATTGCCCCTGCTCAAAGCTTACCATGAACCATTTTAAATAGAATGTGGAACATACACATTATTTCCTTCTAAACAAATAGAGTTACCATTGTGAATTAATTAATACATTCACGTCAATTTTAATTGTTTCAAAAATTATAATAATGATAGAAAACACAGTAGTTGCTGCAAAGGTTAAACATAGCTAGGAGAGATAGAATTTCTGTAATTCTAATTAAGTTTGAAAATTCCAGAGAGGTACATAATGTCATTCATGCAGGGTTTGGGATGGGGATAGGGGAGAGAAATCCCAAACGAAACCTTGAATTGATGAATATGAGTTAGATTTTTTTTCCTTTTTATCTTTGTTTGCCCTTCTTTGGAGGGGCAAATCAACATTACATAATAAAAGAAAATACAAACAAGTAGAAAAGTGAGAAGAAATAATAAAAGTAATAATGACAGTAATTAATAATAATATCTAAGGTAGCATAACTTTATACAGTTTGCAAAGCACTGGTATATGCCTTGCCATATTTGATCCATACCACATGCCCGTGTGATAGCTCAGACAGGTATCATTACCACTATGTCTCACCCTTACATTGGTTGGACAACTGAGGCTCAGTGAGTTTCAGTCTCTTGACTGAAATCACAAAGCTAGAGAGTGAAAGTACTAAGTTCATGACCAGTTCTTTTGATTATGTCAAGATGAAAGGAAAGCTTTGATATTTCACAAACTAAATTATATACCACTGACCAGGCATGGTGGCTTATGTCTGTAATCCCAGCACTTTGGAAGGCTGAGGTGTGAAGCAGCAGTTTGAGACAAGCCTGGGCAACATGGCAAGATCTCATCTCTATGAAAAATTTATGGAAAAAAAATTAGCTGGACATGGTGGCACACACCTGTAGTCCTAGCTCTTCAGGAGGTTGAGGTGGGAAGATTGCTTGAGCCAGGGAGATGGAGGCTGCAGTGAGCTATGATCATGCTACTGCACTCCAGCCTGGGTGACAAAGAAGACCCTGTCTCCAAAAAAATTTAAATAAATAATAAATAAATAATTGATAACTGACAAATTAGATGCTGTCATATTGATTAAATTAAACAGAGGCCAAGATAACTGGGGCACAACTAGAGATAAGAAAGTCTGGTTAGGTGGGTAGCTGTGCTCAGCATAGAAATGGAAATGCCACTGATTGCGTAGAAGCAATGGGAGATTCGTTTACTGAAGTTAGTTTTTTTCCTGCATTATTCAGTTCTAAGATTACATGGTTAAGGATTTACTTTCTGATTTTGAGGTATTTTTCTAAATAATGGTGATAATATTCATATGTGCAACTTGAAAAGCTTGAACAATTTTGCAATGGAAATTAGATCCATTTCTATGAGCCTGTTTACTGCCTGTATCACTTCCCTCAATTTGGCCAACATGAAATGGTCTTTCTCCTCTCTCCCTTCTCTTTTTAAAACTCAAGAAGGGGGGCATGGCGATGATGGTGAGAAGGAGCATTCCATCTTTGCTTCCACAAATAAATCCCAAATGGGGCAAGCCTCTCATTAATCTTGAGCTAAATGTGAAGTTAGACATGGAGGGGCCTCTTGTTCCACCTGTCTGTTCAGAGCCCTGGGCATGTTATGGAGAAAATGTCAAAAGATTTCTCTTCTCTTACTTCTGCACCCTGCCGTGATGTTTTATTCAAACCTCTATGTCCTAAGGAAACAAACGCTGCCTATAGAAATCTCCCCCTCGTGGCTCCCGGTCTCACACATAAACACGCACAACACCTGTGTTTAGGAGAGCTGATCAATTCTCACAAAAAGCAGTCTCTCCGTAACATGCTGCGGGGCCAGAGCACTCTAGCGAATGATTTCTGTGGCAGCCACGACCCTCTGTGACTGTGTTTGTATCCATCTGGTAATGCTTGTGCTTATACAACATGATGTGTCCACTGACCCTTCCTTCCAACAAGAAATGATTTTAACTGCCACTGGAACTCTGGGTTCATATAGAAAAAAAACCTGACTGCTGGAAAAATAGGGCTGGGTGTGGGGAGAACGTGATGCAGATGTGCCTGAGAATGGGTCGGAATCAGCAGCTCGTCCACAAGGGAAGAAAGGAGGAATTTTTCTTGCTTGACTTTGCATCAGCTCTATATTTGGTACTGCCCTTGTGGCCAGCAGGGATAGTAGCTTTTCCATAGGGTCTGGGCTGGAAATCTATAGAGACTACATTTGAGTTTCTATAGAAACTCTAAGGAAATTGAGCACAGGATGAGGAAAGTGAGCGGCTCCCACTGTCTCTATGTCCCATTACAAGCACATGAGACAGGTTACAAAGCAAGAATTAGGACAAGATGGTCATGGTGGTCATGCAATTGGATGCACATTGGCACAGTCAGTTAAGGTACCTGACATGAGGGATCCTTTGTTCTCAGTGAGCCACAGACTGCACAAGGCAGAGACACATGCAGCAGCAGTGAGTAGGATTCCTGTTTTTATCGGTTCCAAACAGCTCCAGATGGACTGAGAACCAGGCCTGGTGGCCACCAGGAATATTCTTGATTCTCAGCCCATATCTCTTCCTTTTTAATCCATGAGGAAAGGGCGAGCTGCTCCCTGTCTGTTCCTCTACCCATCCTCCCTCTGCCTTTGGCAAGTCACTTAACCTCATCTGGAATATAACTTGGCCCCCAGAGACTTTGGACATAGGGTGTTTTATTTCCAAGAGTCAGACTTGTCATACCAGCAGAAAGCACAGTGCCTAGTTTGATATGGCTTTTCATTAGCTGTGTGATAAGGGAGTTAACGAATCTTCAATACCATGTGTAAAATTACAAGGAAACAATACTCAGGGCCACTTGTGATTACTTTGCTCTCTTAGCCTTTTGCTAATGCTTTTTCATTAATTATACAGCCATCACATTTCTCCTGATGGTAAAATACCCCAAGTGGCTCAACTCCAAACTGCAAATGTTTAGCTATTTGCCCTTCCTCTAATGATTACAGGCTGTGTGAGAGAACATAATATTAGCCTCTTTCCATGTTATGAAAATTGAAGGTATGCCCAGAGAAGCTAAGGTTTAAGCCTCAAAGAAAATCTTCTCCAACATATTTAACATATATATAGTGTTACCAAAGAAACGTAAAAGAATGCAAAACATCTCCTCTCTACTGACTTTTCATGAAGCTGCACAACACATTAGGCTTTGCCTTATGCTGGTCCCTCTGATGGCTTTGGGAGTCAGATCAGGTTTCAGCTATAAGCCAGCTGGTGCCATCCATTTAAGGGAAAACAGTTATGTAAGTGAAAAAGATTCTAATCACTAAGTCTAATTACAAAGTAGAGTAAATTATTATAGATGTTTTTTAAAGTATCTTAAAACACTGTAAAAAAGAAAAATTAGGAACCAAACAGAAACCTGCTATGCTGGTAATTGATAACATGTTTGGGATTAAGACAGTCACATGTTAAATTTTATATGCTACTGCTATTTGTGAAACATGACTCCTCATTCACACATTAAAAACTGTATAACCTTTCTCTCTGTTTCAATCAGATGCTACATTGTTTGACTCAAAGTACACCTTAGATTATAGGTCCTAACCTGGAGTAATAGAAATGTTTCACTTACACTGGACAAAGGGAACATCAAATTAGTCTACTAATATGATAATAATTTGTCAAGAGAAGGAAAAGGGGGTGGGGAAATGAGTGACACTTTACATAGACGTGTGAATTTTCCAAATGCAGATCTAGCCTCTCCTATTTAACATCTTTCATTAAAATATTTCAAATGCTACACATTCTCCTAATTGATGCAAAAAAACAAAGACAAACACATTAACATTTAATCCTTGGTTTATACACTAGGCTTCCACCCAGATATTTCTTAAATTAGCTCTGTTTATACTCTGTCCAGCGACCATGGACCTCACCATTTAGTCCATCTGCTTCCTGGAAAAATGAATGTGTGTGCTCTTAACTTTCAATGTGCTTCTGAATGGTATTCTCAATTTATTGTCTATTATGTCATTGGACGTTGTGGAGAAGGCTGTCAGTGCTCACCAAGTATCTATGTTGCTTCTCGACATTCTCCAACCTCTTGGGGTTCCTTTGGGACCATACAACTGGGCTGTAGCCAAGAAAATGTTGGGAAATGTGAGGTAAGCAATATGGAGGCCTAGCCCTTAAATAAAAGCCCCTTCTTACCTTGTCACAGCGACTGTGGTGGATACACGATCAAGAAGGCATAGCTGCTACGTAACAGAGGCATGCATAAACTGAACTGGACTACATGAGCAAGAAATAAGTCATGAGAACTCAGTAGTATCTGCTTCAGCCACTAACATTAATGACCAAAATGACTCTGATGAAAGCATCATTAAGAAGAGAAAATTACACAACTTTTATTTAGGAGTGTATGGGTCTGAAAGTCAGAAACTTGATATGATGTCCTCTCAGAGTCCCTCATGTTTCCTGACTATGACCACTGAATGGAAACTCTTTCTTCCTCCATTGAATGGAGACTTTGGATGTTAATGAGTACACAATTAATCCTCCAGTCTACTCATCCATTTCTTCTTTATTTTCTGACGAGTTATAGCCTCCTGCCTGACAGAGGCCGTCACCTTGTAAGAGATATAGGCCTTATAGGAACTTCTCTGCTCTGTGATTCTGAAGCCACAGTTCAGAGTCAGAAATTGATGTCTTTGACTAATTCTGTGCCTCACTTTTGTCTTCACTGCCTGTCAGGCATTCGTTATCTGTGAGCCCACCCCAATTATAAATCTTTGGTGCTAAAAACCTGTAAGTGGCTACTTCCAGGCCCCTAACCTATAAGTCACTGAGCCTGGAAATTTGGCAATCTCAAAATGGAATTTTATAAAATGCATAGTGTCAAAGAAAGTATTCTGTAAAATCTAAACAAAGATAATATAAGAGTATTATTGAATTAGCAAAATGGCATTCTCATCAATAGAGTCACAACTTCCATTCACAACTATTAAGATAATGAACAGTACCAAGTATTTCTAGAAATTGCTTGAGGAAATATTGTACTAAAAATTCTTACTTTGCAGTCCAGGTACTATAACCAAGTTTCTCTCCATTTGCATATGCTAGCTAGTAAATAGCATAGCTGCTGGAATAAATGAGTCCTGGATAATATTTTTGGCTTTCTCTCTGTCTTGGTATCTTTTGTACCTGCAGATCTTTTTTTCTTCCTCCAGCTAGAGGAGAAAGACAATACCTCAGGAATTATTTAAGGAAAATCTGTTACATAATCAATGCAAGGACTCGGGGACCTCTGTATTAGTTTCCCTTACTGAAATACAAAATTATGCTTTATCAGAACAAATAAGATTTCAAACATAGGTCAAGTATGTTCTCAGTTTCCCATAGTGAAACAATTCTATATTTGGCATTTTGCAGGTTTCCTTATTAAACAATCATTTCTTCATAAGAAAAACATAAAGGAATTTCACTGAATATATTTCTAGTACAGAAGCTATTTTTAAGGCCAACCAGGGAGGATTTCAGGATAATAGTGAGAGGGACAAACTGAAAATGTGTGACTCTGGATAGAAAATAAGATCTGGCCTACATAAGTAAGCAGTTATCTAAGAGCAGTCCCATTCACTAAATGCAAGGCTTCAGGAGACCTAGATTTTGAGCCCCATACTTTCTCTGACTCTCAGTAGGGCTCCTTCATGCTACAAAATCTCTCCATAGTTCAGTCTCTTTATCTCCAAAGAGATAAAAATAACATTCCAATTTTCTAGATTCCAGGACAGACACAAGGATTAACTAAATCATTTAGGGAAAGTATATTGGGTATATATGCTTAGAATATTTTCTTTTATGTAATCTTCTTCTCAGAAAGCACAAAAGGAAGATAAAATTGAGCCAGAATTGTATGGTAACATTACTGATTTTTATGTAGGGCTTGCAGAATATGTCCCATGACTATGTGGTTATACTTGGCCTAGCACACCTTTATAGTTTGTATGTGCATATATATAATCATATATATAATCATACTGATATATATATATCAGTAATGTCCTATATGACAAGATTGTACTCAACTTCAGTGGTATAAGCTTATTCTGTTTAGATGAGCATTTTAGAAGTGAACCAGGAGGACTAACCCTTGAGCTGAATTTCCATAGTCTCATGGTTAATGCTTCCTTATATGGATGAACATAAGAGGCCAGGGATCTAGAATAAAAGATATGAGTGTGATCAATGTCCTGAACAAAGGATGTCTGAAGATCCAAGAGGATGGGGACTATCTCTTTCAATATGTATTCATAGTGTATAATTTGGTGGTTAGACACTGGGTTTCAGAGCCTTGTTTCAGTCCCAGTTCCTCAATTTACTAGCTATTTAATCTTGGGGAAATTACTTAATCTTTCAGTTTTCTCACCTGAAGGATGGGAAAATTAACTTATAGGCCTTTACAAATTTTAAATAAAATAATGCGTGTGAAATACATGATGTCTGGAATATAGGAAGTATTCATAATAAATGTCACTAATCTCTGAAGACGCCAGTGCCACCTGATTGGAACATCAGAAATAGTGATTTGAAATATTTCTCTGGAACACAGAAAGGGAAAGCATGAATAAATGTATCAGTGAAGGCCAGAGACCTCTCTCTGGACATACACTTTTGGGAGGTAACAGGTGACCAGCAACTTTTATTTACTTGAATCTGTAACATCTCTGTAGAGAAAACTAAAGCATTAAATAGGATTTATTTCTTGAACCGTGGAATGCCTTGAATACTTTCTTTTTATTTCTAATTCCTTTGCTCTCAGATGAGAGCTCTCTCCCCTTCTCTGAGATGTATGCTATATATATACACCCGCCTCTCATTCTGAGATACACACTACAGTCACTTAGCACTTCCTCTTTTAATTGAAGGCTGTTCATTTGGCTGGCCTAAAGTAAGAGAGAGAAGTGCAAGTCAGAAAGACCACGAAGGGCAACAGAATAGAAATATTGCTCAAATGCTTGTCATTTTCTGCATGTTATAAGACAAAAGACTGAGATCTTCCCTTATATTGGGTAAGAGTTATAGTTGATTGAGAAACCACAATTGAATAATGTTTCTTTTGTGCAAATAAAAATACCAACCTTAAGGCAGCATTAGAATACTTTGCATAGCATTTACTTCAGGTTTTCATGAGAGAGGGAGGATAAAAACAACCTATATTTGATGCAGTTCCAAGGTCTTTCTTTTTTTCCCTGCCAGTGTTTGCAATAGCCTATATTTAAATGTATAGAGGTGTCTTCAGAGAACCACAGGCATAGAGAATTAGAAGTCTGTAACTGGAAGCATCTTTCAGGGTTGAGAAATGTAAGCTATTGTGAAAGCTCAACAATACATGTTGAAACAAATCTTTTGGAAATGATTGAATTGAATGTTTTCACATAAGCAAATCTACATTTGTCATTCTGAATTCTTTTTATGGAAAGATGGTGTTTCCCCCTCCTGTTTAGGTAATTAAAACTAGTCACTTGATGATCATTCATTATCAAACATTTCTGCACATGGCAAAAAATGCTTTGGGGATGAGACCCTGCTTATACAATTTCATCCATCAAAGGAAGTCTTTCTCCAGAAGCTATTATTCACTCTGTGAGAGTACATTTAAAAGCATTACTTCACACCTAAGTAACGTGTTAACAGCACAGAGTGTCTCTCCCTTGGTGGCTAGGCTCCAGTGCCTGTATTTTATGGAGGCACCATGCACCATCTTGAAAAGCTGGACAGCTTCCAGTAGCATTAGGGTTTGGAGGAAGAGCTGTTGCTCCTTAGAACTTTACTTCTCTTGGGAATATTATTGTTTCAATTTATTTTAATGCAATGAGTGGGAGAGAAGGTGGGAATAAAATGCCTACACAGAAGCCTCTATCTAACAGTCCTGCTGGGTGGGGCATTACAAAGAGAGGCCACAGGAAAACCTTTGAGAGTTTGGAGCCTGCTGCGTGAGAGAGATAAAAGTAGAAACAGCAAATTGGCTGCAATACGAATGGCAGGTGCATTTGTTCACTGGAGGCAAGTTTGGCAATTTAGTTTTCAATGACCAGCTTGTCTCTTTAAGGTTCACCTTTCAAAGTCCTCCTTTTTGCCCTCAACATACATCGCTAAAGCCCTGTCTCATCTTGAGTCCCCACGCTCCAGGTAACAGCAGCTCTTTACTCTGCCTCTCTTTGGGGGGGGAAAAAAACTGGTCCCCTTTTCTACTTACTGGGAGTGGAATTAAACAGAAGGCAATGGAAAGCTCGCTGAAGCACAGTGCACAGTAGAATGACATACCCAAAGAGAAAGCAAATTCCTGTTATGTGTGGATAGTTTTATCCTTCCTGGGTAAACACAGTTGAGGGGAGGGGAACTCTCAGGCAAAACACTATGATTCTGACCTCACTCCAGTATTTCTATAGATGGAAGAAAATTCAATGCGTATGTTCCCACTGCCAGAATGGGACTTAAGAGACACAGGTCAAGGGAGAAGAATTCAGAATGGAAAGCTGATGAGAGCAATCTGTCTTCGCTGAAAGGAGATGAAGGGAGGTGACAGTTGTCCAACGGTCTCAGATAAGCAAGGAGAAATGACTGCTATCTGTGTAGAGCTCATCTGGACAAAAAAACTACATTCATTTTTCCCTCTACATAAAGCACACATAACCTTGAAATGCACATGCTCTACATGCCATCTCTTGTTTATTTGTGTACCCACCATTCTTATTCCATTGGTTGTTTCTCACTTCTGTATTTCTGCCATTATTAACTGCCCTAGCAATTCCACAAAAGAAGTGAACATAATCTCAAATAAAATTGTGATAACACCGTTTGGAATACCTTTGATGGAATGTAGGTGGCCATGGAGGAGTCTCCCAAGGCAGCTTCATGTTAGGAAACCTGAAGTGGCTAGAGTAAATGAGGTCACTTTTCTTTTCTTCTCTTTCTTCCTTTTTTTTCTTTTAAGAGACAGGGTCTTACTCTGCTGCCTAGGCTGAAGTGCAGTGGCTCATGCCTGCTGCAGCCTCAAATCTCTGGACTAAAGCAATCCTTCTGAGTTGCTAGAACTACAGATACATGCCGCCATGCCTGGCTAATTTGTTTTCTTAATTTAATTGTATTTATTTATTTACTTTTTTGGAGACAGGGTCTCACTCTGTCACCTAGGCTAGAGTGCTGTGGTGTGATTACAGCTCACTATAGCCTCAACCTCCTGGGCTCAAGTGAGCATCCCGCCTCAGCTTCCAGAGTAGCTGGGACCATAGGTGTGAGCCGCCACACCTGGATAAGTTTTAAACTTTTTGTAGAAATTGGGTCTCACTATATTGCCCAGCCTGGTCTCAAACTACTGGCCTCAAGTAATCTTCCTGCTTCGGCCTCCCAAAGTGCTGGGATTATAGGCATGAGCCACCATGCCTGATCCTACATATTTTTAAGGCCCATATTAGCCAACAAAATGGTGAATTGATTCTGAGGAACAATCAAAAGAAGAATATATAACAAATAAGTGATTTCTGAATTGCACAGTTGCTTGTTAATGAACATCAATTTATCAAACATGCTTGTCCAAAGTTTAGCCAAAGATTGATGAAACACATATGATCTCAAAATCATCTCTCCCCTTTTATAGAATCAAAGGCCTCTGAATTTAGGCAGACAAATATGATTTATATTCAAAATTCAGTCCTTTTGCAAGTAAATGATTGAACTGAGTGTCCCTGGGATGAAGCCTCTTCTGCTTGTTCCTGTATTGGACAAAGAGCGGAGGAACTTAGGTGCTGCACTTTCAAACAGCATTGATTTCAAACATTGATCGTGCCATAGAGATGTGTACCATAAAAAATGACAGTAGAAGCAAATGCTTGATACCAACCAGAAACCTCTCAGTCCTCTCAATATATACAACTCCTGAGATAACACTTGATTTTAATTCAGCAAGAAGGAAGCAAAGTCATACATATGTTTTGGGAACCACAAAAGTAAATGAAAGCATGCAAAAAAAAACAAAACAAAACAAAAAAAAAACACCTTGATTTTAAAATGGAATACATCATTTTATATAGCAGCCAGGTTTGAAAACTTCATAAATGTGGGGGCATTTTTTTCCTATGGTTATTTTACTTGGATATGTTTGGATGATTAATTTATGCTTGAAGTAAACTATGCTACTTATTTTTCCTTGACATATATCTCGACACACTGCTATAATAGAACCAACATATGTATATATTATACAATTCACTTAGAATTAATTGTGCACTAAGGTTATGGATAATGTTAGGTGATGAACAGGATCTTCACTGCCTTAAAATTTTATGTGTACTATTCTGAGGCATGTGTAACTCTATCAAGTTTAGGATTACCTATTATCATGTTCCCACTATGATAAGATATGAAGGGTTATAACAATACCTAACATTCACTGAGCACTTACTAAGTGTTTTGCACATAATTGTTCATTTAATCCTCTGTCCTACTGTAGGAGCTATTAATGGTACTAATGGAAATACCAAATATTTTTATTTTATGGATGATAAAATAGTCTGGGTTAGAATCCTACATCTGTTCTGTTCTATCGGTCTTAAGACTCTGGCAGTATCAGTATCTACCAGTCTAATAAAGAGCATTTCTTTTTTTTTTTTTTTTTGAGACAGTGTCTTGCTCTGTTGCCAGGCTGGAGTGCAGTGGCACGATCTCAGCTCATTGCAACCTCTGCCTCCTAGGTTCAAGCGATTCCCCTGCCTCAGCCTCCCAAGTAGCTGGGATTACAGGCACATGCCACCATGCCCGGTTAATTTTTTGTATTTTAGTAGAGACGGGGTTTCACCATGTTGGCCAAGATGGTCTCAGTCTCCTGATCTCGTGATCCACCCGCCTTGGCCTCCCAAAGTGCTGGGATTACAGGTGTGAGCCACCGTGCCTGGCCTAATGAGCAGTTCTTAATCAAGTAATCTGTCTGCATGATTTCTTTCTTTTTCACCATTCTGCATGTATGTGTCTCTGCCAGACACACATACTTGGTAGCAAAGAATGATGTTACTGAACAAGGTGGATAATCTTTCAGTCAGAGTTGTATAAACAACTGTGTTCCTATTCTAGAAACTCCAGGAGTATAATGACCCAGTGCCTTTTTTATCGCTCAATCTATCCCTGATCTGTTTGGAAATTTTACACCTTTCTAGTACAAAGCTTCTCAACCTTGGAAGTATTGAAATTTTGGGCTAGATAATTATTTGTTGTGGGAGTTTTTACATGATATAAAGCAACATCCCTGGCCTCTATCTATTGGAAACGAGTAGTATTCACTCATTTGGATGGAATTTACATTCTTTGAGATGCTGTTCCACTTAATTAAAAATTGATGGTTTTACTTATTACCATTACTTTTTACTTTTTAAACACTCCTCTCTGGTTATCATATGCTTTTTTTAAAAACAAACTAACCAACTCATCAAAAACTTTCCGATTTAGGTGATTGCAGACAAGGGTCTAAGACAAGCATTCTGTTTACCTTCTTCCATGTAGAATGTGAAACATGATAATTCTGGCGGGATAATACATAATTATGAAAATCAGCTTAATGCCAATGGACACAAAAAGGTTGCTTCTGATTCTCTACTTTGCTTGAGGAAGGAATGATGGCAGTATCTACCTAACTCAGAGCAGATGTCACCCCACACAAGGCAACAAAATGGCATTTCCTGGGCATAAAAGCAGCATCACAGTGTGAAATGCTATCCAACAAAACTTACTAGGGACACCACTAAGTTAGCTTGCTGCTCTGTGAAGCAGACCTGCCAATAAGACCTGGTCTGTTGTGTGCAAATGGATCTATATGAAAATGAAAATAAAAAAATATTCTTGCCGGGCGCGGTGGCTCACGCCTGTAATCCCAGCACTTTGGGAGGCCGAGGCAGGCGGATCACGAGGTCAGGAGATGGAGACCATCCTGGCTAACACGGTGAAACCCCATCTCTACTAAATATACAAAAAATTAGCCAGGCATGGTGGCAGGCGCCTTGTAGTCCCAGCTACTCCAGAGGCTGAGGCAGGAGAATGGCGTGAACCGGTCAGGCGGAGCTTGCACTGAGCCAAGATCGCGCCGCTGCACTCCCGCCTGGGCGAAAGAGCGAGACTCCGTCTCAAAAATAAAATAAAATAAAAATTAAAGAAAAATTCTTAATGTCTTTCCACTTATGCTTTCAAAAGTTGCTCTACTCTTCCTCCATGAGCCCTCTTTACCAATTGAATGCAGAGACAACATTATCCCCTTTTTAATTAATATATTACCTATTAAGAATGCTCCAGATAGATGGACAGATAGAAGGTACTCAGGGAAAATGCTCAGGCTTGATTACCTGCAGTGTGTTGAGTACACAGAGAAAGGCTGCTTTGCTTTCTGGATGGAAAGCAATGGGAATAATAATATGTAAATTGATGTATCAAAATTTCTGAAAGCTCAGCGTTATTTCCCCTTGCCCAAAGATTTCACCTCGCCTTATTAACTATTCTAACAACCCTACCTTTCTTTTTTGTTTGTTTGTGTAATTCTTGTTTCCTCCCATTTAGCACACAGAAAAAAGCATTAGTAACACTCCTGGTTTTAAATGAACCCTATTAATATTCGTCTCTGCAAGGGACTCTGGGATAATTTTGATAAATGTGGCCATGAAGCTGATCTGACAGAGCTGAGTGTGATGTTTGTGTGTTCATGGAGAACCGTTTCATGCATAAAAGGGTGACAGACTGAAATGGGGAGTCTGACAGGTCTCTATTTCTGGGCCACAGTTAGCAGCTGAAAGTAGAAATATAATTGTATCTAAAAAAAAAAAAAAACTAATGCAAAACAAAAGAAGCAATCTTTATGAAGATAAAACAACCCCACTGGTTTCTGATTAGAAGGTAATTCATATATCACAATCCTCAGCTCTCACAGCCCCAGCTGGCCAGACCTCCAAGGCTGTACAGGAGGGTAATGTGAACAAAACCTGTGTTTGTAAGAAGGAGAGGTGAGCATGGGGAGCTCAGGCTGCATGGAGTGGCTTCCATTTCTTTCTGTGTCTCCACTTCCTCCAGCAGTGGAAGATGCCCTGAAAAGACTAGATGCCTTTCAGTCGTGATTACATTTCCAGAATGGAAAGAAAGAAAAAACAAAAAACAAAAAAACCCAGGCTGCCATTTCTGAAAAAGCTTTGTAGCAAATGTCAGACGTTTTGAAAATAGGATCATTCCATATACATGGGTTGCCTGAGGTAGGCTTCACAAAGGTTCTTAGCTTTAAAATGGAATACATAAATAAGCAGTAGGGTATTGAAGGATTATGAGCAGCATAAAGACAGTTATTGAAAATGTTCAAAAGGATCGTCTAACCTAAGCAAGATGAAACTCCAAATATAGGCATGTAGAATAAAAGAGAAGAAATTTAACTACTTTCTTCAAGTGCCTCTAAATTCTGCACTTTATTATCTTTACCAATCATTTATTAATTTTTATTATGAGCATTGGTCCTATTTTGGGGACAGGTATTTATTTCCTCAACATAAAAGTTTATAGAAGATCACAATGAATGTCTTTGAAGGGAATGTGGCAGGAAACAAGTAGGGAATGAAGGCAGTAGTGGTAGTGGTTAGAGGTTTCACTGTCATATTTTGGAGAGTCAGCAAACCTGGGAAAAGATGATAAGAAAAAAAGTATATAACCACAGACAGCTCAAAAATATTTTTCATTGGGTGGAGGTGGTAAAAAAAAAAAAAAAAAAAAAGCCTAAAATGGCTGATTAGGTCAGAGTTTTTCAAATCATCTCCAATTGCAAAGCAGTGAGAAACAAGCCCTGTTTTATAAAAAGTGAGAATTCTTCATAAGTTGGATGTTACTTAGGTGTCTCTGAGAACAGAATGTAAAAATTAATGATTATATGCCTATCATTTATTGAGCATATACTATATAACAGGCCTTGTTTTAAGAATGTTTTATTTAATTACCAGATTCTTCCTTGAGATGTAGATATTATTATGCCTACTTTACACATAATTAAACTTTGCCCCAAAGAGATCAAATACATTTCAATGTAAATGGCATCTCTGTTAAGGAAATAACCTAGGCTCAATTTTAAACTCCCCAAAGTTTCATAGCTTACAGGGTCAGAGTCCAGGTCTGCCTAACCTTGGAATAGAAAGTCTTTACTCCACTTACTCATGCTTTTGAAAATTTGGCCTTTGTGTTAGGAGACAGGAGGTAGAAATCCCTTTCTATGAGCTAAAGTAGGCATGTTAGCTAATCAAGTCATTCTTCATCCATAAAAATTGTTGCCTTTCTCTAATAAGTCATATAAGGAAACTCAGTCAACATAGCATTTCCTAGAATTTAAATACACACCAAAGCTGTACTTTGAAGCTGACATTCTGGGCTACATTGCCTTTGGGTTGAGGCAGCCCTCCTGTTCTTAACTTGTTTACTGGGAACTGCACCTGGTAGAGGCATCTCCATCTGGTGGTCCAATCAGAACCCATTAAGCACTGAGGTAGACTGCCTGGAAGTGGAAAATATGGACTAGGGAAGCTGAGCCTGAGCTACATGACTTCACCTTTGGAAAAAAGAAACAGGAAAAAAAAAATACAGCCCATACAGCTTGCAGAGCAATTGTTCCTGCACAGAACTCTGGTCTAATTGATTTGGACACCACAGCTAATTTTCCCTCAGACATCTGTTAGCACACATTAGTGGATGTCGTTAGGTAGGGAGGCACTGATTAGATGGGGAGCAGAGCTCAAAGGCCCTGGTTTTGGAGGCTGGAGCAGACGGAGGAATGACAACAGATAGAATCTGCCAGCACCCCAGCAACGTCAGATACTTCTGCTGCAGCAACCCTGAAAGGAAGCAATAATTGCTAGGGAGCCTTGGCAGTTGTGCATAATAGTCTGATCCTTTCTTGCATTTGCCCAAATAATAAGCATCTTCTGAATTTCTAAAGGCAAAACAAGAGTGCTCCAGATACCAACAGGGCCAAAACACACATGAAATGAAGATAATCATTGTCAATACCCCTTTCGCTTCTTTCTCCAAATCTCATTCATTCCTGTATTTTAGACATTAGTATGTAGCAACTATTCCAGGGGCTCACTCATACCCAGTCAGGCAGATGAAAAAATGGCTGATCAGGTCAGAGTTTTTCAAATCATCTCCCGTTGCAAAGCACTGAGAAACAAGCCCTGTTTTATTTATTCTTTCTTATGCAGCCATGCTCAGATACTTAACTGATGCTGGAATGCAGTTCCTATCCTTTGGGACACGTATTTTGGTTATACAAGTCAGAAAAAATAATCTGATGCCCTCAAGAAAATCCTCCACAAGCCAGTCTGATGACTACTCTCTCAACGAATACATTTAAAAGATTATGATCCTCTTTCAGAAGCAGTACAATGTCATGCATCACAAATAAGCTGAAGAAAGAAAAGGTTGCAACTCAGTCCGAAACAGAAAAATCCTATATAGAGGCAAATATTTCAAAGAGTGGTACAGACTTAATCTTTTCCTTACTGTTCCTAGTGTCTTTCTTAAAATACGAATCTAGTCTAAAAAAAAAAAAAAAACAAAACAAACAAAAAAAAACTGTAAGGTAAAGTCAAATATTTTAAGGTGTTTAAAGCCCATCATTCTGGACTCGACCAATTTTTTTCCAGGTTTGTCTCTTCCAATTCCTCTCCATGTTCCTTTTTCTCTATTTAAAACAGACTATTTGCTATTACCTGTACATCCCAACCACTTCTACATGCATGCATCTCTTTCTTTTGATCCTTTTGCCTCCTTGGACAACTCTGACTTCAAGACCCTGCCCCTATTTTCCTCCTCAGTGAAATCTTCCATATTCTAGGGAAAAAGCCATTTCCCCTCTGTGTGCCAACTGGACCCTGTTCACATTTCCATAGATGTTGTCATTGAACATTATAATTTTTAAATTATTTTTGAAATTGACAGGTAAAATTATATGTATCATGTACAATGGATGTTTCGAAGTATATGTACATTGTCAAATAGTTAAATCTAGCTAATTAAAAATGCATCACCTCACATAGTCATCACTTTTGTGATGAAAACACTTAACATCCACTATCTTTGCATTTTTGAAGAAAAAATATACTCTCATCGACTATAGTCACTTATTTTTGTTTGCATTTCTGTTCTTCCCTCCTTGGCATCCATGCACCTTTACCGTTTGATGGCAGGGCTGTTCTTAGTCAACTTTGAATTTCCAAAATCTGACACAGTGCTTGGCATATGATAGGCCCTTACTAATAAATATCTGCCAAAAGGATGAATTTGTGAATAAACTTTGCCACTGAATACAACTATCTGGGTAGCAAATGGTAAAGGGATTTGTTGTTAGAGAAGAGTATCAATGACAGGGCTTCTGAATGATCATGTATGTTTCACTTCATAAAGTTAACAAACATATATATCTTGAATAACTTTGTTGTGTGTGTGCATTCTTTACATAAGTTGTCAAAGAATCACCAAACAAAATGTCCTGTAATATCCAGTCTACCAAGGAAGGAATATTTTGTACAATATAGTTGTGAAGGCTAAGTAATGATTAGTTATATCTGAGATTTTGAAATATAGTGCATTAAAGTGGGGTGACGATAGGCAATGCTTAAAGTATCCACAAAAGCACATCTCTGTATAGTGTGACTTAGCTATGGACTATACATTTGGACAAGAAGAAATATAAACAGAGTCACATGACTTCAACTGTGAGTAAAATGAACAAATGTAAATCTAACAAGTCTTTTGTGTGAGCTACTTTTGCATTCACACTACCCTAATGATAAGGGAGGACAGAATCAAATTGAACTATCTATTTAGTACTTATTACGTATTAGAAACTATGCTATGTCCTTTCATATTATTTAAACAGGGTCTTATCATCATATCAATATTAAACATCAGAAACTGAGGTATAATGAGATGATATAACTCATCCTAGTCACAGAGCTAGAGGTGTAGACCAGAATCAAACCAGTGTTCCGGTTTCAATCCATGACTCCTTGCACTATGTAGTACTGCCTGTTTCTGCATCACGATATGAGACAAAATGTAATGTAAAGAAGACATGCAATTAAAAATAAAGAGGGCCAAGGACTCCTGGAGTTGAAGAGGTGAAAGAATATGCAGGAATGAATTAGCTGAATTTCAATGCTGCAAATGGGAGCTGATACTATAGAAGTTCAGTGGAGAACAGAACCTCCTCTAGGTTCACTCTCAGACAATGATTAGGAGACAGTAAATACACTGTCTATGTTACAGAGCATTGAAATGCTCAACCAGAGCTTGAAGCCAGGGTTGTCCATCTGTCCTAGCTTTAATGGGATTTACTGGGCTTTGCTATCTCTGCTTTCTGCCAAACAGAATCAGAAAGCATCAGTGTTGGTAATTTAGGAGCAGTTTTTGGCCACATAAGTGGCTGTTAGTAGAATTTATGGACAGTAAAGCTTGATTCAGGGCCAGCCTGTAGCAAAACCAGGGAGCAAGCCATTCATCTTCAGTAGTCTCTACCTTCTTAAGTGTGCCATTTTTCCCAGTGACAATTAGTTGGGAAATAAACTATTTGAAAAATTCCAGTAATTAATTGCAAGGTGTTGGTTGCATCTGTCACCTGTTCCTCCAATGTCACCCAACAAAAGATATTTGCCTTTCAAACTCTGTGTTTGTAGGGTAGTTACAATGGCGATTACAATAGGGTGGTTACTTACATAATATGGTGGTTACCTTTGCTGACTACTCATAAAGTTACAATTTTGTTTTGAATGGATATAAGAGGTCTCTAGCTGCCTCATGTATGACGCTACCCATATGTTCCTGGATCAATTAAACATTTTTTTCTGAAGGATAGTTCTGGATTTATAAGAATCTATTTATAATATGAATTATAAGCCCTCAGAAATTAGAGAAAAATATGAATCTTTTCACTTTATATTTCTTTCACATGAACATTTTAATCAACATCAATTGCTGAATCAAAACAGACACGCAAGATTGAGTTAGACACTAGATATGTTTTTTACTCAAGGGAAGCCAAAGGTTCTGTTCACTTACCCTATTTGACAGAGAAGCTGTCCCTTCAAAGAAAAAGTAAAGGTTACACAAATCCTGGGAATTATTCTTTTGCTGGATACCCTCCATTTACACAGAGTGGCCCATCCCCTGATGTCCCCTGCTCTGTGCCCTGGGAGGCTGATCACCTGAATTATATCAATGACATCCTTGTCTCTGGCTTCCAATTGGGATCAATCAGTGAGGAATATTAATAAAAGATCTGAAAGGGTGGCAGAGTGATATCTGGGCATTTATTTCCCTGACTCCCACAACACAGCATCTCCATGGGCTGCCTGTGTTCTCCTGGTACAAGTCCTAGTGCTTGTCAGAGGCTCTCTGCACACAGTGCTCTGTTTCTCTAGCTCCTGGTAACCACTCCCTCCCATTACCCTCTTCAGACCTAAAGGTGTTAACAGCTTCCTGATGTTACTAGCCCCAGAGCACTGCACTATCCCCCTTGATTTCCTTACCCCCTGCCTCTTGTCCAAATATTAAAAAAAAATTTCTATTAAACTCCTTTGACATTATCCAATTTAAGTTTGCCATCTGTTTCCTGCAGGGAGTCTCACCAAAAAAGCCCTGTAACTCAGGTTTACCTTTATTCTGAAGCCTGAATATGGTCCTTGGGGAAATTAGGGGGAAAAAAAAAAAGTATCCACTAAGTCACATGGTCAAAAATGGGTGCTTTAGCCTAGAAAAGCACCAGCAAACCAGATGAATTTCTTAGGACAGATACTGGCCGTTATGCTGTGGCTTACATTCACCCACTAAAGCATGCTTCCTAGCCAAGGTTTTAATAGCAAAATAAAAGGTTTGGAGTCAGCTTTGCTCTCTTTCCCCAGGCCAAGGGCATATTTCCCAGTTACTTCTAAAGGACTTCTTTCTTAAAAGATCCAAATATGAGTTGCTATGAAATTCTGTCTTTTTTCCAAGAACCATATAATTCATTTGTATCTGTAGTATGATCAATGACATCTTGTGGAAGATAAATTGTGCCTTATAAGGCCATAGTACGGGGCACACCAGAATGCCAACAGGACTCCCAGCAACAACTTCAGAATTCCAAGAAAGTGTTAAATAATAAAAACTAGCACAGAGTACTTGAAATGGTGATATAATAAAATCTTCTTTCATGTCTGCCTCCAGCAGAAACCTGGTGGCAGTAGCAGTGAGGGACATATTTGGGAGCCTCATTTTCCCCTCCAGAGGTAATGGAATCTACAATTCAAAAAAAGAAGGAAAGAAAGAAATCACTTCAGTACCTGGCACAGCTAAAAGTTGTGAATCATCAAGGCCGGCCCAGGAGCAGCAAGGTGAATGACGGTGACCTCCCTTGTCAGGTTTTAGCCTCCCGTACATTTGGCATGCAAAACATAGGTTTAAAATAGCTTTCCTGCAGGTTCCATGTGACTCGTCACTGGACCCAGCCAGCACAAAAGGGTTGATTAGTGAGGGAAAAAAAGAGAATCTTCTCCTGAGATGACTTCCAAAAGCTGCTTCTTGCAGCACAAATCTCCCTTTGAAAATGCAGAACTGGCTAGGAAAGGCAGCAGCATTCTCTCCTCCAAATGATTGAATTTTTCTTTGGGAATCCTTTATTATTGTTGTTGTTGTTTGTTTAAAGAATGTCACCTTCCAGCTCCAACAACCCTTACTTTGGAGAGATATCAGGATGTGAAAAATCAAGGGGCAATCCCTAAAGCCATCACCCTAGCTTTCTTACCCACTAGCTTTGGGCAGACAGAATCCAGACCCCTCTTTACAGAAAGTAGAAAGTTTTGAGCAATGGCTTCTTGACCAGATCTGGCTGTCAGCAGAGGCACAGGGATGTCATTTGTACTTTGGCTGCCCACCCAGAAAGCGATGAGGGCCTCTCTTGTCATGGCTACCAGTTGGAAGTCACTGGCAGGTGCTCATCGGTGAAATGGTGCAGGGGGCTGGGGAGGGGGTGATTTAATTTTCCTCTGCGGATGGAGTAAAATTGCTCTCTGGGGGAATACTAGTGGAACAGCTGTCATACCACCACCAACTGCTTCAGAACTTCTTTGTATCCTGTATTATTCTTTAAATGTTGAGCAAAGCAAGAAGTGCTAAGATGTGAAGTAAGAAAGAACATAGAGAAAGGTAAAATTTAAATGTAGAAAATTGTATAGTAGGGAGAAGAGCCATGACCTGAAACTTGCCATTTTTGGGCTGGCCAGTGATCCAAGTACTTCAGCACTGTAGACAGAGGGCCAACAATGAATGCTTCACAAGGATGCTGTGACTGATAGATGATGATCATGAATAAAATCCTCTCTGGTTAGTGTCAGCAATGAAAAGAAAGGAGGAGAAAAGGAAGGAGGAGGACAGAAGTAGAAGTGGATGATAAAGAAGAGGTGGAACAGCAGCAACAGGAGAAGAAGAGAGAGACAGAGAAAGGGGTAGGGGATGAACACCCCAACTCAAAATTTAGAAGAAAAGAGTCAGAAGAAACGTTGTATGTGTTTTTCAGTTTCCCCTTTATTCTATTAAATCTCTTGGGTTGTAGCTTTCACAAATAAGTATGTATTTTAAACGAAGAAGACAATCGTATAAAATTTATATTTTTAATATAAATGTACTATAAGGATTTCTTCCTTCCTGGAAACTCCGGACTGGCTTTAATGCCTCTAGGTCTCTGGTAGGTAAGCACCGTCCCCGTGAGGCTAAGAAGTTCAAATTTAAAGGATGATGGGCCAAACAAGACAAAGCATTCTTGTGTTTAACCTCTGTTGAGAAGAAATTATTTACCTGCTAGCTACTAGTTCCCAGGCATTTGGGCTCAATTACCCAGGAAACTTCTTTCAGAGAGGGCCTGCACTCATCCATTCTGGTAGCAAACAAGTCAGTGTGACATCGTTCAAGGTGCTCGTGTGCTCCCAGACCAATTTCACATCTCATTGCTTAGTTGGACGGAATTTGATTGTACATGCTCCCTGGACTCTCTAACCTGGTGCAGAGAATCAACCAGTTCTGAAGCAAAACTTGGTTTCATTAAATGGTGCATAGTGGAATGCAGAGTGAAACCACTGGAAATAAAATCTGGGTAAAATGTCTCTATTTATAAGTCAGCCTGCTCTTAGTGGGGAGGAAGAGAGGATGTTCACTCTTAAGCCCAGTGGCACCAGCCATCACCTGATGTTTACTGTCACCCAAAGTAGAAATTCTTATTTCACACTTGAAATATGGAAATATGGATCTCAACAGTAAAACTGAGAACCATATCTCAGATCCACAGCCCTGACTACAAGGATGCTGTGACTGATAGATGATGATTATGAATAAAATCCTCTCTGCTTAGTGTCAGAAATGAATGCTTAGTGTCAGCAATGAATGCTTAGTGTCAGCTTTTCAATTCAATTAAATCATGGTTATTGAGCTTCTAGCTCAAGGTACTTCAGGGAAAAACAGGCAATTTCCTCATCCTTCTTTCCTGCCCTCAGTGTTCTTACAATCCAGGAAGTGAGACAGGAATATAGGCAACCATGGCACAATGAAATGGGTGACACCATGGAATAAAAACAACAAGCTAAAAGAGTTTTGAGGAAGGAAAGGTAATTTATGAATTGTGCAAACGTCTCTTTGAGGATATAGCATTATACTGGACCTTAGGGACAAGTAAGTTGAATGAAAATGTATAGAAGGGGTGAAGAGGAAATTGTAGGCTAAGGAATGCTTTGGGCACAGGTTCAAAGGTGGCAAACTTAAATGAGTTTTCAGAGATTGACAAGTAGTTTGATACGACTGAAACATGAAAAATGTAAGTAAATGAGAGACAGAATGTAAGGAAGTTCGTGGGAAAGATGAATGTCAGGCTGAAGTGTGGTATTATATTCAGTAGGTAATGTTGAGCCATTCAAGTCTTTTTGCGTGGGAGAGTAATAGTCAGTGCTGTGTCTTTGAAAGGCAGCTCTAATAATGAGGTGATAGGTGGACTGGAGGATTTTAGAATACAGGAAATTGGTAAATCTGTTTTCCTTTTAGTTCTATACATTTAACACTTTGTTTTTAAATACCATATTACTTTCCTATTTCAGTTATAGTCAATTAACTCAAACTTGGAAATTTAAGGCAGCTCAAACATATTATCTTACAGTTTTAGAGATCAGATGTCCAAAATGGGCCTCACTGGGCTAAAAGCAAAGTCGTGGCATGGCTATGGTCCTTCTTGAGGCTGAAGAAGGAATCAATTCCTTGCCTTCTCCAGTTTAAAGGCTCTCTGCATTCCTGAGCTCCTGGCCACCTTCCATCTTCAAAGCCAGCAGTGCAGCATCAATAATCTCTTTTTGATTTTGACTCTGAAGCTATGTTTTTGTCATCACTTCTCCTTCTCTGATTCTTTTAAGGATCCTTGTGATTACACTGGGCCAATTTAGATAATCCAGGATAATCTCTTCATCTCAAGTCGTTAATTTAATCATATCTGTGGAGCCCTTTTTGCCTTTCAAGGTAACATAGTCACAGATTCCCAGGATAAGGAGTAAACATCTCCAGCGTGGGGGCATTATTCTGCCTACCTCAGACATACTTAGCCCAGAGAATAAAGCAGGGGTGAAATGTGAAGATCTAAGCATGGGCTCCTACAGACATCTTCTAGGTTTCAGCCAGTGAAATTGGTCCTATTCATGGTCTCTCACAGGTGAATCAAAGTAGCCCGAGAGAAAAGGGCTTCACTCCTCCACCAACACCTTCAAGCCATTTTATATTACTTATAATCAACACTGAATAGAATAAAGATTTAATAAATATACAAATGATTACATGCACTAAATATAAAAAGTAAAAACATAATTTTTGCAAAAAAATGTATTAAATATTTGGAAGACTAAAATCATTTTTCTATCCTTGACTGAAAAATTAGCAACACGGTCTGACATTTACAGTCACATTTATCACCACGTGGTTATGTTCTGCTGCAAGATTGAAGAACAAAAGTGCCCTGTGTTTGGGGTACTCATTTCTAGGGTTTGGTGTTTTGGAAAGTTTGTCTTTTTTCTTATTCTCTATTCTATTTTCCATGTTCCAGGTACATGAAAATGTATTCTGAAGTCTGAATACAGCTGATATAAGAATGTAGCACATCTATTCTGAAGTCTGAGTATAGGTGACATAAGAAAGTAGTACAAAGATGTTGGGCTTGGAATTCAGGCAAACACCCTATTTTGTCCCTGATTTGCTGTGCAAATACACATTATCACACCTCAATTTTTCTGTGTGTTACTCAGAGATTTAAAAAATTGGCTCTTGATATGCTATGGAAATGTGTTATAAAAAGAGATTGCCTATGTGAAAGCCCTTTGAATAAAATTCAAAACTGATGGTGGTTACTGCATGGTTACTGACATGCGCTATTTGTCATGCACAGTGGTACACTAGGGATACCGTGATAGTAACATGCCACCTGAAGCCAAAAGTGGGCAAGAGTGACCTGGAAACAAGCACAGTGAGTTGTGGTCATTGCCATAACAGAAACACATAAACTGTGTGCATATTTAACCTTATTTGGTAGTTTAATAATTAGAAATGAATGTGAGGATTTGAGGAGTCTATTTAGAATGACGTAGGTAAGTTTTCTCTAGAAGTAAGACTTGAAGGGTTAGGTCCCCCTGCCCAGCCTTTGGAAGACACTGCCCTGCCTCACACAAAAATGAAAATGACTACATTTGACAATGCCCTCTACTCACAAGTAACCTAATGGAGAAGAATAAGGCTCTTTGGAACTCATTGCAAACCATGTTTCCTGGTCCTGGCTCACCCTGGGACCTATTCCAGGATCAGTCATTTTCGTAATCCTTCAAATATATGTGGAAGAAGTGAAGAGTGATTGGAGAAAAGTGACAGTGAATTCCATATGCTTTCTTTGTAAATCACTTATATAGCAAATCTGCATAGTCTATATGTCAAGAGAGGATTTTTCAAGCTAAGGTTGCAAATTCCATGTGGGTTCTAAAATTCTGCCTGTTCCTACATCATCACTATTTTCAAAGAGTTTGCACTTGGAGTATAACTAGCATTATAACTAAGCAAAAGATGGAAAAGGATCCCTGCTTTTTTTTTCCCCCAGCTCTTCTGATTCACACGACTATTGAGGGAGCAGCTTCATTAAGCCTGGAGGCTTGCCTCTTATAAAATAAAGGCAAGTTTCTAATGCCATGATAATAAGGAAAGACATGGGTTTCAGTCCCCACTCTGATATTAATTTTATTTATTCATGTATTATTTATTTATTTATTTACTTTCATCCTAGAATGTATATCTGCTACATGAAAGACTATAAACTCGGGAACAGAATTACCATGTCATAACAGTTAGTATGCATAATGTTCTGGATACTAACACAAAGATGGTCTGCTTTCCTGAACTATTGTCACTAGGCCACATCTTTCTCATATTAGGGATGAATCAAACTAAGTTATCCACACTCCTGTCCATTCTCTTCTGTGATCAAATATAAATGTTGAACTAGTCTGGGCTAAAGTGAAATCTGGTACAGACCTACCTAGCTAATTTAGGAATAGAAACCAAAACTAAATATATGATTCGGACAGAGAAATTGGCCTAAGTAACCCAGATATGTCATAATGGTACTTATTATTAGTAGAAAGTAGAAAGCACAGAATATTATACAACCATATAGTCAGAAACACATTCTGGGAAAAAGACTAGTTCTAATTAACTCTCTGAGCATAACGCTTATTTTTAATAACAAAGGCATCTTTAAGTTTAGAGAGGCAACTTCATGAAATATGATTTTAGCAACACTTCTCTCCATTTTCTGTGTTTTCTTTGCTGTTAATGTCTTCTTCATCCCCCAGAGATACCTAGTGCTCACAATAAACCTTTCTTTCCTGTTATGGGAGAAAAAGTAACCAAGAAACAAATCCTCATCAAGACAGTGGGATCTAGATACAATACCATCTGAGAAGTTATTATTCATTGATTTGCAGATTCACTAAGTAAATTTTTAGTGACTAGCTAGTATGTACTGAGTGGTATCTCAGATGTGGCATTCATAAAGAGAATGACACAAAAAAAATGGCCTGGTGTGCAATACAAAGGAATGTATAGTAAAATTAAGCTATGAAGAATTGTGGGTGGATCCTTTATGAGGTTTGCATATATCATTTACCCAAAGCCTGACCTTGTCTGTGGCAACTGCTGTGACCTCTTCTTAACAGCTTTTCCACTGAATGTCAAGATCCTTTGACAAACTATCCTATTTGTGGTTGTTGTGGAGCCACTGGTTCCTAAAAACTCTCACTTTGGATATTGCTTTGCTTAGTGGCACATTTACCAAAAAAGTAAAGATGAAACAGGAGAGAAACAAGACTGATCAACCAGGTATTAGATTATAGGTAAAAAGAACTATAGTAGGTAAAATCCTATTTTGGCATTTTTAGCCATACATACATCTGGAAATTATCTTCATGTAGAGTTGTCTTTCACTTTTATCTGCGTAGCATCTTTTCTTCAAAGAATTGTAGTCACTTGGTGTGGCTTTTTGTCATACAACTTGACCTCCCTTGATATGGCATTGGTCATCAAACTAGTCAATCAGATTACTATGTCCCTTAGAAAGAGTACTTGGCTAATGAGTGAGCATTGACTAAATCAGAGCCAGTCAGATTATTTCTTTCAACAAACTGAAATGGCTGAAAAAAGAGGAAGAGAGAAGGAAAGGGGGAAAGACAGAGGAGAGAGGTTGGCTCTTTTTTCTTCTGAGATCTCATATATTATCTAGTCTGGAATTTCCAGGGTCATCTTTCCCATTGTATGCAGAAGCACTTAGGTAGAGAGAAAAACATAATTCTTATGACGTCATTTGAACTTCCAGATTCAATCATGCCTGAAATTAAACACCCTTGTGTTTTCCAGTTACATGGGGGCATACTTTCCCCTTTCTACTTAACTTATTTTTATACATTTTTGCCATTGAATCATTCACTCCAAAAAATTAAAAGACCATGACTTGTGGTTTGAATTCCCTTCAGCTTGAAGTTTGGCACTATATAGTAGCTACACACACACACACACACACACACCCACACACACACACACACACACACAGAGTGAATGGTATTTATTCTAGTGAACCTAGAGTGCAGCAGCATGGTACAGTGGAAAGAAAATTCTACTGGGAGTTAGATGCCATACATTTAATGTGGTATTATCTACAATGAATATATTTTACTTTTTAAATAAAGAAAGGAGTGAAGGCAGCTTTATTATGGAAGCAAAACAGGGAAGGTCTGGGTTTTATCTTCACTTCTGATACAAGCTAGCTCTTTGGTATAGGCAAGTCATTGTAACATTTTAATCCTCAGTTTCCTCCTTTGTAAAGTAAAGAGCAGTGGGTCTCCCACTAGACTCTTGTGATCCCTAGATGTTTCATGTAACACCACAAGAAGTGGAATATGAGAGGTGGAATATGAGATGGAATGTGAGATATCCAACCTGTTTTCTAAACCAGAGGAACACTTAACATATTTGCTCTATCTACAAAGCTTGAATGTCAGTTTCCAAGGGTTTCTGTAGTATAAAATTTTGAAAAAAAAAAAAAAATTAAAAAGTTTTTTAAAAATGGGGCTTGATAATTCCTAAGTCCTTTTTAGTTTTAACACTCTTTGAAGTTAATCCCCAAGTCAAAGTTTCTACTAGAAATATAGTAATTTACTCACAGAAAATAGTCATCTTCTGTAATTGCTTTTACTTAATCCAAGCCTGTTGGTCACATTTGAACATTCAGAGTCTTTACTTTTGTGAAGTATGCTGCATAAAAGTTAAGAAAATTTAGTTTGGGTGTTCAAGTTCATATTTTAGATACTCAAATTCAGAACACTTTAGGAATAGAAAAAGCACAAACCCTATTTATATCATTGGGACATAAATGTTAAACTGAGAAGAGTGATAAAGACTCACGTGTTTCTAAGACACATACAGGTCTTCAGCTTCTTAGCCATTAGGAAAGGAACCAAGCAAAGATGAATAATATTCATAAACTAGTACAAGGGTTTTGTTTGTTCGTTTTTTTTTTTATCATTTCCAATCAACACTGACTCCATGCTTATGCTGTGCTAGACATCATGGCAGATGCCTTCGATACATAAAGGGCTGTGACACATTCCCTATCTAGTTAAGAACAGACATGTGCCTTAAACATAATTATAGCTGCAAAGTTGCAAATGATAAATCTCCAGAGATTAAAATTTCTATGTCCAAATAAGAGGGTAACTCATTTAGAACCTGGCTGGCTGAAATTACAAATGATTTATGTTTCACCCTGGAATCTTATTTTACTTCTTGGTGGATTAGAGAGGTAAATTATTTTTATTAGAGGATGTTTTGCATCTTGCAGAGATAAAGTATCAAAGCTTTTTGCCTTATGCAACTCTTTTCAACTACTCATATTTTTGAACAGATTAATGCAAGAAAATATAATCAGGAGAAGATGTGTTCCTTTAGCTCTGCTTCTTTTGGAACCCCCTTGGTATTTTGCTTATCAAGTTGGAAGAGTTGTGGCAGAAGATATCTAGCTCCTGAAAATTCTGAAGATGAAATAATTATCACCTTCGTTCTACTTTTCTGAGCTATCTTCCTTTTTCTGCCAACATTTTCCACACCAAACACCATGGTTCACCTGGATAAAGGTGCAGCACAGTTCCACCAAAGGAGCCAAGGGGCTGAGTCTTTTTCAGCAGGTAGAGCTAGTGTATCCTAACACAGGAGTTTTCATAGAAACTTCAGCTTAGACAATCTATGAGCCTTCACACACAAGCAGCCAAGCAGATACAAATGAGCTCTTTTAATTAGGTATCTGGATTTATATTGGCTGACTCAGCTCCATCTCAGCTTTAGAGGATGAAAAATCACCTGAACGCTCTCTAATGAAATACCCCTTGCCCTAGCATGTGAGTGCTTGTCTGAGTCACCAGGAAGTGTAATAAGGAACACTCAGGGATCCAGCTGTGTATGCAGCCCTCCTGCTGGAGGTAGGGCTGGCTTGTCCCCACCACTTGGAGTTCTCCCTGAGTCACTCAGTTCCTGGCTGAGTACAGCCATTCTGTGATTTATGTTACATACCAATGCCTCCAGGCAGAAAATGCTGATAATAATTGCTTGCTATGGGGGATTAGGAAAAGGCAAAGGCTTTCTTTGGGATTTCCTTTTCCTTTCTTCTCTCTTCCCTTCCCTTTTGTCTCTTTCCCGCCTTTCTGCTTTCCTAACCTCCCCTTCCTTCATTTCTCCTCTTCCCCCTCTCTTGCCTAAGTCTTTAAAGCAACATAGTTTTTTTTTTTTTTACTAGCAGCATTGTAAAGGTAGCCAAATAAATTCTGAGTATGAGTTCTTTATTTCTCGCAAGTCAAAGTAGAAAGTTGAAAAAACTCACAAATACATCAAATATACCTTAAAGAGGTAAACCAACTATTCGGTGAAATTTTATAGCTAAGAAAACCCAAGTGCTAATGAATAGGTAGTTTCAAAATCTGAGATGGAATCTCTAAAAAGGAGGGATTACTTTTAAAACACACACACACACACACATAGACATAAAATGTATTCATTTGTCTGGGTGCCGTGGCTCACGCCTGTAATCCCAACACTTTGGGAGGCTGAGGCGGGTGGATCATCTGAGGTCGGGAGTTCGAGACCAGCCTGACCAACATGGAGAAACCCCATCTCTACTAAAAATACAAAATTAGCCGGACATGGTGGCACATGCCTGTAATCCCAGCTCCTTGGGAGGCTGAGGCAGGAGAATCGCTTGAATCTGGGAGGCAGAGGTTGCAGTGAGCTGAGATAGTGCCATCGTACTCCAGCCTGGGCAACAAGAGTGAAACTCCATCTCAAAAAACAAACAAACAAAACAACAACAACAAGAACAAAAACCCACAAAAACATATTCATTCATTTCGCAAAATTTTGCACCTACAATACCTGAGGAACTTGACTTTGAGAGATACTCAAATAAAAAATAAAATACCACAATGAGAAATAAATAAAATAAAATAAAATAAAATAAATATAAATAAATAAAATTAATTTTTAACATTTTGCAGTTTACTTTCTAGTAGACAGAAATCTATCAGAAGACATGAGAATATCATCCTCAAGTTGCCAGGGAAATGTAAACATATAGAATGGAATCAGGGACTAGGAGACCGCTGGGACATCTAACATACTTTAATCACATTTCATTTAGTAGCACCTGTTCAATTCTCACAATATTTTAATATTAATATTTTTATTTTGCAAATAAGCAAACAGAAGCTTTTCTGTATCAAGTAAATAGCTAGTCATTAGCAGAGTCAGCATTTGAATCCAGGTCTCTCTGCTCCAAAGCTCATGCTCTTTCTGGCATACCACACAGGAAAGAGAACTGTCCATAATTCACTTAATGGAATATGATTTTAAATAAATTTAAGCAATTAACTATGAAAAGCTGCTTAGGTTCTTTCTCCTTAGGGGGCTGAGGGAATAGCCTGTCATGGCCGGGCCTTAATTATCCTCCATGCATGGGCATGGTGATACAGCCCAATCAGATGTGGTGAGAGGCATGGTAGGTGGTGGTGGTGGTAAGCAAATTGTGTTCATCTTCACTTCCTTCAGGTCTTTACTCAAATGTCACCTTACCAGGGAGGATTTCTATGTCACACCATTGAAGATTGCAGCAGCCCCTGCCCCTAAGTTCCAACACCTCCAGTATTCTCCTTCCTTCCTTTTCTCCATAGCACTATCACCTATCACCATCAGATATATTGTGGATTTTTGTTTATCTTCTTTATTAATTACCTCCTGGTCTGGAATCTAAGCTTCATAAAGGGACAGTTTTTGTTTTTTTGTTATGTTATCTTAATTATTTATATTCACTGCTCTATCCCCAGCATCTAGGAGGCAAATAGATATTAAACAAACATTCGTTGAATGTATAAATCGTTAGTAATTTTTAGGCAGCAAGGTATAAGTAGAAGGAATTCAAGGATATTATTGCTATTTCCATAATCTATTTTATTTGTTCTTCTTGAAAGACAATGTGACTCTGTGAAATAGGGGCACTTACTCCAAATAATTACAACATTTTTTTCCTGAGGAATTGGACTAGAAATTGTGGAAAATGGAGCTTCCAATCTATCTGTGGTGTTTGAATATTTTATATTTAAAAAACATGTTCATAAACTACTTATAAAATAAAAACAAAATAAGTACTAATAAGCCAATGAAATGGAATCAGCTTCATTACTTTACTGGGTCTCAGCTCTCCTGCCCTCCCCTTAATGATAGATGGCCACTGATTTATACTCAGTGTGAAATCCAGGCCGGGCATGGTGGCCTATGCCTGTAATCCCAGCACTTTGGGACACCAAGGCAGGCAGATCACTTGAGGTCAAGAGTTCGAGACCAGCTTGGCCAACATGGTAAAACCCTGTCTCTACTGAAGATACAAAAATTAGCCGGGCGTGGTGGTGCACAACTGTAATCCCAGCTACTCAGGAGGCTGAGGCAGGAGAATCGAGAATCGCTTGAACTCAGGAGGCGGAGGTTGCGGTGAGCCGGGATTGTGCCACTGCACTCCAACTTGGGCGACAGAGCGAGACTCCCTCTCAAAAAAAAATTAAAAATTAAAAAGTATATACTCAGTGTGAAATCCAAAGTGCAGGAGGGTCTCTCTCTCTCTCTCCCTTTCTTTTCCTTCTTCAGACATAGACGGGATCTGTGCCAGTTATGTAACAGTCTTCTGCGAGCTTTTCAGAAAATTTATTTTTCAAAAATATGTTCTTATTTCAATAATGTAATTATTGTTCAAATTATTCCTGGAATTTATTTCTGAAATTGACTTCAAAGACCTTGATATCTTGGTACCAACACAACAAATATTTACTCACAGAGCCCAACTCCAGATATTAATAATTAAATTGTGTAATTAAGTTGGGTAACACTGTGTTCAGTGAAACAAACTTTCATAAAACTGTAAAACTGTATTTCTTATTGTTCATAAATTTATCAGTAAATGAGAAATTCTCCAGAAGGGTGAAAGGACTACAACATGAGAAGAGTATTCCATTCAAGTCGTGTGAATTATTTTGAGGAATTAAACTTATTTGAATTTTATAAACAATTCTTATACTGCTTATAAATTGGTTTTATTATATATTACCACTCCTTATGTACATACATATTGTGTGTGTGTGTGTGTCTGTGTGTGTCTATACATAAATACCTTGGATTCAGGGAGAGTAAATTTTCTTATCTAATTTAATTTGAAGACCAAATCTGGATATCTATTTATGGTGTCTTGATCTTTGCATTTGACAAACCTCATTAAATATTTTACAATAGAAATTGCTACAGTTTTTAGAACTCCTTCTGAATTACACACAATACAATTCTTATAGTACTTTAACAGTTAAGCTTGTTGGTACACCCTGAAGAACAAAATCCAGCCTAAGCCTTTTGTTACTAATGGGAAAAAGAGATTTATTCTCATCCATTGTCAAAGGCACCTCAATTTATATTATGATTCCAAGAATAGGCTTATCAGTCCTACAGGAAAAATAAACAGAATAGCTGTATATCCTACTTTCAGAAAGCCCAACGTTGCATTGAAAACATGAATGCAAAACAAATAAATTGGAGAATGTTGTTACATTAAAAGTTAAGAATAAATGTTTCATTTTGAGAGATATTTACCAATATAATTTTGAATACTGAAAACTGTTCCAAGGCATTTATGTGTATTTAAAATTGTTAACTACTTGATCATGATGAGGTACAAAGATTATTAGAAATTATTATGAAATAAAAATAAACTAGGAAATAAAACATTTTAAAATAATGACAGTTTATCAAAAATAAAGATTAAGTTTAGTATAGACTGTAAAGTAGGTATCTATTGCAAAAAAAACTACAAAAAAACCAAATCTTCAAAAAGCATGGAACCCTATCAAATCTATTATGTTGCGTCTAAACCAGTTTCCTTCCAACATCTAATTTTTTCTCTTCATTTTGAGCATACTTTAAACCACTGTTACTTGCTTTTCTTTTTGTTGTCTTTTGTCCAAATTCTGAATAAACACGATAAAGTGGGTGGTAACATAGAGTAATGAATTAATAGATTATTTTCCCCTTTTAGGGGTTTGGTCTCAGAAGAGAGTTCTAATGAAACTCAGTAATTTACTAGAGCAAATCTTATTAATAGTCTTCAAAGGTATAACCTCTTCCTCTTTAACATCATAAGCATTTGGAGTTTCCTATGCAAGATAAATATAAAAGCTTTCAGAAACACAGAAAATGATTTTGTACCGTTTTTCTTCTCTATGGAAAGTCAGTCTGAGGCCAGGCATGGTGGCTCACGCCTGTAATCCCAACATTTTAGGAGGCCAAGGCAGGCATATCACCTAAGGTCAGGAGTTCGAGACCAGCCTGACCAACATGGTGAAACCCCGTCTCTACTAAAAATACAAGCATAGTGGTGGATGCCTGTAATCCCAGCTACTCGGGAGGCTGAGGCAGGAGAATCACTTGAACCTGGGAAGCAGAAGTTGCAGTAAGCCAAGATCGCACCACTGCATTCCAGAGCGAGACTCCGTCTCAAAAAAAAAAAAAAAAAAGTCAGTCTGATGAGTTATTGAAAATAATTTTCTTAGTGTGAAAAAGCAGTAAAGCATAGCCCATATGTGACTAACATGTTTTTAAAGTATTAACAGATACAATTAAAATGAAAACAACAATAATACCTAATAAAAAATTGAGCACCTACTATATCAGGCAGTCTGGTAAAGACTTTAGATTACAGTTTCTCTTAATGGTTACATACACACACAGAGACATACAAACAACTATGATTGTTATTGTTGCATTCTTTATAGAAAAGGAAACTCCAGCACAAAAGGTAATATAACTTGCATGGTATCACACAACTAGTAAATGAGTCAGACTGGAATGTAATTCATATGGTCTGACCTTAGAACCTATGGTCTTAAGCCACTACGTACTAAACATTAAGGCTAGATATGGCATTTTGGCAAGTCCATAGTCTGAAGCTCTAAATGTGAAGTTCAATGCAATATAAAATAATAATAATCATATTTTTAAAATTATTTACCATGTATGAATTGATTTTGTCAGATGGACATTTACCTGATGCATGTGAATGGAATTTAACAGTAGCCACTTTGTCAAATATTACTTAGAAGACAACATATCCCAAAAAAAGTCTCCTGTAAACATATGGATAACGTTTAGTTTGGATTTGTGACTGAGCTAGCAAAGGGTTCTACGAATAGCTGTTTACTCCGACTGTATGAGCAGTATGCTGAAGGTGGGTCTGAACCATGCTTATGCCAAGTGAAATAAGAAGAGAAATGGGTAATTTTAAAACAGTTAGATTTATATATCATTCATGATATTTATCATTTCATCAGACAGTAATGCCTCAAAGACAATGTCTAGTTTTTTGCAGCTATATATAATATTTTAGTTTTTATATTTGGTTGATATCTGTGAAAAATTATTGTTTGCTGTCTAGACACTCAAAATGCTTTTCCAGTGATCTGTACTGTACTAGAGGGCTATACTTGGAATAAATACAGACTAGTCATGTGGATCATCTTTACTTTCTGCACTTTTAGCATAAACTAGTTTTGTTATCATAATCCACTCCATTTCTTAAGATCTTAAATTATAAAATAGGGACTGTAATATCTAACACCACACATTTCACAGGTATGCATGGAGCAAACCCAGCAAGTATTTTGTCTCAGCAGTTTCTCCAGATGGCTATTTCCTTGCCAACTCAAATTAAATATGCCCAAGAGAACTGTTTACTACCTTTTGTTTATATTCCTCCTCTGTCTAAGGAAGCAGCATGTTAGCAAAACGGGCAAACAAGCAAATAAACTAAAATAACTTGTGGAATCCAACAGACCTGAGCTCAAATCATGACACTGGCACATATCAGTTGTATGAACTTGGATAGTTATTTATTATTTTCTGTTTCCATTATTTTATCTATACTAGGGATGATAATATACACTCATGTGTTTATATAAGGTTTATAGATAATGAATATGAGTGTTTGGAACATACAGTAGTGTCTTTATGCAGGCTGCTATAACAAAATACCATAGACAGTGACTTATACAACAGAAACTTATTTCTCACAATTCTGGAGACCGAGAAGTCAAAGATCAAGGTGCCAACAGGTTTGGTGTCTGATGAGGACCCACTTCCTGGTTCATAGATGGCTGACTTTTCACTTTGTCCTCACAGAGTATGGAAGGGGAAAGGGACCTCTCTGGGGCCTATTTTACAGAGGCACTAATCCCATAAGTGAGGGTCGAGCCTAATCACTTCCCAAATACCACATTTCCAAATAGTATCACACTGGGATAAAGTTCTAAACTGAATTTAGCAAGGACATAAACATTCAGTCTATGACAAGAATGTTCTTCAGGATAGGAGCTGCTGCATCAGCAACCACCTGATGCTCCAGGTCATGACAGAATAATGAGGTACAGAAGATGTCTTCACTTCACTTGTAAACTCTTTATTGTTCTTCACACAAAACTGAAATATTTCTGTCAGATATTATTGTCTTCATTTGTTGAAAAATTACCCCATCCTCTTCACTCATTAGAATTCTAACCTGGTTACCTTTTTTTCTGATACCGCCACTTTCTGGAAACTGCCTTTGCAAACATCTTGCTTCAGATTATGTTTTCCATTTGAAGACCCCACCCATCATATTTACTAAATTAACATCCTCAGTTGACCTTAAGAAATTTGCAATCTCACAGCAAATAAAGGCTAAGATTCTCAACCACCTCTAAGTTCTTTATATGATAGCTCCACCCTAATAGATCTCTTCCTGTTCACCAACCACTGTCACTGTTCCTAAGACCACTTTATTTCCAAATATTTATTGTTTATTTATCCAACTCCTATTTCCTTTAAGCTACATTCTTCATGTTCTTTTTATCCAATGTGCCTGCCCCCATTTTTTTTTGCAAATAAGTATTCTATATTTGATATTTCAAACAACTGTGGAAATCTCATTTGTTACAGAATCCCTGTGATATTACTATTTAGAAAGAGAAGCCTCAGCTTAGAAGTTCATTTATCTGACTTAGCAGAGCAGTTCTTACCTTCTTAAGTTCTCCCCAACTTAAGGAAAAACATCAGTAACTCCCTTCAATGTGCAAATCCCACAATCCTCACTTCAGGCTTCAACTTGACTAAATATATTCCTTTAATGTCTTCCTTTCTATATTCCTATGATGCCTTAGTGTCTGAGCTTGTACCCTCCTAGAGAGCATATAATGTGTCTGCTTCAAATGGTAGCCCATGCATATAGATGACTCAAAAATATTACTGAAGTTGATGAAGAGAGAGATGAACAAAAATGTGGCATTACTGGCTACTCTGCAAAACACAAAAACCTAAAATTCTCATTTTACTCAAACCAATTCTACCATCTCATGCCTAGAGGCACTCAAGCAGTAAGGCTGCACAGCTTATACACACTGCTGTGAAATGTGGACCTCATACAGCAGCCGAGGTATATAAATATGCAAATCATAGATGTATACAGAAACAGCCTTCCAGTAGAGAACACCAGCTGTCACAAGCAGCAAACTCACTCTGAGGACTTGGCACTGGTGAACTGGCAAATACCCCCTGGTTGTTGCTGCCCCATCAATCATGGGCCATTTGGCCGGGCGGCATTCTTGAACAGGTTTTCTCCCCTTTTTAACTCCGTTAAAGAACATTATTTTAAGGTGATGTAATAAGCTCCTGTAAAACTTGATATGACTGTCTGATACAGGAGAGTTCATCTCTTGATGTACACCTTTCTGTATCTTGCTGTTGTTTTTTTTTAAAAGTCTGCATCCCCCAAAACAAAAGCATCAAATTAATGTTATATTTATCTTTATTAAATAATTATTATGAAAGGTTTTGCCGATACATGCTTGATGAGCAGTGTGCAGAATTTAACAGTTTGTTAATTTGTTTTTCAGACACGATTGAAAACTATTGACCCTCAAGTTATCACAAATGGTTATGAAATGGAAATGGAATGGGAAGGAGTATGAAAAAATAAGCTGAATACTGACAAACCTAAGGTACCCCAAAGTCTATGGAAACTCCAATTTAACGAGGGGATGAATAAGAAATTTACTTCTCAACAAACAACAAATAATGGTTTATAACCATGGAAGCATTCTGAGAGAAGTAAATATGTCATCGATTTTAAATAGCAGTGTTATCCAGCAGAGAGCAGATCAATGAAAGTTGCATAGGTTTTCACATGCTTCAGGATATTAAAGAACAATCCCATTTCCCCCCTCTATAAACCATTCCATCCAGAAGAGTAATTTTAAATGTGCTATAAATCATTATCTGTTCAACAACCAATCTGCATTCAGAAAAGTTATATCCATTCCTATTCTTCTTCCTTGGAACAATTTAAAATGCTCTCATTTTTTGCTAACCTGTAGGCCTGCTTTGGGTCTTCTGACTGGATATGTGGTAAAAAAAAAATAAGTTATTTCTCAAATTTAATATAACAAATACTAGGAGAGAAAACTGATGTATTTTCTTTAGAAAAAGTACTCAATGATTATCAGTTGGGCAATGTTTATTACAGCCTTGTAAATGGGTCGATAAGATTTATTGCTGTTTCAAAGATAGAGTGAACAATATCTAGATAATTACAAAGATTTGCTTCATCTACACAAAGGTAGAGTGATGAAGAATCATAATGAATAAAGACTAAGATTTTCATCAACTATCTCAACATTCTATATATGATTGCATCCTCTCCTGTGAACTTGAATGTTAATGTTAGAAAATAAGATATTCATTCATTACCAAGTATTTTGTGAAGTTCTGTGTGGTTTCAAAGAGAAACAATGCACATTCTGTACACTCTGGGAGCTTGCACTAGTAGAGGAAATAAGGTGTGTAATGAAACAGCTATGTTATAAAGTGGAATGTGATGTGTTTTAAGAGAGAGGTAAATTTGCTTCCCATATTACAGAGAAAGAACTTGCTTGTGGATAGCAAGATCAAGTAAGCCATGATCAAGATATCACTTTACATAAACTATGCTTGGTGATATGTTTAAAACTTCAATAGGAACTCATTGTTACTCCTCTGCATAAAACCTTCAGTCAGTTTCTATTACACTTAGAATATCCACACACACCAAAAAAGAAAAAACACAAAACACGGACCCTAACAGGCCTGCAAGGTTCTGGGTACCTCATCAGCCTCCTCTTGTTTTCTATCTGCCCCTTCTTAGCACGTTTCAGCTCACTGGCCAGGCCCTTTCCACATGTCCTAGTTCTGCCTGCAATCCTTCTCACACTCCATGTGTGGCTAACTCTACCTTCACAATTTGGGGGAAGACTTTGATTATCAAGGATATAAATTATGCACATACAAAGAAGTAAATTTGGAACAACGTTTGGACTCATTCCGGGTCAGACTCTTATGTATGAGCAGGCTATCACTATTGTTAGCAGCCGAAAGATTTTTAAGACAGGAAATGAAAATGACAGAGCTATATGTCATAAATATCTTGTAGGAATGTTTAGGACAGTTTAGAATACAGAAAGGTGGGTGTGAGAGATACCACTTTCCTCAGAAAAAAAAAAATGTGGGAAAGAGGTAATGAGGGTCTATGTTAGAGAAGGTAAGGAGGCACAGTTCACAAACATGTTATCACTGACTGAAAAGAAGAGATAAATGGAATGGAGATGTTAGAAATAACTCTGCTTTCAGGGAGATCAATTGTGCCATTATCAGAAATAGGGACATCAGAAAGAAACAAGAGATATTTTGGAGGCAAAGATTAATTTATTTTTAGTATAATAAAAGTGAAGTGGCTGATAGATAGACAGAAATGCTTATAAGGTATTTCTGGGCTAGAATTCAGAAAAATAAAGGGAAACGCTGGCAATGAAGACTTGGAATCAAACTATATAGATGTTACCATTAAAGATGAAGTCATCAATGGACAAAATCGGAAAGGGAAGGAGAAGCAAGGACAGCAAAGCAAGGACAGCTCTGATGAAACATATAGGAATATGAAGATCACACAACTAAAGGAGATCAAGTTGACACAATCTGTGAAATGGAAGGAACATGAGAATATTGCATTATTTCAGGAAATAAAGAGAAAAGGAATTGCAAAAAAAGGGAATTATTCATAGTGTGCTTAAATAGAGGTCAAAGAGAATGACATAAGAAGGCTGGCTCTTTAAAAAGGGAGGGACACTGGGAGGCTAAAGTAGAGGATATGGAACACAATAAGATAGGCAACTGAGTTAAAAATTAGCAAGTGATGAGTGGAGAGACTTACTGAAAGCTTACTCAACTGAGATTAGCAGGACTTTATAGGGTACACAGCAAAATGTTATTATATCCAATTTTCTAGGAATATTTAACACCCTTTAAATAAAGGGGAAAAGAGAATTATTAGAGTTGCTCGTGGTTAGAGACAGAAGAGATCAAAACAAGATAAGATCGAATAAGAATTCTGGATACCAGTAAAGTGGACACTGAAATGTCAGACTATAAGCTCTAGCTTGGCTAGACAGGCAAATTATGTCAGTAAATGGTTAAAGGAGCATCCAGGAGGTCCTGATTTAAGTGTTCTTTTTTAAAATTTAAATTAGAAATTTTATGCAGGAAATTGTTTATTCTGCAATTTTACTTGAGTTGAGGAGATTGACAAGGTCCTACCCACACAAAATCTTTGCCTTTGTTCCTCCTCCCTGAGACTTGTGTGTGACTGTGCAGGCAGCATTATCTTTATGATATCTCTTTTAAAAATAATGTACCTGCCGGGCACGGTGGCTCATGCCTGTAATCCCAAAACTTTGGGAGGCCAAGGTGGGCGGATCACCTGAGGTGGGGAGTTCGAGACCAGCTTGACCAACATGGAGAAACCCCATCTCTACTAAAAATACAAAATTAGCTGGGCGTGGTGTCACACGCCTGTAATCCCAGCTACTAGGGAGGCTGAGGCAGGAGAATCGCTTGAACCCTGGAGGTGGAGGTTGCAGTGAGCCGAGATTGCACCATTGCACTCCAGCCTGGGCAACAAGAATGAAACTCCATCTCAAAATAAATAAATAATAAATAAATAAATAAATAAATAAATAAATAAATAAATAAAATAATGTACCTACATGAGGTGTAATAACTTAAAAACTTGGGGCCTAATCACTCTAGCATAGATGATTTTGTGAGTTTGCATAAAGAAAAAAAAGAAGAGTATGAACACTCAGGTGAAGAAATGATGGAGGGCTAAAGAAGAAAAAATAAAAAGAAATATAAAAGGGGGAAAAGGGCATCACAACAACTTTCACTCTCTGAAAAGTTTTCTGAAAGGTTATCCTCTTAATAATCATGAGGGTTTTTTTTTTTTTAACAATTCTTCTTGAGCTGTTCTTCAGGTACAACACACAAACACACACAAGTTTATAAACTAAATAATATAAATTTCTACCTGTAAAGCCAACACCCTTCTCCCCAAAAAACTGTAAAAAATATTTTGTTATATTTTATTCTTTTTTTCCAGTGGAGGTATGAGTACATATGATATATTGACCATTGTTGATAAAATTGAGGTTACATATTTCACTGTTTTGTAAACTACCACTTCATTTTTTTCTTCAACTTTTATTTTAAGTTCTAGGGTACACTGGCAGGATGTGCAGTTTTGTTACATAGGTAAACGAGTGCCATGGTGATTTGCTGCACAGATCAACCCATCACCAAGGTATTAAGCTCAGCATCCATTAGCTATTCTTTCTGATGCTCTCCTTCTCCCTGACCCCAACTAACAGGCCCCAGTGTGTGTTGTTCCC
Organism: Homo sapiens; assembly: GCF_000001405.40. Classification (NCBI taxonomy): domain Eukaryota; kingdom Metazoa; phylum Chordata; class Mammalia; order Primates; family Hominidae; genus Homo; species Homo sapiens. The sequence continues at coordinate 116,071,790 of NC_000003.12, forward strand.
CCTCAAGTGTCCATATGTTTTCATCATTCAGCTCCCACTTACAAGTGAGAACATGCAGTGTATGGTTTTCTGTTACTGCATTAGTTTGCTGAGGATAACAGCTTCCAGGTCCATTCATATCCCTGCAAAAGACATGATCTCATTCCTTTTTGTGGCTGCATAGTATTCCATGGTGTATATGTAGCTTTTTTTTTTTTTTTTTTTGAGATGGAGTCTTGCTCTGTCACCCAGGCTGGAGTGCAGTGGTGCGATCTCGGCTCACTGCAAGCTCTGCCTCCCGGGTTCATGCCATTCTCCTTCCTCAGCCTCCTGAGTAGCTGGGACTACAGGCACCTGCCACCACGCCCAGCTAATTTTTTGTATTTTCAGTAGAGATGGGGTTTCACCGTGTTAGCCAGGATGGTCTCGATCTCTTGACCTTGTGATCCACCCACCTCGGCCTCCCAAAGTGCTGGGATTACAGGCGTGAGCCACCGCGCCCCGCCAGCATATTTTCTTTATCCAGTCTATCACTGATGGGCATTTGGGTTGATTCTATGTCTTTCCTATTGTGAATAGTCTTGCAATGAACATATGAGTGCATGTATCTTTATAATAGAATGATTTATATTCCTTCAGGTATATACCCAGTAATGAGATTGCTGGGTCGAATGATATTTCTGCTTCTAGATCTTTGAGGAATTGCCACACTTTCACAGTGATTGGACTGATTTATACTCACCCCAACAGTGTAAAAGTTTTCCTTTTCCTCTACAACCTCCCTAGCATCTGTTAAGTTTCTTAACCTTAATAATTGCCATTTTGACTGGTGTGAGACGGTATTTCATTGTGGTTTTGATTTGTATTTATCTAATGATCAGCAATATTGAGCTTTTTTTTCATGTTTGTTGACTGCATAAATGTTTTCTTTTGAGAAGTATCTGTTATTGCTATTTGCTTACTTTTTGAAGGGGTTGTTTGTGGTTTTTTTTTTTTTTTTTTGTAAAATTAAGTTCCTTGTAGACTCTGAATATTAGACCTTTGTCAAATGGATAGATTGCAAGATTTTCATCCCATTCTGTAGATTGTCTGTTTACTCTGATGATAGTTTCTTTTTCTGTGCAGAAGCACTTTAGTTTAATTAGATCCTATTTGTCAATGCTTGCTCTTGTTGCAATTGCTTTTGGCATTTTCATCATAAAATCTTTGCTTCTGCCTATGTCCTGAAATGGTATTGCCTTGCTTTTCTTCTAGAGTTTTCATAATTGTGGGTTTCACATTTTAGTCTTCAATCCATCCTGAGTTAATTTTTTTATAAACTTTAAGGAAGTGGTCCAATTTCAATTTTCTGCATATGGCTAACCAGTTCTCCTAGAACGATTTATTAAATAGGGAATCCTTTCTCCATTGCTTGTTTTTGTCAGGTTTGTCAAAGATCAGATGGTTGTAGGTGTGTGGTCCTATTTCCGAGTTCTTTTTCTGTTCCATTGGTCTATGTGTCTGTTTTTGTACCATTACCGTGCTGTTGTTGTTACTGTGGCTTTGTACTATAGTTTGAAGTTGGATAGGTTGGATGGTGTGATGCCTCCAGCTTTATCCTTTTTGCTTAGGATTGTCTTGGCTATTTGGGCTCTTTTTTTGGTTCCATATGAATTTTAAAATAGTTTTTTTCTAATTCTGTGAAGAATGTCAATGATAGTTTAACGGGAATAGCATTTAATCTATAAATTACTTTGGGCAGTGTGGCCATTTTCACAATATTGATTCTATCCACGAACATGGAATACTTTTCCATTTGTTTGTGTCCTCTCTGATTTCCTTGAGCAGTGTTTTGTAGTTCTCCTTGAAGAGGTCCTTCACTTCCCTTGTTGGAATGCTAGTGACTTTTGCATATCAATTTTGTATCCTGAGACTTTACTGAAGTTGCTAATCAGCTTAAGAAGCTTTTGGACTGAGACCATGCTACTACTTCATTTAACCATATATTGCAAATATTTTTCATCATTTATTAAAATGTTTCATAAAACATGATAGTTAATGTATGCTTAGTTGTATAACTCAGTGTTTTTATTTGGAAAAAATAGAAAAAATAAGATTTGGCTGTCTTATGTAGAAAAGGAAATCATTGCAACCCACATCACTGGGAAGACTCTAAAATAAGAATTATGCCAAAAATCATATAAAAAGGGCATGACTGCTGTTGAATCTGAACAAGAATGCCATAGCTCTCACCACCAACAACGTGGCCCTGGATCCAGGCCTTACTGAAACATCAATGATACAACCACTTCCATATAAGCTCACTGGTACAAGTGCCACCAATTACCTGAATAGATTCTCCTTGGTTTTGAGTTCCTTGTATCAACAATATCTATTAAAAATTCTAATTCTAAGGTAGGTGCACTGGAATCTTAAAGCCTGGATCTCATGCTGAAGCCTCAGTTTTGAGGATGCCTGGATTTTATTTCAGCATTTATACTGGGTGGTAATGTCTGCCTCCCAACCATATTGACAAGGAGGAAAATCCCCCAAAACAGGGAAGAGGTTTGAATGCTGGGCAGCCACTATAATGTTCATTATAATAGTATTTCTCATGAAATGACCTTAACTTAACTATCCAATTCCTTAGTCTGAATATTTATGACACTTTCCATAATTTTTTTAAAAAAATAATTCTGTAATGACCACTTTGCCCAAAACCATTTGTATTTCAGATTGTTTTATTTCTATACACACAGAAATGGAATTACTGAGTCAAATGATACAAATATATTTTAAAACTTTGATAGATATCCCTACATTACCCCAGGGAAAGTTTCCATTAATTTACACTCTCAACAGGGAGATATAAAAGTGTCAGTTTTCCTACTAACTTGTCAACTCTGGCTATCCTCATTTTGTTAACCCTTTCCTAGTATCACTAGTTTTAAAATTAACAATTTATTGCTGTTTTACTTTGCATTTCCTTGATTATTAGTGAGGTTTTAATAATTTTCCATGTTTGCCATTTCCATGTGTCCTTTTGTAAATTGGCAATTTATGTCTTTGACAAAGTTTAGTCATATTTTCTTTATTCTTTTTTTTTTTTTTTTTGAGATGAGTTTCACTCTTGTTGCCCAGGCTGGAGTGCAATGGTGCGATCTCGGCTCACCGCAACCTCCGCCACCCGGGTTCAAGTGATTCTCAGCCTCCCGAGTAGCTGGAATTACAGACATGTGCCACCACCTCTGGCAAATTTTGTATTTTTAATAGAGACATGGGGTTTCTCCATGTTGGTCAAGCTGGTCTTGAAATCCCGACCTCTGGTGATCTGCCCATCTTGGCCTCTCAAAGTGCTGGGATTACAGGTATGAGTCACTGCACCCAGCCATTTTTTTTTTTTTTTTTGAGAGAGAGTCTTGCTCTGTTGCCCAGGCTGGAGTGCAGTGGCCAATCTCAGCTCACTGCAACCTCCACCTCTAGGGTTCAAGCAATTCTCTTGCGTCAGCCTCCCAAGTAGCTGGGACTACAGGCACGTGCCACCACTCTTGGCTAATTTCTTGTATTTTTAGTAGAGACAGGGTTTCACTATGTTGGCCAGGCTGGTCTTGATTTCCTGACCTCGTGATCCGCCCGCCTCAGCCTCCCAAAGTGCTGGGATTACAGGCGTGAGCCACAGCACCTGGCCTTTTTTCATTTCTTAAAAATTGTCTTCATTAATCTGTTGTAATCTATTCATATGCCAATGGCATTAAAGCTTTATCTGCTTTTTTATTTTGTTTTTAAATCACTTTATCGTTTTTTTTTTTTTTTAGATGGAGTCTCGCTCTGTCACCCAGGCTGGAGTGCAGTGGCACAATCTCGGCTCACTGCAACCTCCGCTTTCTGGGTTCAAGTGATCTCCTGCCTCAGCTTCCCAAGTAGCTGGGACTACAGGCCCACGCCACCACACCCGGCTAATTTTTGTATTTTTAGTAGAGATGGGGTTTCACCATGTTGGCCAGGCTGGTCTCGAACTCCTGACCTCAGGTGATCCGCTCACCTCAGCCTCCCAAAGTGTTGGGATTACAAGTGTGAGCCACCGTGTCCAGCCTCTAGAGTCTTTTAATTTTATATATTTACATATGTTTAGCCAAATTTGTTTTCTATACCTTTCATTTACTTTTATGCTAAGACAGCCTTCCACACTCCATTGGAGAGACATTTATTGATAATTCTTTCTAGTCTTTTTCTTTACTTTTTACTTTTAAATCTTTAAGAGATCTGGTGTTAATTTTCATACATGGCTGTTTAGTAAAAATACAATTTTTTAAAAAATTAATTCATTCAAAACCATTTGTTGAATAATGACACTTTCTCCGTTATGTTAAACCTGCATCATATGTGACATGACCATATGTGGTAGACTTTTGAGCCTTTCATTTAGATCCACTGACTTGATGGTTTTTAAATATGTTTTGCAGATGTAGTTTTCTAGCTGTAGAAGTCTTTCTTCCCAATAAAATAATAACTTTTTTTTTTTTAATTTGAGACGGAGTCTCGCTCTGTCACCCAGGCTGGAGTGCAGTGGCGCGGTCTTGGCTCACTGCAACCTCCACCTCCCGGGTTCACACCATTCTCCTGCCTCAGCCTCCCGAGTAGCTGGGACTATAGGAGCCCGCCACCACGCCCAGCTAATTTTTTGTATTTTTAGTAGAGATGGGGTTTCACTGTGTTAGCCAGGATGGTCTCAATCTCATGACCTCATGATCTGCCCACCTCAGCCTCCCAAAGTGCTGGGATTACAGGCATGAGCCACCACACCCGGCCAATAATTATTTTTTAAAGTTGGTTATTTATGCCTGTCCATTCTTCATAATTAATTTGATAAATTTGGTGTAATTTCAGTTTCAAAAGCTCCAAAGTAATTTTTAGATACATAAAAAATTCAATTTACCTTGGGGATCATTATATTTTCATTTTAAACATCTTTACATCTTTAATGATATTTGTGTTGCCATTCAAGAATTATTTCGTTCTATTGTAAAACAACAGCAAAAAATACCCAAACAAGCAAACAAACAAAAAAGCCAGTTCTTTCATCCTTTCAATTTTTGCATTTATGTTCTCTCCATTGTTTATTTAATTTATTCTTAAATGTTCTTATATTTTTGCAGCTTTGTGAATGACCATTTTTAGTATATTTTATGTGTTTGTTATAACTATATATAGAAACTATTGATTTAATATATTTCTTCAGATAAATGCACAAGTTACCAAACTATTGTTAGTATTCTTAATATACTGTATATTAATACAAATTAATATATTTGTTAGTATTGTTAATATATTTGTATTGTTAAATATTGTTAATATATTTGCTTATTAATTTATAAGTGTTTTTCTAGTTAATCATATTAGCTGGAAATATTGATAAATTTATTTCCTCCTTTCCCATATTTAAACCATTGTATTTTATTATCTTGTTTCATTGCATTGACTATAGCCCCTAAACTAATGTTACGTAATAATAATGATTGTTGGTATGCTTGCATTAGTCCTGACTTTAATTACCCATCTTTTTCATGTTAAGAAATAAATCATCTATACTTAGCTCACTAAATTCCAGAGTATTTTAAATACATCAAGAATAGAAGTTAAACTATATCCTATGTATTTTGTTCCTCATGGGATTATCTCATGATTTTTGTCTGTTGACTTTGTAATGAAGTATATTTTATTCATACATTTCTTTATAATGGATTATGCTTGAAAAAACCTGCTTAATTATGCTGTATTTAATATTTAATATAATTTTTTACTTTATTCACAGGTTTTAATCTTAATATCTGCCTTAAGTATTATTGCCTTCAGTATTATTGTATTTCACTTTCACTTTGAAATAATTTCAAGTTTAATGAAAAGTTATAAGAATAATACAAATAGTTCCCATGTATCCTTCACCCAGACTCTACTTAAGTTTTGTCAATTGCTGCGTCATGCCTTGTCTAGAAAAAGGTCACATAGTATACCCAGTTGTCATTTCTCTCTTATCTCCTTCACTCTTGGGCAGTTCTTCAGTCTCTCTTGACTTTTATAACCTAGACATTTATGAAGATTAGAGGCCAGTCTTTCTATAGAATGTCCTTTAATTTGTGTGTGCCCAATGTCGTCCTATTATTAGACTCAGGTTCTAGGAAATATTTCACAGAAGTGATGTGTGTTTAGCTCATTGCCTCTTATCTTTTGGCAAATGATGCCAATTTGTCCCGTTACTAGTAGTGTTAACTTTGATCACTTGATTAATATTGTGTCAGTTAGGTTGTACTACTTTTTTAATTAGTCTTTTCTCTCTTCGTATTTAACAAATATTTGTGGGCAGCTACTTTAACATTATTCCTTATTTCATTTCCACTTGCAAGTTTTAGTATCCATTGATATTTCTTGCTGGAATTAATTATTTCTGTGATGGTTGCCAAATAATATTTTTAAAATTCCATCATTCCTTCTATTAGTTAGCATTCTATAATACAAAAGGGCTTTATATCCTCTTTATTTATTTATTTATTTATTTATTTTACTTTATTTTATTTTATTTTATTTATTTATTTTTTTTGAGAAGGAGTCTCGCTCTGTTGCCCAGGCTGGAGCGCAGTGGCCTGATCTGGGCTCACTGCAAGCTCCGCCTCCCGGGTTCACTCCATTATCCTGCCTCAGCCTCCCGAGTAGCTGGGACTACAGGTGCCCGCCACCAACACCCAGCTAAGTTTTTTGTATTTTTAGTAGAGATGGGGTTTCACCGTGTTAGCCAGGATGGTCTTGATCTCCTGACCTTGTGATCCACCCGCCTCGGCCTCCCAGAGTGCTGGGATTACAGGCGTGAGCCACTGCACCCGGCCCTATCCTCTTTACTTAATAAATAGTGCCTAATTTATATCAGAATTGTAATATATTGTAATTATTTCTTTCAATACCCAAATTGTCCTATACTTGGCTCGTGAAAGTCTCTCTCAAGCTGGCTTCCGTGTACTTTTGGCATGACTCGTCATTTTTTTGAGTACATTCTTACTTCCTGGCCCAAGAGATGCTCCAAGTTATATTGTTCCTTCCTTGCCCCAGTCCTGGTACCAGCTGTTTCTCCAAGTAACCCTTCCTTTTAGTGAATAGTTATATTTTAAAACCAACATGAAGATGCTAAGTATTAGGTATATGAATTGCTACTGGGGTGTCTGTGCTCCAGGGCCTCTTAGTGGGGAAGGGCAGGGTTAGGAAATATATGTACACAATTCTCTCTCTCTTCTATTAAAACTTATTAATAATCATTAATAACTTCAATTTCATCCAACATCACAAGGTTCATTTTAGCTTTCTCCCTGTCCACATTTATACTATCTTCTCCAACAATAAGAAACTTTTTATCATTATCCGCAATATTTTTATTTACTTCCTCAATTCTCTTCAATGTAGCCAAGGTCCCAACTTTCCCAGATGTTTTTCCCTTCAGCTGCTCTCTTGGGTGGGCCTGGCCCTTCGGAGATGCCTCCTCACTCAGAATCCTTTCTTCTTCAGGCCTTGGTACAGATTGGGCTGCTCTTCCACAACACTTCAGCCTGTCTAATAGCTTTTTAACTAATAAGAATGAAAGAAGCTGGCTAAGTGCGGTGGCTTACGCCTGTAATCCCAGCACAATGGGAGGCCGAGGCAGGCAGATCACGAGGTCAGTAGTTGGTCACTGGCAAACATAGTGAAACCCCTGTCTCTACTAAAAATACGAAAATTAGCTGGGCATGGTGGCGCACGCCTGTAGTCCCAGCTACTCGGGAGGCTGAGGCAGGAGAATCACTGGAACCCTGGAGAATCAGGCCACTGCGCTCCAGCCTGGGCAGCAGAGTGAGACTCTGTCTCAAAAAAAAAAAAAAAAAAAAAGAATGAAAGAAGCCTTATTGTATTTTGTATACTTAAATTGTTTTTCACTCAGGCAGACCTAGGACTGGAAACATTATAAAGACAACCCATGTCATACAGAAGAGTTTTGTCAAAAAAAAAGTTGCCTATTTGTAGCAAACTGAAAACAATAGAAATAACTATATATTAAATATATATATGCCATCTTTCTTGACTTTTTAAATACATAAATTCAAAAAATTGCCTTTAATATTTTTAAGAGTACATTTTTAAGGTAATGTGTAGAAAACACAAATGCTACAGTTAATGATAATTTATAGTGGCTTATGGTACTATTTAAACATATTTGAAAGGGTAGATATCCTTATTTTAATACCTAAGATTAAATATCTGTGTAACAACCAGATCATGTGTGAATAGCCACATATGATATTGCGTAAATCCAAGTAAAAATAACTTGCCATAGACCGGATGTAGTTACAATATTTAGCAGAGGCAGATACAATAAGAAATAAATCTCTACCTCCACATCTTCCTAATAACTCTCAAAATTCTCCCCATAAGGCATTAAAATCTTCATAGATTCAATGATTCAAGATTTAAGTATAGGTGAATATTAGTTAATCTCTGTCTTCAAGTAACTTTCTTTTTCTTTCATGAAGTCTATATTTTCATACTGAGCCAACTCTTGTGCCACTATTGGTACTAAGATAACTTTTTCTCTTTTCCCTTATTTTCTCTCCTTTGAAGAAGGAAGGACAAAAGCAGTTTAGATTAGAAAGTATGTGGATGTATATAGGTTATATAATTTAATAACTAAAAGATGGACTACAGGTATATAAAAAGGGTTTGGAGATAGTAATTAATTATGCTTGGATGGGATTGGTTTAGATAAAACTTGAAATCCTTTCTACAGGGAAGAATATCAGGTTAAAACTGCATGAGGCAATATTGCTAACCATCTTAACTAAAAAGTTTCAGTTCTTCCCTTTCATTAGCTGTCTGGTTGCTGATGTGAATAGTGAAGTCTTTCAAGTCTGAACCTGACCTATTAACAGCCAATCAAGAGGCTATTGTCTGAAAAATTAAGCTGAAGAGTAGAAAAATTAGTAGACTTCAGCATATAAAATTCAAATGAGAAAATTCCAGTTAATCACTAAGATTCTCAATAATCAACAAAATTCACACTAAGAACAAATCTAACTTCCAATTCTTATTTTATTAGAATGCCTTAAAATTTAAAAAGGAGCTATAGGCTAAACTTTTGAATAAAATTTTATAGGCAATGTATAATTGTTGAAAGAATAATCAATGCAACATGAGTTTATTAAGAAAGGGAAGGAAGAAGGATGGGAGTGAAGGAAGAAAGAAGAAAGTAACAGAAGGAAAGGAGAGCGATTCTGAGAGAAAAATGAGATACCGTCTTGGAGTTCTGGGTAACAGATTTTGGTCAGCATTTGGAATGGTTAACAGAATTGCAAAACTTGCTTCTAAAAATTTAAATCCTAGAAACAATAAGCTCTAGACTAATCACTAAAAATGTAAATTGGGGGCCGGCGAGGTGGCTCATGCCTGTATTCCCAGCACTTTGGGAGGCTGAGGCGGGTGGATCACAAGGTCAAGAGATGGAGACCATCCTGGCCAACATGATGAAACCTCATCTCTACTAAAAATTAGGCAGGCATGATGGCACGCGCCTGTAGTCCCAGCTACTTGGGAGGCTGAGGCAGGAGAATTGCTTGAACCTGGGAAGCAGAGGTTGCAGTGAGCCAAGACGGTGCCACTGCACTCCAGCCTGGCGACAGAGCAAGACTCTGTCTCAAAAAAAAAAAAGAGGTTGGGTTTCCTAATATTTAAGTTTTCAATTATTAAATTTAAAGGGCATCTAGAGACATTATAATTTTAAGCCATTTTAGATTTATATATATTCTAGGATTAATGAGATATAGGAAATGAGGCTTTTTAAATGTGGAGATTTTAAAAACACACACCAAACATGTTGGTCTTATAAGGAGTCCCACTCTCATATTTTTTCACAATTATATTATTTTATATAACATAATTATGCAATCCTGGCAACTAATGGATAAAGTCCGACAAGCCATGTGTGTGATTTGAATCACAGTGCTGAGAAAAATGTATGGGATTCTATTTAGTACGATAGTGAAATTTAAATCTTTATTTAGAAATACATTTTAAAACTTCAAAATGTTAAAAAAAATTATCTCCAATTTTAGTATTTGCAGATTAGGCCATTTTGAAAACAACATTAGCCAAATAAGAATAGCATAAAAATGGGAGCAAAAGATTCAACATAAAAATGACCACTCTATTATTGGTACCAACTTAACAATTAGGCAGTACGTAAATTGAAAATATGATAAAAGATGCGTTGTAAAATATGGTGAATGGGATATTTAAAAATAAGATTCTCGTTTTAAAAATGTTGTCATGTGAGGATTTCCTTTGTATTCATACACACATGAAGGTTTTTAATGTAACATTTAAAACAAATACCCTAGTTTTTGGAGCCAGTATTCCCAGGGCTCAAGCACATGAGATTAATCTATGTTTTTGATGAGTCTACAGATATTTTATATGATTTACTATTATAAGGCTCTAGTACCTGCTCTGTAGAGTTTTATATATAATTTGATTCAATGTCATACAAGAAAACGAACAAGCAGGGAGAGTAAATCCCTCTCTGATTGCTTAGATCCTTAGAGTAGTAGCTCTTGATTTTTGTGTGTGTGCATCTGAATCACCTGCAGAGCACAATGATTCAGAAGTTTAGTTCCCATTTTTATAAATTCTGATTCCATTGTTCTGGATGTGGTTCTCTGGAATCTGCATTTTGACAAGCATAGTAAGCCAAAATGTTGACTTTGCTTCAGCCTATACAAGAATCACATCTAGAAATGCTAGTTTAAGAAGCTCTCTATGGTAGAATTCTGCAAATGTTCGTTGCGGCACTGTTCAGAATAGCAAAAACATGGAATCAACCTAAGTGCCTATCAATGACAGACTGGATAAAGAAAATGTGGTATATATACACCATGAAATATTATGCAGCCATAAAAAAGAACAAGATCATGTCTTTTGCAGGAACGTAGGTGGGGCTGTAGGCTATCATCCCTAGTAAACTAATGCAGGAACAGAAAACCAAATACCACAGGTTCTCACTTATAAGTGGGAGATAAATGATAAGAACTTATGAACACAAAGAAGGAAACAACAGACACTGGGGTTTATTTGAGGGTGGAGGGTGGGAGGAGAGAGAGGATAAGCAAAGATAACTACTGGGTACTAAGCTTAATACCTGAGTGATGTAACCCTATGTACAACAAACCCCTCTGACGTGTTTAGCTATGTACCTCCAAACCTAAAATAATTTTTTTAAAAAAGAAGCTCTCTAGAATCCTAAGGAAGTAAAGCTGAAGACTAGATGTTAAGGAAAAGGACAGCTGAAAAAAATGGGCTAGAGGGACCCAAAATAAAAACGGAAGGAGCCTACTGCAAAGATAATAGGCAACGAGTGAAAGCGTCTGTTAGATTCTGGGTAGCACCTTAGGACAGGAGTGAGTTTTATGGAAATACTGGAGCACCAGCAACATCATGGTATTTGTCATCATCATCAACAGCATTGTTATCAACATCATCATCAACCTACTGGGTGAGAAAACATGATCTCCAGACACTGGACTAGAGGTTTACATAGATCATCTAATCCTTACAATAAATTTAGGAGGACTTAAAATATTAGTTTTATGTATATTTTTCATATGACAAAACTGAGCCTTAGAGAAATTAAGTGGTTTACCCCCAAAGTGTATTTAAACAGCAAGAATGAAAACAGATTTGAATCAAGCAATGCAACTCTGCAGAGCCCACCTTCTAAACTGCTATTCTTTGGTGATATCTCATAGCACCTTTGAGCTCAGGTTGGCCTCACCATTGTGTAAGGAAAAGGAATACAGTATTTACATAATGATTAGTTGAACTGAATTTGCAGAAACCATGGCGGATGATCATGGCAGGACATAAAAAATCAAAAGTGTCTTAGAGTCTAAAGAAAGGTGCTGTGAGGTTAGGAAAAAGGGAGATGTCAGCCATTCCTAGAGTTAGTATCTTTGATGTGGTGAAAACAATAGAGAGCTGAAGAATGGAATAGAAATAAATGGGAACAGTGTGAATGGATGGAACCTCTGAGGGGCACAAGGCTGAATGCCCCAAGGGGAAGTGATTCAGCCATCTGGTGCTTGAGATCAAATTATCTAATATGTACGTAATTGTCCAAAAATTCCCCTTGGCGACTCAGGCTCAAGGAGGATACCATGCTTTCTTTATCCCCCTTGTAAGTACAAGCTTTGTTGTTGATTTTTTTCTGTCAAAACAAATACAATAGTATCCTGAATCAGACAAACATGGGTTTGAAACCCTGTCCTAAGCCTACAGAAAGCCTTTGGCAGACTCCTTCCTGTCTCTGAACTTCAAGCTTTTGCATATATATAAAATAAAGTGAGAAACATCTACCTAAAAGTAATATTATTAGAATTAAATGAGATAGTAGATAAACAGGACTTGGCACTTCTCCATCCCTTAAGTTAAATTTAATTTCATTTGCACTGCCATGTCAGGAAGGTACATGCAGTATCTAACATAATTTTAGTTCTAACCCTTGTGAGATGGTCATGTTTGTAGCTTAAGAGTACAAAGGTAAATAAGAAAAAAAAAAGAGGAACATTGGGCATTTGGTGCTAAGAGCTCAGACTTAAATATAAATTCTTAACTATGAATCCTTAAATTAGTCTTTAAAATCATGGCAAAAAAAAAAAAAAAACCAAAAAAAACCAAAAAACTCCATTCCAGTGGAAAGTGCTTTAGATTTACAGATCTGCTTGGCACTCAACTATTCCCTGAACTGTCTTGTGACTTTGAGCAAGTAACCTAAATTTAATGAACTTCTATTTGCTCATCTAGAAACCAAGGGATATAGTGCTCAGATTGTCAAATTTATTCAGTATAGGATAATACACAATTTCTAGTTACGGTCTCTAGTGGCTTTTTAGTGACATCAAAGTCCATAAAGCTACTAAAATTGTGTAGAAATATCACAATATAATCAATCAGTTTTTTTCAAGCATAACCCATTATAAAGAAATATATGAATAAACAATCTTACATCAGAAATCAAAGAAGAAAAATCACGAGATAATCTGAATAACTGGTCAGTAGGTAAAATCTGTTCTAAGTGATCCTAAGTAAACTAGTTATCTCTCCTCCTTCTGCCATTGAATTTAGTAGAATTTTTTCTTATGTTTTGATGTGTGTGTGTGTGTGTGTTTGTGAATAAATGTGTGCTTGTATTTGTTTTGAGGGAGTTGGTAAATTAACCCATTGGCATATTTACATATTTCTAGTTATGTTTACAAATTTAAATAGGTTGCCTAAGATCCATACCCTGGTGTCTTTCTTGTAATGGAGCTTAAGTACGCTCTACTAAGCTACAAGAAAAACATCCTATGCTTTGACTGTGATTGGAACTTTGCAAGCTAGTAGACATGCCTTTACAAGCAATAAAATGAAGCTGTCAGCCATTGCAAATGGACCAAAATAGAGGCCACACGACTAAAGCACCCCTGCACCAGGCAGTCTCTGATGTATTTTATTCCAGTTTCAATCTATTAATCAGAGGAGTTGGGAGAGCAATAATTTAAACACTACAATAATCAATTCCATAACACATTAATAGAAGCTACAGTTAAACTTTTCCACACCACTGACTGCATTGGAACCTTGACAGGAGCCCTAGGGCCATGCCTAATTTGCATTAAATTTACATAGAATTATAAATCAAGAATACATGAACACAGCCCTAATGTTTGTTAGTGCTTAGATCTTTCCTGATAGATACATTGAAACTGCTGGTGGTTGGGCTTCACTTGCAATAAAATTGTGCAGCTGATCAGCTTTGTTCTCATTCTGCAATTATGGCGAAAGAAACCCAATTGAGCAACAGTTTGGGGGTATGTGAGTGCCATTTAAGGTTTTTATCCTGTAAAACGATGACTCAGATGTGCCCTTAGATCCCCCAATCTAGAAGCAAATTGTCCCCAATTACTTTGCAGATCTTTGTCACTGGATTTCATCACCAGTAACTTGTCATTAAGTAGAGATACAAACTACATAGAAACCTGAACAGCTGAAAAAATAAAAAGTCCTCTGGAAAATTTTATTTTTTCAGAAGAACTTTGCTATCACAAAAAAGATAATTAGTGCTAATCTTCAGGGTGAGGACAGATAAACCCAAACTTTCTTAAACTCAGCAAAGCATCTGGTACCTAACAGGGTGGAAAAGTGTACTTCATATGGCCCTAGGCATTCTGTGTGTTCTGGTATCCCTGATTTACATTGTTCCAACAGCTGTGGCTTTTGCCGTGTGTTTTCACACTCAGGGCTAGGTGAAAACATTCTCACCAATGTTACTGGCTCTCAGTAACAGGAGTACACTCTCTATATTGTTTTGGGTCCTCTCATTTTAAGTGTCTTTTTAGACAGAAAATCGATACTTAAGTCCAATAATATCTTTGGGAATATTTCTTTTCAGGAAGGATTCTGCAAATATTTTGTACATTATTATTCTGCAACTCCCACCTCTTTCTTACCACCCTTCTATCCCACACTTTCCTTACCTTGTACGATCAAGTAAACTTGGGAGGTCTTGGGCTCATGCTGTGTCTGAACTGAGCAAGTGTAGGAACCCTCATCATAGACATCCACCTTCTGGATTCGGAGGCTGTATTCCAGAGAATGGCGTTTCTCCAGCTCAACCCGTGGGTCCAGAGACCACTTGTCATGTCCAGCAAAAATGATGCCAGAACGGTTCAACCAGGCCACCTTTGAGTTCTTGTCTTCTACAACGCACCTGACAGAGCAGAGTAACAATATTAGTGCCTTAACAACAACTATTTCTGCGTTTCTTCTCTAGGTGATCAGACTCAACAAGTCTAAACAAGGAAAATAATTATATGCAGAATGAATTATTGCCATGCCATTCTTGGAGTCCTTAGAATTTTCACTATTTCATTTAAGATCTAATTACCATCCAGTGGATGGATGTCATTATATTAGACTCAGTTCAGCAATAAACAATCTGAGTATGAGTAATGAAGGCAAAGTTAAATTAGTATTGACTTCCCATTATCTTCTTCTTGTTTAGGAAAAGGCCACTCACTCAGAACTCCGTCTGTTTAAGTAATTTTGAGAATTATACAATTGATATCATAGCACTTTTACTCCATCTTGAACTGTGTTTACTCTTTTATAAGTATTTCCTATAGTATTGTGTAATGATAGATTAAAGTTATACTCCACCATTATAGGAATTAGACTAGACTTCTGAGTTTACTTCTAATCTTTACAAGTTTGGGATGCCACTTCCAGGAGTAAAAATTGTGTGAGCAGATCCAAGCATAAGGGGATAGGTGTTATGACAAGGAAATCAAAGCAAACATCATCTGGCATAAGTTTGGTTCCAGCTGCTGAAGGCAGAAGCTTGTTTGGTGGCAAGTTAGGTTGCTACCAGCATTTCTAGTCACACTAAATGCAGGCAATCTTTAACAAAGATGAAGAAGCCAATTTTGTAGTTTATAGACCAATAGATCAAAAAGGGTAAAGGAATAACGCTTAATTGAATTACTGCTTTAAAAAACTTAAAAGGGTCTCTTTCTGAAATTTGAAAGGGGCAAAGAACATGCATTAGTGAAGGAGGGGTAAATACTTTTTGGTGAGTATGGTTTTCTCCTTCAGTTCCAGCAAGAGTCTTGCAATGGAAAAATCTAGCAGAAAACAAAAACAAAAAAACCTTCTGTCTGCATCCCTGTGGCAAGATTTATGTCTGCCCCATAGGGAGATGTCCCAAACCCTGTTCACAGCTGCAAAGCCAGCTGCTCAACACTCTGGAGCAGGAGGGAATGAACAGAAAGAGCCACGAGCACCACAGCAGGACTATTAAGACACCCTGTTCCCCTGTATTTTCTAAGCCAAGTAAAATCCAGTTTTTATCTCAGGTCAAAACAACTAAACATAGACAGAAAATTGATGCATAACCCATAGGCTGTCCCACATGGAATATAAAGGCCAACTGTGTCTCTTACAAGAAAGATAACAGCTAAGTCTTTTTAAATACTCCATTTATGGTATAATACAAAGACCTCCTTATCCTATTAATTTTAAACGAATTGTATATGTTATTTAGAGGGAGATTTTTTTTTTTTTTTTTGAGACAGATCTTGTTCGGTCACCAAGACTGGGGAGCAGTGGCCTGATCATAGCTCACTGCAGCCTCAAACTACTGAGCTCAAGCAATCCTCCTGCCTCAGCCTCCTAAGTAGCTAGGATGATAGGTGCATGCCACCAGGACTAGCTAATTTAAAAAAAAAATTAGAGATGGGGTCTTGCTGTGTTGTCCAGGCTAGCCTCAAGTGATCTTCCCAACTTGGCCTCCCTAAGCACTGGGATTATAGTCATGAGCCACCATGCCTGACCCTAGAGTAAGAATTTGACTTAATAAGTTGGGTGCCAAGATACACAGGTCTTACTTTTCTTCTTTACCTATTTGTTTTCATAAACATAACTAGATTTAGGTATCATTTAACATCTCCATTTCCCAGTATGTGCTTCTCTGCCATGCATATATTATTGAGTATAATTTATGTGTTTAATAATTTAGAGGCCTTTTATCATGAGCACCAAGCTAACTTCATGAATGCTTGCTGCCTCATTCCAGACTCAGTTTTACTTTTGCTGTTCTCCTCTCTTGTGGCATCATTTCTCTGTTCTTGGTGATGTTTGCCGCATCTCTGAATTTAAAATCATTGATGAATTAATTAATAGGATGTTTGGTGTCTTACTCTAGACCATTATGAAATTGTTGAATGTAGATTTACCATGTTTTTTCTATTCTAGTAAGAAGGATAGAAATTTACCTGTGTAAATGTGTTTTAAATCTTCTATCATTTTTCCCTGTGCATGTTTCTCACCTGCACAGCGTAACACAAGAATGGTCAGATTTGCTACATTATAGATGTATTCTGAATGCCTCTTAGCACCAAATATGGCTCCAATCTCTTCACTTTAAAAGAAAAAATACCACGTAATATAGCTTACCTAAATATGGCCTGTGAATCCAATAAAAACAGCAAATTTTTACCTTATTCATTTGGATACCACCAATAACTAATCTAGGATAAAACAGGCATTTGATAAATGCCTGTCCTGTGAACTAACTGGGTCACACATGCAGATACAGGACATTTGGTAACCTATATTCCACGTCCCCATCCCAAGTCCTATAGCACCCACAAATAAATTGGACAGATTTCCTTAACAATATAAGGTAAAGTTTATAAGTCGGGTCTTTATGGTCCTTTGACATTTTAGCAAATTTCATTCATGGAAAAGTTAAAGTCATACGGATCATTATTCCAAATTATTCTTTGAGGGTGTTCAGCTCTATCTTACCTAAAGAAGTAATTGACCATTTCAGCAAAATTGCCAGATGCATAAAAGTGCATCTAATGAAACAATGTATTATGTGGAAATTTTGTTATGACAATTTACATAGCACCTTGTTTTTGATCTGGGTTTTATCCGTATTTATTTTTAAAATTCGTCTTTTACTGACAAACAAGTGAATAGTATATTAGAATACACATATACTTTTTTTTGTTTTGTTTTGTTTTTGAGATGGAGTCTCGCTCCGTCGCCCAGGCTAGAGTGCAGTGGTGCAATCTCAGCTCACTGCAAGCTCTGCCTCCCAGGTTCACGCCATTCTCCTGCCTCTGCCTCCCGAGTAGCTGGCACTACAGGCGCCTGCCACCACGCCCGCCTAATTTTTTGTATTTTTAGCAGAGACGGGGTTTCAGCGTGTTAGCCAGGATGGTCTCAATCTCCTGACCTCGTGATCCGCCCACCTCGGTCTCCCAAAGTGCTGGGATTACAGGCGTGAGCCACCGTGCCCGGCCTAGAATACACATACTTTTTCCTAACTCAGATGGTTAGCCAAACTCCAAGCACCAGAACACAATACAGTATAGTGTTTTTAAAAAGGAAACCATTTCAAGGAGAAATTTGTTTAAAATAAATATATCTCAATGGAAAAAAAATAAATAAATAAAAATAAAATAAAAAGGAAACCACTTCTCCAGATCTTTCAGGGTTCCTTTTTATGTACTCAGTAGTTGCAAAATAAATCTATTAGCTCTATAAACTGGAAAATAATCCTTCTACAATGTGACTAAAACTTTCTTAATAAAAAATGAGTAAAGGAATAATGCAATTTCAGAACTAAATATTTTCTTAATTTTAGAATCTTAATTTAAGGTGGCACCTATTTTTTTTAATCATAAAAAGTACACATGAAAAAAAATGGTAGGACCAGGCACGGTGGCGCATGCCTGTAATCCCAGCTCTTTGGGAGGCTGGAGGCAGGAAAATCACTTGAACTCAGGAGTTCAAGGCTACAGTGAGCTATGATCACATCACTGCACTCCAGCCTGGCCAGAGTGAGACCTTGTCTAAAAAAAAAAAAAAAGAAAGAGAAAGAAAAGAAAATATAGTAAACCAGAATCAGTAGTTTCAATTTGTAGAGGTCTACGTTTATTAAGAGATAATAACTAGTCATACAGTGTACTGACAGACCACCTGGCTATCTGGAAATAAGAAATGCTGATATAAATACAGACCCAGGTTCCCAGCATTCACTGAATCACCAATAAGCATCATGGGCTTGCATCTCTGAGGTCTGCTGGCTCAACTGTGCATTAGGCAGGCTTGTGGAGTAAATGAGAATTCTCGGGCCATGCCATTATAATATGATAATAATGAATTATCACCTACCTAGAATGTTGCTGCAATTTAGTTCTAAACTTTATACTTAATGATTTTGTTTCGGGGGACCTGCCCCGGAAAATCACGTAGGTTCTTTTCTATTTTCCTAAGCGTCGGCTGGCTTGAGAAATAAAAGGACAGAGTACAAAAGAGAGAAATTTTAAAGCTGGGTGTCCAGGGGAGACATCACACGTTGGTAGGATCCGTGATGCCCCACAAGCCACAAAAACCAGCAAGTTTTTATTAGGGATTTTCAAAAGGGGAGGGAATGTGTGAATAGGTGTGGGTGACAGACATCAAGTACTTAACAGAGTAATAGAATATCATAAGGCAAGTGGAGGCAGGGCGAGATCACAGGACCACAGGACCGATGTGAAATTAAAATTGCTAATGAAGTTTCGGGCACCATTGTCATTGATAACATCTTATCAGGAGACGGGGTTTTGAGATCAACCGTCTGACCAAAATTTATTAGGTGGGAATTTCCTCTTCCTAATAAGCCTGGGAGCGCTATGGGAGACTGGAGACTATCTCACCTCTGCAATCTCGACCATAAGAGACAGGTACGCCCCTGGGGGGCCAGTTCAGAGACCTACCCCCAGGTGCGCATTCTCTTTCTCAGGGACGTTCCATGCTGAGAAAAAGAATTCAGTGATATTTCTCCCATTTGCTTTTGAAAGAAGAGAAATATGGCTCTGTTCTGCCCGGCTCACCGGCGGCCAGAGTTTAAGGTTATCTCTCATATTCCCTGAACAATTGCTGTTATCCTGTTCTTTTTTCAAGGTGCCCACATTTCATATTGCTCAAACACACATGCTGTACAATTTGTGCAGTTAATGCAATTATTACAGGGTCCTGAGGTGACATACATCCTTCTCGGCTGACAGGACTAAGAGACTAAAGTAAAGACAGGCATAGGAAATCACAAGGGTATTGATTGGGGAAGTGAGAAGTGTCCATGAACTCTTCGCAATTTATGTTTAGAGATTGCAGTAAAGACAGGCATAAGAAATTACAAAAGTATTAATTTGGGGAACTAATAAATGTCCATAAAATCTTCACAATCCACGTTCTTCTGTCATGGCTTCAGCCGGTCCCTCCGTTTGGGGTCCCTGACTTCCCGCAACAATTTTATCTCTAGAATCAACCTGGGCTAAAGCAGGAAGATAAAAAGATGTATTTCAAAAACCTGTTAGTGTTATGTGTTGTTTTAATAGAATGTTGTCTTGAGGAACACATGATGTTGCAAATAATTCCCAGGTTTAGAAAGAACCGGACCCTAATGACAATGGGTGTTAGTGCCACGAGGAGAGGATCAGAGAATATCCTTCCGCTTTGGGTGGGTTTTATGGAAGGCAGCTGAGGACATGGACGTATGCTATAAAGTGCCACCTCTTCAGAAAATCTTCTCTCGTCAGTGTAACCTTCTTAAAACTTCCTTTTTATGACCTTATCATACTCCACATTGCATTAGAGTTATTTGCACTCATCTTTTCTCATAAGCTTATTAAGACAGTGACCTTCTTGTAATTCACCTCTGGAGCCCTCACTGAGCCTAAATACCATGTGCATAAATACCATGTGCATAGTAGATACTTGCTGAAATGTGGAATAAACAAGCTGAATTTAATTTAACAAATTGCATTAGGTCAATTATAAAATATTCATTAATTATCTAATAGGTACAGTAAAGATGGATAACTATTTTAATATTTCTTAAGAAATAATTAAAGTTATTAGGTATAAAGGGAAATTTAAAGAGAATTATTGAGTGTGGTATTAAAATGAAAGTAAAGGAGAGAAAAAATGTGTTCCTGTGTCCACTATGAAGAAATATCATCTCTAGGAACTAAATGATCTATATTGCATGTGAAAAACTGTGAAAAAAAAGTATAACATCCTAAATAAGTGATTAGGAGGTTGCTCACGTTAATCATGAACCCTCAAATATTAGATGGGTTACCTACTGGAACTGCAAATCTATGATTTTTAAAAAATCATCTCTTAAAAAAATTAGGAAAGGTAAGCACACAAATTTTTATCTTCCCTGTTTAGTATATTTGATTCCATAAAACTGTCACAAAAAATCAATGCACCCATACAAATCTTAAGCATTGAATTTCTTCAAACACTTTACATCAAGTCTATTATGCAGACTTATACAAACAGGTACATTGACAATTCTAGTAACATTGCACAAGAGTGGGGGTTATACTGCTTAAAAAATGAATATAACTGGAGGTAGAAAAGAAATGCTAAAATCAGTTTGTACCAACAGATTACTTAATAGCATATGTACTGACAAGATATCTATGATGTAATTGATACATATCTACCAAATATTAAGCCTGTTCAATTGCTGCTGGACACATTTCATATTTAACAAGCATTAATGGCTGTTAAAAAACATACCAACTTAGGATTCAAATTTGTCCAGACTTAGCCTTGCATAAATTTCCTTCTTTTCTCAAGAGTATAATCTGGTATTTATTCACTGATAACAAATAAATATATTTTATGTAATCCGCACCAGTTATCTATACTCATATTTATACATTGCAGAGGCTGGGAGCAGTGTAACTGGATGGGTAAGAGAAATCTATTTGTTTCTTAAGAAAGAACAGTTAGATAAGTGGTCCCAAGTGAAGGCAATCTGTGCCCCTAGATGACACTGACAATATCTGGAGACATTTTTTGGTTGTCACAACTAGGGAGGGGGTGTTGCTATTGGTTTCTAGTAGGGAGAGGCCAGGGGTGTTGCTAAACATCCTACAATGCCGTGGACAGCCCCCAATCACAAAGATGTATCTTATCCAAAATGTTGACAGGATCGAGGTTGAAATACCCAGATATAGATGTCTGTCTCTTGGTTTACACATCCAGAAGCATAGGACAAACATCTAAAGTGCAGTAGTGTGTTTTCATAGGCTTATGCTTTTTAATTTATACCTACTTAATTGTCAGCAGCAAAGTTCATGACAAAGGCACAGCAATGAGGCCTAGTGAGGCTCTGGTTGTAAGTCGATAGTTAATGATTATAAGTTAGTAGTTAATCATGCCCCTTTTGTTGTTTTACTTTAGTTTCATAATCGTAAAATGATGTAATCATTTCATAACACCCAGGATAGGTAAAGGAGAATCATTTGGAGAAAAATTGATTTTTTTTAAGAAAATTAGTCTTTGTTCATCAGAAAACTTTTTCATTGACCTTTATTATTTTTCACATTTGTGAATCTCCCTCTTTTGTAAGATATGGAAAGATTCAAGATGTGGATGGGAAGGATGTCTTCAAGAATGTTATTTTGATGCTGTTTGCCTTGTAACTTCAATCCTACAAATAAAACCCTTAGTGAATCAGCAAAACTATCATAGAATCATTTCACTCTAGAAGGAAAGATAATTGGTCTGGGAAGTGATGCTATATATTCCCAGCATTAAAATGTGGAATCAGAAAAATTCTAAGCAGAGAATGGAATAAAGCATGAAAATATCCCAGATTCTCCTGAGTCAGAAGTCCTTAGTCTGGTTTTATAACATTATTTTAAGTATAATGAATTCCAACAACTATGCAAACACATCAAAAAAATAAATACCAAGTTAGTTAAAAACCAAATTTAAGGAATTTTAAATCATCAATCATTTTGAAGCATCTTTGCTTCATTACCATTTTCTAAGATTAGACTCAATTAGAAATAAAAAAAGAACTGTGGGAATTCACTGCTGACACTCAGGAGCCCTGTTAGCCTTTGCTGCAACTAAAAGCTTCAGCTCCTTACCTTCCTTGCTCCTAGCTTTAGTTCTTTTCACACCTGACCTCTGGTTGGACCCCTGTCTGCTATCTTGGTGTCATTCTCTTGCTCTTGTGCATGTCTGTTCTCCTCATCTTCATTCCCTTGACCCAGACCCTAATCTTAGTTTGGTAATGGTTGACTTCTCTGGATTCATACCAAATTGTAGACCAGTTAACACTATGACAGCATCTACATGATCAGATTATCTCCCCTCACCCTTGCTTCTTTGCACACATTCATATACAAATGGCTACATGCACACACAGAAGTAGAAATGGATGTTCAGGGCAGGGTAAGAACACCGAGGTAGTAGAACACAGAGGTGGTAAACCCACAGGAACTGAATTCATGTAAATATATTACCACATGATTCAGAAATCTGTGTACTGTGTACTGCTGATGGAGTGCTAGTGTAAAAAACAAACAGTTTAGATCCTGAAGAGGCTCATTTTAGTTCTGGCCTTGCAGCCTATTTACTATTGGAACACAGATAAGTCTTTTAACTTTTCTGAATCTTAGTTTCTTCTTAAGTAAAATGGGGCTAACGATACCTGTTCAACCTCTTAGAACCATTCTCAGCATAGTTCTTTAAATCAAATGAGGTGACGTACATAGAAACATTTCATAAAACAAAGCAATATATATGCTTATATTCATAGTCTCTCATTGTAAAGGATAGTAGATAAAAAGAAAACAGTCATATAAGAGAGATAACTAAAGGAAAAACATTGATTTCTCTAATCACATTCAAAAAGTTAACCTCTTTATATTTTGCAGTGTGATGAAACCCACTAAACATGTATTATTACCCAGACTCTCAGATCAATCATGTATTTCTCTAAATGCTCAACTTTTATTAGTTATTCACATGTGCTCTACTGTGAAAGCACCCTTTCTGTGATTAGGCTACCACTTATTACAATGATCATCACCTGAAAGTGCAAAAGTTCACATGGCAAATGGCAAAACCCAGACAAGCTGCGCAATTTCTGGAGCAATGAAAAGGCCTCCATAGACATGCTTTTTGTCTCTTACTATCACTAAAGAACACCTTGTCCAGTCATATATGCATTGTTATATATGATACATGCATGACTACATTTCAGAATCATCTTTTTGAAGAAGCACAGATGCATATCCATGCAGATGGTAGAGGTTAAGAGAAGAGTGGATGGAAAAGAAACAGGACCACCCAATTAAGTCCTGAATGTGTCTCAACAAACTCCCTTCCGGCACCATCTGTATTCCTATTGTTGTCACATCAACTGTGCCATCTCTACATTCACATAGAAGAAATAAATGGGAAAAAATAAGACACAAATTCTAAAAAGAGATAAGTATTGAGACTGAGACCAGGAGAGAACCGATTTCTATCCCAGTCACAGCTGGAGTTAGAGTCAATCCCAGGAACATTTATTAGTGATTGGAAAGAGCTCTTCTAGGATCTTTCCAAGAGTCTGGATCACGTCAGAAAAATAAATCATTCTCTTCTTAATCACATCTCAACTCAAAATTCTTCCTTATTTTGTAAGTGGTGAAGTGGAAAAGTTATGGGTTCAGTAGTTTAGTAGCTTTAGGCAAGTTACTTAGCAGAGAAAGGCAGCGTGGTGGGGTGGCGATAGGTTTAGGCTACAAAGCCAATTTTCTGCTCTAAATTCTAGCTTCATCACATACTTGCTCTGTGGTTTTGGGACATTTGTTTATCCTCTCTGTGCATGTGTTTCCTAAGCTATAAAACGAAGATGATCATAGTATCTACCTTGTTTGGCACTCGTAATGTTTAAAAGGGTTTTAAAAAAACATATAGAGCAATGCCTGGATCTAATGTGTCCAATATTTTCGAAGAGCTTCAGGGTTTTTCTTCTGCAACACAGGAGTAGTAGGTACTTCCTCAGATTGTTGTAACTATTAAACAGGATATATTTGGAGTACACAGTGAGCTCTGGAAGATCCTGATACATTTTTATTTCCATATCCTTCCATAATTCAAATCTTGGTCATTCATTATGTAGAAAACCCATTTTTGGGATCAATCCAGCAACTCCCAGATATTGTGGCTCAATCCAATCTTTGCTTATTAATAGGCATTTTCAGGGAAACCCCCTTTTAGGGGCTTGAGCTGTCTTGCATCTGATAGCCCCTTGGTCCCCTCTGGTTAGCAATTGGCCTCTTCTAGCCCACAGAATTTAAATCAAGAGCAGGATGATGCAGCATGGTTATAGTGCAATGGTGTAAATTGAGGCTCTAATGCCATCTCTGGAACACTTTTAAAGGATTTTTGGGATACCTGTGCATAGGCAGCATAGGACTTAATTGTCTCACCACTTTCAACCAGATCCACTTAGTTTCATAAAGGGCAGAACTCATACATGGCTGTCTCTCTAGGATAGCTGAAATAGAGGCCCATGCTGTGCTTTGTGATCCCCTGAGATCTGCTGGCTGAATTGGAGTTCCACCTGAATTGGATGAAGCATACCCTATGCTTTGAGGACTCTCAGGTTGCAACAACAAGGCCTATTCTGTCTCCTCAGTGACTGAGTGGCAATTATACGCTCACTAAACTAGCAAGAATCTACAACTTTTTTCTCTCCTTTGAACTAGAAATTCTCCTCTTTCCTCCGTATACAGTTGAGAGAGGATGAGAAACAACTTTAAATTTTGCTTTTGTTTTGATTCTCCCTATGAGCCTTTGTTCTCTGTGAAAAATACCTCTCATTTGGAAAGAGAAAAAACTGCCTTTGGTTGTACCTTTGAAACAGTAAAATTAGTCTTGGAATTCTGGCTCAGATTTGTAGTTAAAAACTTCACTCACTATGCAATTAAAAACAATTCCACAGCTATTTGAAGAAAATTGTGATACTTCTGCATCATTACAGATACCAAAAGCATTGCTAAGTTCTAGATGGAAAAAAAATATGGTCTTTTCCATGTAGGGTTTATTCTTTATCTCATTCCAGCAGTAGGGAGAAAGAAATGCTCGCAATAAACCACAATCCACAATGCACTTAGGATGAGCATTCTGATGTATAAGGCATGGCTGTAAAGTTAGAAGACTGTTTTCCACAAGGCTCACTTGAAAACCCAGCCCCTTACTTTATAGTCTTGTCATATATGCCATTATGTAAATGTTATCATTGGAGCAGAACCACATTATAATATGACTCATCATTACATTACATGCATTGAGACATAATTCAGATCAAATTATGCCAAGACATGACAATTAATAGATACAACATGTATGCTATAACGAAGTTAACACATAATAAGTATGTAAGCCCATGAGTAAATAAGTAAGTAATGAGACTGTCTTCAGGACTACCATTAGAAAATGGCTCTACTGTCTGGTTTGCCTTCCCTGGTAGAGGTAGAGGTAAAAGAGACAAAGATAAAGGCAGGTGCATATGAAGAGCAAAAGAAGTCTTTTTTTTTTTTTCTTTTAGACACAGTTTTGCTCTTGCTGCCAAGGCTGGAGTGCAATGGTGTGATCTCAGCCCACTGCAACCTCGGCCTCCTGGGTTCAAGCAATTCTCCTGCCTCAGCCTCACAAGTAGCTGGTGTTACAGGCATGCACCACCATACCTGGCTAATTTTGTATTTTTAGGTAAGATGGGGTTTCACTATGTTGGTCAGGCTGGTCTCAAACTCTTGACCTCAGGTGATCCACCCACCTTGGCCTCCCAAAGTGCTGGGATTACAGGCATGAGCCACCACACCTGGCCAGAAGTCTTTATTTTTGAAATATATTTTGTGGAAACAAATGTGAAATAGGGGACTCCAGTAGCTGCAAACTGAAGGAGATATAATCAAACAGATCTATCACAGGCAAAGGAAATGTAGTGGTCTCCTCTCCCAGATGACAAGAAGCCAGTAGATCACGATGGATGCGTATAAATCACAAGGAGCCCGGGCGCAGTGGCTCACGTCTGTAATCCCAGCACTTTGGGAGGCCGAGGCAGGAGGATCACCTGAGATCAGGAGTTCAAGACCAGCTTGACCAACAGGGAGAAACCCCATCTCTAGTTAAAAATTCAAAATTAGCCGGGCGTGGTGGCGCATGCCTGTAATCCCAGCTACTCAGGAGGCTGAGGCAGGGGAATCACTTGAACCCAGGAGGCTGTGGTTGCAGTAAGCCAAGATTGCGCCATTGCAGCCTTGGCAACAAGAGCAAAACTCCGTCTCAAAAATAAATAAATACATAAATAAATATAAATAAATCACAAGGACACTTCTCAAATGGAGAATTATAATCATAAGAATTTTTTTATGACTTCCATGTTTGCTTTTCCATCACACACTTTCCCCCACCTCACCTCCTATTTTTTTCTATTTCCAGAATTATTTTCTTCAGCTTTGTCTTCCAAAGGACAATGGTGTGAGGAGGACTTCATCCTTGTGTAACACCCTGTGTGTGTGTTTTTCTTCTTTCTCTCACCAAAGCATTTTTTTTTCCTCCCTTTTGCTGGAGGCCTGTCTCTTTCTCTTGAACAGATCAACAATCAGGTCGTAAATGGGAGTTGGAGCCGGATGATCAAAAAGAACTTTAGAAAAATGGGAATAAAAGCAAGAGCTGATGAGTTTGAAATGAAAGCCCATCTGGGAGAGCTCTTCTAATGAACTCAGCCTACTCAAACTGTACAAAGAAAGCTGAAGAATGATTGCAGCTGCAATCTCCAACCTACATAAAGCACTAACGCTGGTAAGGTGATGAAAGTGAAGGGAGGTAACTGGTATCTGGATTTGGAAGAGAGAAGTCAAAGGCCATCACCCCCTTGTACTACTGCATTCACCATGTAAGTTCCTTCGGAAATTTCACAGCCAATCTGAATTAAAGAGACAGCTGCAGATGCTTCAGGATGAAGGTCACACTCTGAATTCTACGAAGAGCCCTATGATTCAAAAGTACCATCTCTTTAGCCTCAGAGCAGTTGTATACCACCTTCTCACTTGCTCTGTCCCTGGGCTAGTATGGCTTTGAAATTATGTTAAAGAAGAGGCATTTTCCCTCACAAAGACTCCCAAAATATGACTATTAAGTGAAAGAACAGGTAGAGGGAGGGAAAGAGCTGAATCTAAGTGGAGATTAATAAAGTGTTGTTTTGAAATTGTTCCTTTATTTTTCCTGGGTTAATTATCGCCATTTAGTCACGACTTCCTGACACAGCACCAGAAATTTTGTTGAAATCTTAATATTCTGCAGGAAACTGACCTGACTACCAGCAGGAATTATATTGACTAATTAATAATGTCCAGTCTCCCTCAAGGATAAGTCACCTCTGTCTGGCTCTATCATGGCCACTCTTAGAATGATGGTGATGGTCCACTGATTGTCACATCCAATGAATTTATCTGAAGTATTTGTCCTATGTAACCTCTTCAAAGCTTTCAGCGCCAGTCACCACCCAGTTTTCATTTTCTTGTTTCTCTTCCTAACTCTCTCACAATTTCTCAATTTCCATAATTGTCTCCTCTTTCTCCATGCACACTTTTATACATTGTTTTTCTCCAGGATTGTACTTTTCTCCTGATCTCACAGAGCACTCCTAATACAGTGTTGGTTTTATTTACATTTAATATAATTGAAATCTGAAATGGTATACTCAGCTGCTCCATGTAGATATTTGAGGGTACCTCAAATTCAACATGTCCTGAGCTGAAACTCATCATCTTCCACTTTACTTTGGTTCTTCTTCTAAATTCCCTGTTATCAGTTAATGGAACTCTAATTCATCTATAAATTTAAGCTAGTATCCACAGAATTATTATTTTTGGGGGGGTGGGGGGTGGGGTACAGAGTCTCACTCTGTTGCTCAGGCTGGCTTGCAATGGCACAATCTTGGCTCACTGTAACCTCTGCCTCCCAGGTTCAAGCAATCCTCCCAGCTCAGTCTCCTGAGTAGCTGGGAATACAGGTGCATGCCACCACACCTGGCTAATTTTTGCATTTTTAGGAGACACGGTTTCAACATGTTGGCTAGGCTGGTCTCAAACTCCTGACCTCAAGTGATCTGCTTGCCTCAGCCTCCCAAAGTGCTGGGATTACAAACGTAAGCCACCACCCCCAGCCAAAGTTATTCTTATTTCCTTCTTTTTCTTCATGTGTCTTATGTAGTCATATATTATTTTACATTTTTTCTAATTTTTAAAAAATTATTTAAACAAATTTTTAGCACACACCACCTTTGTTATTCTCATAAATTGACCTCTACTCTCCATCGTCACTTCCACTGCCTTTGTTCAGTGCCTTGTCATTTGTTACCAGCATCACTACGTAGATTTCCAACTGGTGTTTTGGTCTGCGATATTGTATCCCCTTACCCACAGCTATTCCATCTGTCTTTCATAGTGAACAGAATGTACATACATAAAGTTGATCATGTACTCATCTTATTTAAATGTTCGTGGTCTTTTTACCTGTAAAAATCCAAATAGATTAGTAAAACATCAGTTCACTTAACCTAGCTTTCCAACCCCGATCTCTTGACATTACACTCCTTTTGCTATGAATTTTATGCTTTATTCAGACTTCAATCTCACCCTTTCTAGATCTGGTTTTTCCTTTTTATTTAAAATGTCTTGTTTGGCAAGCTCCTGCTTACTATACAAAATCTATCTCAGATGTGCCCTTCTCTGTGATTCATTCTCTCCAATTTCCCTAGTTGATTCTCAGCTTATGCTAGCATTTTAAGTCTTTGTTTTTCTGCTTTTCATCACTATTTTAAGAGTGGGCCCAAACCATGTCTTCTCAACTTTTGCATCTCTATTGCCTATCAAAGTTCCTTACACAAAGAAGTTTCTAGATAATTACTCAATGGATGAATGAATACATGGGAGTCTTTTGCCTCTCATCTCACATTTATAAGAGTGTCCCCACTCTGATGTACCTTGAAGGTGGAAGAAACTTACTATTCCAAGTGGTGTTGAAAGCGGAGAAGTTGTGACAGGACAAGAAGTGTTTTTCTAATCTAAACCAGGTATCTTATTTCCCTATATTTGCTTCTATCATTTTCTCTACTCCTCTAGGTCTAGAAAAATGATGATATCTATGATACATCTACGTTATACTATAATAGATATGTGAAACTAAATTTTTTGTCACTCTTTTAAATTGTTTTAAATTGACATGTAATAATTGTGCATATTCATTACATGTGATGTTTCAATACATATAATGTATAGTGATCAGATCAGGGCAATCAACATATACATCATCTCAAACATTTGTCATTTCTTTGTGTTGAGAAGGTTCAATAACCTACTTTTAGCTATTTGAAATTATATATTATTGTTAACTCTAGTCATCCTATCTTGGTACAGAATGCATTAGAACTTATTTCCCTTATCTAGCTGTAGTTTTGTATTCTTTAACAAATCTCTTATCATCCAAACAGTAAATTAAAAAATAAATACAATATGCAGGGGAAACTGCATAACTCAAATTCTAAAAATATGCTTAAGAGTGAAAACAAAAACTGATTTCGAATATATTGATGCCCTTTCTGTATTTGGTAGACTTAAATATGAACATTTGTATTATCTTTTGTTAGTGTCTCTTGACTTAGAGGCTTATATTTAAGGATCCCAATAAATATTTTTTAATCCATACTCAATGTCATACTGAGGACTAACCACCTATGAGTTTATAGAGGGATTGTGATTAGATCATAATCAGTTTTCTCACTGATCTATTGAAGCAGGTTAATTTGGTCTCACAGAACTTTAAAATTTTTTCTTTCTCTACTTCATTTCACTGTGAAATTAGCAATTATTTTTTCCTGTAAGGTAATAATATGATCAAGAAGAAAAACAGGAAGGCTGATAAAGAGATATGTACAGTAGAATTTTCTCCACTGATCCTTTGTCTGGAAGGCAACTAAAATTTAGGCAGTCCAGATTCTTTCAGTCAACAGGAGGCACTGTAGTTATTCAGATAAAACTATGTTTCATTCCTTAATTTTGGTAAATACCATCCTATATTTATTTTCTTGGATTATTATAAAACACAATCTCAGAATTCTGTATATCACATCTGAATCTGCAATCTGAATTAAGCAAAAGAAAAAACTTAGAATGAGATTAATTTTATTTGTCTAACTGACTGGGCTAAGTGGTGCTTAGACAGTTGTTTAAACATTATTCCTGGATGTGTCTGTGAGGGTGTTTCTGGATGAGATTAACATTTGAATTGGTAGACTGAGAAAGCAGATTGATCTTCCCAAATGTGGGTAGGCCTCACCTAATCCATTGAAGGCCTGAATAGAATAAAAGGCTAAGTAAGAAAGAATTATCTCTCATTACCTGCCTTCAAGCTAGGACATTAGTTTTCTCCTGCCTTCACACTTGGACTTGGACTGAAATTACTTTCACACTATCAGCTTTCCTGAGTCTTCAGCTTATTGGCTGTAGATTTTGAGACTTCTCAGCTTCCATAATCATGTGAGCCATTTTAAAATTTTATCTATCTATCTATCTATCTGTCTGTCTGTCTGTCTATCTTCTATGGGTTTTGTTTCTCTGAAGAAATCAGACTAATACAGTAAGTTTTAACAAAATATTTTAAGTAAGCTGAGCTTAGCTCAATCAAATGAATAATAATACATTATTGTCTTTTATACCTTGCTCTTTATCACACTCTAAGAAGATATTTCTTAAAGTCCTTATTCTCTTATCCTCAATCACAGTATTACCCACCCCCCCAAAAAAAACTTTACTAAAGGAAGTTGCTGCTGTAGCTCATCAACATATGTCCTTATATTTAAAGAATATTGGTGTGTATAGCTTTAGTCAGAGGTGGATTATCTAGTTTCTTTACTATATTAATCATTGTATTCTGTCCTGAGACTAGAATATACTGATATAATAGACAGTGTAGACTGGGCACAGTGGCTCACACCTATAATCCCAGCATTTTGGGAGGCCCAGGTGGGCAGATCACTTGAGGCCAGGAATTTGAGACCAGCCTGGGCAACATGGCAAAACCCCTGTCTGTACTAAAAATACAAAAATTAGCCAGGCATAGTGTCACATGATTATAGTCCCTGATACTTAGAGATTGAGATACAGAATCGCTTGAACCTGGGAGGCAGAGGTTGCAGTGAGCTGAGATTATGCCACTGCACTCCAGCCTGGGTGACAGAGTGAGACTCCTTCTCAAAAAAAAAAAAAAAAAAAAAAAAGAAAGACAGTGTACATATCATATATTTTTGTTCATGTGTTCTTTCTGTGTCACTTCCTCTCATTCCATCTTTTTTTTTTTTTTTTGGCTATATTCTTTGCTTTGAGGACATGAGTCAATGTAAGAAAATGGCTTATTTATATATCCTTCCCTTTTTGCTCTTATGCAGTGTGAGTCCCTTAAAGTCCCTTAATCTTTATGAACATTCTTCTGTCTAAATAAGACCTTGTGCCATGTCACACGATGCTTCACATTAAAATTATACCTCTGCTAGACTGTAAAATTAAGGAAGTCAGAGTCCCTAATTTATTTTTTCTAAGTGTATCAGTGCAGTAATGATTTGAGTGCACAAAAATCCTACGGGTATTCAATAAAAAATTCTGTAACAATAAAGATAATTTCAAAAATAAAATTTCTGATTTATCATTGTACCTTTGTATAATACCTGAATCACAGAATACTGTGACAGAGGGTAAGAAAATAGGAACTTTATGAAATATGCCCTGAGAGGACAGAATCAGAGTGGAAGTGATCAAAGAATGCATTGTTTATTAAGTAGAAAGCTTTCTCTAAGTGAGCCCACGTAGATTTCTTTCCCCATCACTGAGTTCTACACAGGGCCTCCGTGGCCCACCCAGAACTCAGTATGAACACTGGCCAGAGAGTCCAGTCTCATAATTTCAAAACCTTTCTGGCAGTTTTCACTTACTGATTTATCCTAATCACCAGCTCTTAACAGCAACAAAATGGTAAGAGGAACATAAAGCAAGATCAAAAGATACATATTCAATGCGAAACAGTGTAGCCTGTTAGCCCCAAGCAAGGAATAAGTGAAGAACACTCTCCATTGTGTAGTAAAGTGTTTCTGGGAGGCTAATGTTGTTAGATGCAACCCTGCCCAAGGCAATGTTAAAAAAAAAAAAAAAATCAACCACCCAACAAAGAAAACTAGGCTTGCACCTCATGTTCTTCCATGCAGCTCACCCAGGCTTTGTTCATCGGGGAGAAATCTAATATGATAAAGAAAGATTTGAAGAGATTAACAACCTTGCACCAAATATTAACTGACCCTTTCTATTATATCATTTTTGCCGAAATCATCCATTTTAAAACAACATAAAAGGTCAGATACTGGAGTTGCACAGGACTAAGATAGTGTAGAAAATAATATATTTCTTACAGTATCATTCTTTGCCATCCACTCGCAAGTGAACTACCTCACGTCTCTCCAAAATTGAGAAATGCAATTTCTCTTACGTTACTTCATAATACTAAGTCTGCTCACTCTACCTTTTTAAGAGGTGGTGCTCATCTGGGACCTAAATCTACACAAAAAGACCTTACAGACATTCCTTCTCTGTCAGATGAAAAGTTAATAAGGATATATTGTAAACCAGAATTTTTCTAGACTTATCACACACACTTTTACCTGTCATCCTCATAAAACATACAGCCATGGCAGGAGCACAGCGGTGGAAGAGAACTATTGCTTTGGCACTTTCATAGCAGGCACCCGTGTCAAATATAGGGCAGAAAATGTGTTTGACCATCAGCAAGCACTAGCCTGGAAGAGCCAGCTATACTCTAAAAGATTTTGAAAGTTTGACTTGGGTATAGGATAGTTAGCATGATGAAGGCATTCATAGAACTCTTGGCTACAGAAGAGATATTTTTCAGTTTGACTAGGGGGAAAAAAAAAAAAACTGCCACAGCTGGTGATATACAGTCTGGGATAAAGAAACAAATACTGCCAGGCAATTCTTTGAGACTCTGTTCTAGCCACACAGTAGAAGCATGATGTGAGAGGACTAACTGCCGCAAAGACCTTCCAGCTTCTCCAGCAGTCTACTGACTGCCAGATATGGTCACTTTCATGCGCGTCCGTGTGAAAAGACCACCAAACAGGCTTTGTGTGAGCAACATGGCTGTTTATTTCACCTGGGTGCAGGTGGGCTGAGTCCGAAAGCAGAGTCAGCGAAGGGAGGTAGGGGTGGGGCCGTTTTATAGGATTTGGAAAGGTAATGGAAAATTACAGTCAAAGGGGGTTGTTCTCTGGTGGGCAGGGGCGGGGGTCACAAGGTGCTCAGTGGGGGAGCTTCTGAGCCAGGAGAAGGAAATTCACAGGGTTAATCACTCAGTTAAAGTGGGGCAGGAACAAATCACAATGGTGGAATGTCATCAGTTAAGGCGGGGCAGGGCCTTTTCACTTCTTTTGTGATTCTTCAGTTACTTCAGGCCATCTGGGCATATACGTGCAAGTCACAGGGGATGCGATGGCTTGGCTTGGGCTCAGAGGCCTGACATTCCTGCCTTCTTATATTAATAAGAAAAATAAAACAAAATAGTGTTGAAGTGTTGGGGCGGCAAAAATTTTTGGGGGGTGGTATGGAGAGAGAATGGGCGATGTTTCTCAGGGCTGTTTCAAGCGGGATTAGGGGCGGCGTGGGAACCTAGAGTGGGAGAGATTAAGCTGAAGGGAGGTCTTGTGGTAAGGGGTGATATTGTGGGGATGTTAGAAGAAACATTTGTCGTATAGAATGATGATTGGTGATGGCCTGGATACGGTTTTGGATGAATTGAGAAACTAAATGGAATAAGAGAAAGAGAAAAACAGGTATAAAAGGTCTAAGAATTGGGACGACTCAGGATATCTGATTAGAGAGTGCCTAAGGAGATTCAGCATAGTCCTGCCAGCAAAGATTATTTATTTACTTCAAGAGTTTAGAGTAGCAGTTTGGGGATAGCACCAGGAGATATCAGCTGTAATGGCTTGGAGAAACAGTGTAAACCGGCAGTGTAAACAAGAGCAGGGCATGTGTGAGTAGTTGAGAATGGTGAATAGGAGTATGACTAGACAGAAGATAGTAGGGATGACAAGTTTTTTTTGGGGGTACAGTCTAAGTTGGTCTGGTGTCTGGAATGAGACTGGGGCCTAATAAAAAGGAGTGTCTATACAGCAGCTCAAATGGGCTGTACCTTGTAGCATTCTGAGGACAGGTCTGACTTCTGAGAAGGGAAAGTGGTAAAAGTATTGTCCAGTCCTTTTTAAGTTGGTGGCTGAGCTTGGTGAGGTGTGTTTTTAATAGACCATTAGTCTGTCACTGAATACTAAGAACCTGAGAAAATGCTTGGCTGATTTGACTAATAAAGGCTGGTCTGTTATCAGACTGTATAGAGGTGGGAAGGCTAAACTGAGGAATTATGTCTGACAGAAGGGAATAAATGACTGCGGTGGCCTTCTCAGACCGTGTAGGAAAGGCCTCTACCTATCTAGTGAAAGTGTCTACCTAGACTAAGAGGTATTTTAGTTTTTGTTACTCAGGGCATGTTGAATAAAGCTAATTTGCCAGTCCTGGGTGGGGGCAAATCCTCGAGCTTGATGTGTAGGGAAGGGAGGGGGCCTGAATAATCCTTGAGGAGTAGTAGAATAGCAGATAGAACACTGAGAAGTTATTTCCTTGAGGATAGATTTCCACAATGGAAAGGAAATGAGAGGTTCTAAGAGGTGGGCTAGTGGCTTATACTATAGCATAGCCTGCCTTTGCTGGTGTGTGGTTATTAGGCCTGGTGGAACTGCCATTGATAAATCAAGTGTGATCAGGGTGAGGAACAGGAAAGAAGGAAATATGGGGAAATGGGGTGAATATCAGGCGGATCAGAGAGATACAGTCATGAAGGTCAGGTGTGGTATCTGGAATAATGTGGGAGGCTGGATTGAAGTCCGGGCCAGGAACAATGGTAATTGTGGGACTTAAGGAAGAGTGAGTACAGCTGAAGGAGCCGGGGAGCAGAAAAGTATATGCGTCAGGTATGAGGAAGAAAATAGATTTTGGAAGTTATGAAAAATGTAGAGTGAGTTGAACATAGTTTGTGATTTTGAGGGCCTCTAAAAGTATTAAAGCAGTGGCAGCCGCTGCACGCAGACATGAGGGCTAGGCTAAAACAGTAAGGTCAAGTTGTTTGGACAGAAAGGCTACAGGGTGCGGTCCTGGCTCTTGTGTAAGAATTCTGACTGCACTAACCATGCCTAGGAAGGAAAGGAGTTGTTGTTTTGTAAGGGATTGAGGTTTGGGAGATTAATCGGACAGGATCAGCAGGGCGAGCATGTGTGTTTTTAAGAGAATTATGCCGAGATATGTAACAGATGAGAATGAAATTTGGGCTTGACTGAAGTAATGGGGTCTGTCTGTGAAGCCTTGCGGCAGTACAGCCCAGGTAATTTGCTGAGCCTGATGGGTGTCAGGGTCAGTCCAAGTGAAAGCGAAGAGAGGCTGGGATTAAGGGTGCAAAGGAATAGTAAAGAAAGCACGTTTGAGCTGCAGAACAGAATAATGGATTGTGGAGGGAGGTATTGAGGATAGGAGAGTATATGGGTTTGGCACCATGGGGTGGATAGGCAAAACAATTTGGTTGATAAGGCATAGATCCTGAACTAACTTGTATGGCTTGTCTGGTTTTAGGACAGGTAAAATGGGGGAATTGTAAGGAGAGTTTATAGGCTTTAAAAGGCCATGCTGTAGCAGGCGAGTGATAACAGGCTTTAATCCTTTCAAAGCATGCTGTGGGATGGGATATTGGCATTGAGCGGGGTAAGGGTGATTAGGTTTTAATGAGATGGTAAGGGGTGCATGATCGGTCGCCAAGGAGGGAGTAGAGATATCTTATACTTATGGATTAAGGTGGGGGAATACAAGAGGAGGATGCAAAGGAGGCTTTGGATTGGGAAGAAGGGCAGCAATGAGATGCAGCTGTAATCCAGGAATAGTCAGGGAAGCAGATAATTTAGTTAAAGTATCTCGGCCTAATAAGGGAACTGGGCAGGTGGGGATAACTAAAAAGGAGTGCTTAAAAGAGTACTGTCTAAGTTGGCTCCACAGTTGGGGAGTTTTAAGAGGTTTAGAAGCCTGGCCGTCAATACCCACAACAGTTATGGAAGCAAGGGAAACAGGCCCTTGACAAGAAGGTAATGTGGAGTGGGTAGCCTCCATATTGATTAAGAAGGGGAAGGACTTACCTTCCACTGTGAGAGTTACCTGAAGCTCGGCGTCCGTGATGGTCTACGGTGTTTCCGAGGCAATTAGGCAGCATCAGTCTTCAGCCGCTAAGCCAAGAAGATCTGGGAAGGAGTCAGAGAGCCTTGGGCCAGAGTTCCAGAAGCTATGGGAGTGGCTGCCAGGTGAGTTGAACAGTCCGATTTCTAGTGGGGTCCCGCAGAGATGGGACGTGGCTTAGGAGAAATCCTGGGCTGCAGGCATTCCTTGGCCTGGTGGTCAGATTTCTGGCACTTGTAGCAAGCTCCTGGGGGAGGAGGTTCTGGAGGAACGCCTGGCCGCTGCGGTTCAGGCATTTGGAAGTTCTTGTGTGCTGGAGATGTGGCTGGGGTTTGTCTCACAGTGGAGGCAAGGAATTGCAACTTTTTTCTGTTATTGTACACCTTGAAGGTGAGGTTAATTAAGTCCTGTTGTGGGGTTTGAGGGCCAGATTCCAATTTTTGGAGTTTTATTTAATGTCGGGAGCAGATTGGGTAATAAAATGTATATTGAGAATAAGACGGCCTTTTGACCTTTTAGGGTCTAGGGCTGTAAAGCATCTCAGGGTTGCTGCCAAACGAGTCATGAACTGGGCTGGGTTTTTATATTTGATGAAAAAGAGCCTAAACACTATCTGATTTGGGATAAACAAAAAGGAGCATTAACCTTGACTATGCCTTTGGCTCCAGCCACCTTTTTAAGAGTAAATTGCTGGGCAGGTGGGGGAGGGCTAGTCACCGAACGAAACTGTAAGCCGGACCAGGTGTGAGGAGGGGAGGCAATAAAAAGATTATAGGGTGGAGGAGCAGAGGCTGAGGAAGAATTGGGACCTAGCTTGGCCTGGCGAGGAGGGGAGAGGTCAGATAGGTCTGTAGAAAAGGAAGATTAGAAAGACTCAGCAACGCTTGGGGTTGGGACTGAGGCGACAGGCGGGAGGGAAAGAAGGAAGATTTGGGACGAGTTGCACTGGGCACAGAGACTAGGAAGGGACTGATGTGTAAAAGAATGCCTGGACGTCAGGCACCTCAGACCATTTGCTCATTTTACAACAAGAAATATTTAGATCTTGTAGGATGGAAAAATTGAAAGTGCCGTTTTCTGGCTATTTGGAACTACTGTCTAGTTTGTATTGGGGTCAAGCAGCATTGCAGAAGAAAATAAGGCATTTGGGTTTTAGGTCAGGTGTGAGTTGAAGAGGTTTTAAGTTCTTGAGAACACAGGCTGAGGGAGAAGGAGGAGGAATGGAGGGTGGAAGGTTGCCCATAGTGAAGGAGGCAAACCTAGAGAAAAGAGAGCATAGAGACACGGAGGGAAGGGGTTCGGGGGTTCTTACCCTCCAGAAAAGCGGGAAGGGGGGTCGGGGCATGGAAATAAGGGATTGGGGCACAGAGATAAGAGGATGGGGTGCGGAAATAAGGGATTGGGGCACAGAGATAAGAGGTCGGGGTGTGGAAATAAAGGATTGGGGCACAGAGATAAGAGGTAGGGGTGAGGAAATAAGGGATTGGGGCACAGAGATAAGAGGTCGGGGTGTGGAAATAAGGAATTGGGGGTTCTTGCCCCCTAGAAAAGTGGGACTTGCTGCTAAGGGTGAAGGAGAAGGGGTTGAGGGGTACTTGCTCCTCCCCCAGAAAAGCAGAGAAGGGGTAGAGACAAGGAGAGAAGGGGTTGGGGTACTTGCCCTTTCCCCAGAAAAGCAGAGAAGGGGTAGAGACAAGGAGAGAAGGGGTTGGGGTACTTGCCCTTTCCCCAGAAAAGCAGAGAAGGGGTAGAGACAAGGAGAGAAGGGGTTGGAGTACTTGCCCCTTCCCCAGAAAAGCAGGTCTTGCCGCTAAGGGTGAAGGACCAAGGCAGGCATCCCTGCGTGGTCTGACACCCTTGAAACATGGGTGAATAATCAGAGAGGCTTCCCTGCATTGATTAAACACCAAGGGAAGGCTGCCTTCCCAGTCTGTGACCGGCGCCGGAGTTTTGGGTCCACGGATAAAACGTGTCTCCTTTGTCTCTACCAGAAAATGAAAGGAATTGAAATTAAGAGAAGGGAGAGATTGAAGTGTGGCGCCAAGATTGAAAGGAGAAAGAGGTTGAGGGATAGTGAGGGAGGTTGGAGAAGAGTGTAAAAAGAGGCCGCTTACCAGATTTGAAATTGGTGAGATATTTCTTGGGCTGGTCGGTCTGAGGACCTGAGGTCATAGGTGGATCTTTCTCACGGAGCAAAGAGCAGGAGAACAGGGGATTGATCTCCCAAGGGAGGTCCCCCGATCCGAGTCATGGCACCAAATTTCATGCGCGTCCGTGTGAAGAGACCACCAAACAGGCTTTGTGTAAGCAACATGGCTGTTTATTTCACCTGGGTGCAGGTGGGCTGAGTCGGAAAAGAGTCAGCGAAGGGAGGTAGGGGTGGGGCCGTTTTATAGGATTTAGGAAGGTAATGGAAAATTACAGTCAAAAGGGGTTCTCTGGTGGGCAGGGGCGGGGGGTCACAAGGTGCTCAGTGGGGGAGCTTCTGAGCCAGAAGAAGGAAATTCACAGGGTTAATCACTCAGTTAAGGTGGGGCAGGAACAAATCACAATGGTGGAATGTCATCAGTTAAGGCGGGGCAGGGCCTTTTCACTTCTTTTGTGATTCTTCAGTTACTTCAGGCCATCTGGGCATATACGTGCAAGTCACAGGGGATGCGATGGCTTGGCTTGGGCTCAGAGGCCTGACAGTCACTGTCAATAGAAACAGTTTTGGAGTTGACTATAGGACAGTTGGCTCCGGACTGCCAGAATCAAACAGGCACTGTCACTGAGAAATGGTAGGACAGGTAGTAAATATCTTCCTTTGATCGACAGTAAGTTTTATTCTCTCTGATTTGTGCCTAACAGAAGGTATTTCCAGATACTTCTGAGCTCATAAATTTTCACTGAGACATGAGTTAATACCTCATTTCCATCAATGGCATTAGAGTGTTCAAAGGTTTATTTAGAATCACTTAATAAATGTTAATTTCAAAATATCTTCATTTTTGAAGCTTAGACTTATCCTCTGCAAAAGTAGATTTTCATAAAGTGATAT
Source organism: Homo sapiens (assembly GCF_000001405.40). Lineage (NCBI taxonomy): Eukaryota > Metazoa > Chordata > Mammalia > Primates > Hominidae > Homo > Homo sapiens. The sequence continues at coordinate 116,111,579 of NC_000003.12, forward strand.
GGTTTATCACCTTAGTAGTCTTTTTTTCCTTTTCCTTTCTTCTCCCCCTTTTAACACTCATTTTTTGCCATAGGTTATGAAAAATTTGTTTAGTATATTATTGCACAGATTTGCAAGACCATGTTTCTTTTCCGTTTCATTAATTCTGCTAATTTATCATTTAATTTGGCTAATGACACTTATTCCGTTTTTACTACTCTTCTGACAAAAGTTTTCTAATGAAAGAGATATATTAGCTAGCTGTTTTGAAATGTTCTCAACAAGGTTAAGATGGTCCCTGTAATAGATGTTGGAACAAAATCAAGGGGACCCTAGCCACAAGGTGGAGGCATGTGAAAACCACTCTGCTTCTGCTAGCCTGCACTGAATTTTCAGAGGCAAAGGTAGGGAGACAATAGAAGGTTTAGGTAGGTAGGACAGCTCCTTCTCCAGCATGTAAAGATAATTACTCAATGGGATTAACCTGGACAGAAGCCATGTGTTCTTGATGAGGCCTGCTTTCTTTCAAGGGTAAAGCTTCTTAGCTGAATAACAAAATTGAAAGTTTTATTTTAACCTGGAATGCTAAATAGCTATAACAGAGAAATTAGAGTCCTAAAAATGCTTTTTGTGTGGAAGTTCAAGATTAGTACAGGGATTCTCCTTAGAAATGTGTGTCTTGGGACTGCAACTAATCAAAACCAATCATGTTTTTAATAATAAAGAGTATGATTGTGTGCACCTCAATAAAAGGACGCATAAGTATGATACAGGGCAGGAGGGGAGAGAACAGAATTCAGCCTGGCTACACAGTTTAACATAGCCAGCTAGTACATCCTTTTTCTAGAACTCAAAGGAAGGGTGTGGAGATGGGCAATGAGCTTGCGAATGACTATGATAATAAAACTAATAAATGATCTATAAATTAGTATCACTCACAATCTGAAAAAGAATCATTCATTTAACAATCAGATGTTACAATCCCTACTCAGTCCTTCAGTATTTTAATAGATGGCTCTTTTGGTCCATGGCTCACACACATCTTAAAGAATTTGGTAGCATAGGAACCAGCCTAGGAAGTGTGCAATTGGAAAGAGTGGATCTGGTGGCATCCACAGGCAGGTTTAGGATCTCCTGAGAATTAACAATAACTGGATAAGGAAGTGGGGAACGAGTTTGGTATGAAAATAAAATTAGGTGAATTAACTACACTGTCTCCCCAGGGAAACTTCTCACAAATGCGTTGGCTACCCTACCCAACAATACTGTTATCTGCCATGAATTTGCCCTTTTTACATTTTGAATCTCAGTGTTGCAGACATAATCCCTGAAAATTCTGTGGCTCTGACAGGAGATTGCAAAATATTCTCTTAAGTACTAATGAGTTCAAGCTTTTGGAATTCCAGTACTCATTTTTTTTTTTTTAGTAGATTCAGGCAGATGGAAAAAGACAGAAATGTATCTACAACAAATAATAAGTAAGGAAAGCATAAGAGAAATATGAGGCAGAGAGAAGGATGCATACACAAACTCTGTGAGAAACAGTGAGAAGTGAAGAGAGAGAGTAACAGTGTGGCTACAGAGCACCTACTAAAGAATCAGATAAAAAGAGATGATAAGAAAAGCCAAAGAAAATTCTCTAATAGACATTCAGAATTTTTTTTTTAAGTAGGAGATTTAGAAAAAAAGAATAAGAATGTTTGTATTTGGCCATGTTAAGTCATTCTCTCTCTTTATCCCAAGTCACACCCTACCATTCATCCTCTGTAAAACAACAAACTTGAGGGGATAGGCAAATGATGTTCGGTAGAGAAGTTTAGAAATTTTAGAAATATGTTTGCCCTATATATATATATATATATATTTTTTTTTTTTTTTTTTTTTTTGAGATGGAGTCTCGCTCTGTCGCCCAGGCTGGAGTGCAGTGGCGGGATCTCGGCTCACTGCAAGCTCCGCCTCCCGGGTTCACGCCATTCTCCTGCCTCAGCCTCCCAAGTAGCTGGGACTACAGGCGCCCGCCACTACGCCCGGCTAATTTTTTGTATTTTTAGTAGAGACGGGGTTTCACTGTTTTAGCCAGGATGGTCTCGATCTCCTGGCCTTGTGATCCGCCCGCCTCGGCCTCCCAAAGTGCTGGGATTACAGGCGTGAGCCACCGCGCCCGGCCCTTTGCCCTATATTTTATGATACTTGTTACACACTGTTGTTGATACTGTCATTGCTATTGTTTTTATTATTACTGATATTATTATATTTACTACTCACAAAAACAAAATGACAAAGAATGGATATGAGACTGTTTTTTCTGAAAAGAGTGGATCAATAATTGCAAGCTACAAAGAGCAATGAGGAGAGTCTCAGGAATACTCGGAGGATTAAAACACTGATTGAAGCATGATTTACTGAATTTAACTTCTAAATGGGAGACATGGAAATAGAAGACTATGTTGAAAATGTTGAACTTTATTTAAGCCCTGTGCTTCCAGGAACCAAGGATTGCTAAGAAATCCCCCACCCTTTTGTGTTCCAGAAAATGGCTAACCAACCAAAGGACCCCAGCGTCCTCACATAACATGTCTCAATCCTTCCTCATCATTCCTATAGACTCCAAAGACTCCCTATACCTATAGCACCCCATGCTCCCTTCTTTCCTGAGGTATTCTTCACTAATGAATATCCTTATTGCAAGAGCCTGAGTAAGAACATTTTGGTAACTATCTGGTGCCTTCGGTTTTTCACATCCTGTATCTCAAAGCTCTCTGTGCTAGCTTACCCTGTGGAACAATGGGCTGGGAGCAGTGTCCAGAGCAATCCTAGGCAGTACATGGGTTGGAAGGAAGAAGAAAGAAAGGGAAGTTTTTATTCTTATTTGTGTTGTATAAGGAACAAGGTCTGTTCATTACATTATCCCTTATTTCACAAAATGTATGCATTCCAGAAATGCTTTTTTTTTTTCCCCTGGGGACTTAGGGACAGCTATTAGAAAACCAGAGAGCCTTGGGTATAATAAAATCCTGAGATGTAATAAAACCAGACACTTAAGAAAGCAGTAGTACTACTTTTTACACTCACATATTTAAGAGAAATACTAACGTTGCTTTTATAAAACACAGTAGTATTCTTAACATTTATAATCTTGTGATATCCACTAAATAAATCTCACAATGAAAGCACTGAAAGTGAATCCCTTGGGTAGATTGTAGACTCTAATAGGTCTGCCTACACTTTGGATCATTCCTCCATGTAAGTCATAAAGTTAGGAATTTCACATTCCTTATCTATTTAGTTCAGCTATTATGTCAGTGGGATGCAAAGTCCCCTACATTTTACAATGTTTTCCATTTATTTTATGCCACTGGGTTAACAGTTGAGTATGGCAGCTCTTAGAATCTAGAATAATTTGCAAATGTAGATGCTTTTCAATAGGATTTTATGAAGTGGAATTGTTTTGCATGTTATTCACCTTTTTATAATTGTTTGCAGGTTTTGTAGGTTTTTGGAAACACTTAAAATGGAATTTTTAGTCTAGCTCAGGTTTTATGAAATTATAAAATGAAAACTAAATATGGCTTACATTTGGGGAATTTATTTTTTCTTGAAATAAGCCAATACATTTGCATTACTTTCAATGCAGAATGAAGACAGCAAAGCTGAAAGGGGCTTTAATAATAAAGGGTAAAGGCCAGAATTTGTTGAGCGTCTATTTTGTGCCAGCACAGCTCAAATATATTTACATGTGTTGTCAGGTTTAATTCTCACAACAGCCTATGTAATGTAGGTACCCTAATGATCCCCATTTTTCAGAAAAGAAAAGTGAGTCACCGGTCAATTATTTGCTCAAGGAATTCTAGTCAATAAATGGTAGCACTGAGAATGGAATCTAGTCTGTCCTGAACTGTTTGCTCTTACATCTGCATAGGGCTATAATCCTGGAACCTCTCTTTACCTCTGTCCTGTGTTCAGTCTCCTTTCTTCTCTTGTCCATTTCTTTTTCTTTTTCTGTTTATTTAATTATTTTGGTAGAAAACATCCTCCAGTGACTTCTTAAGATTTGTGAGATAGAAATTATTTTATGAATTTTGTATCTATCAATTAAAAGTGAAGGCAAAAAACAAAAAACAAAACAAAAAAAACTTTGTTGAGTCGAGAACCCTAAATTAAAAAGCATTTTCCTATAGAATTTTGAAGACATTTTCCCATTAACTTCTAAATTCCAGTATTGCTATTGAGAAGTCCAAAATGATTTCTGGTCCTTTGAGTATGACTTTTTTTGTTGTTGTTTTTTGTTTCTTTTTTTCCTACTTGGATTTTTCTTGGTTCTTCTCCTTATCCCATTATTCTGAAATTTTATACTTAAATGTCCGTAGGGCGGCTTCCACCCCTTTCAATCCTTTCAACCTGGAAACTTATATTCAGTTCAGGAAAGTTTTATTGAACTATTACATTGTTAATTTCCTCTCATTTTTTTTTTCTTTTTTTTTCTTCTGTATTTATTATTAATTGGATGGTAGACCTCCTGGACTGGTCCTATAATATATTTTTTTCTTCTATTTTCCTTTTTTTTTTTCTTTTGGCTCCATTTCGTGAGACATTTTCTCAGCTTTTATATCATTATGTCTATTGGGTTTTTTATTACTACCGTCATGTTTGTAATTTCCAGCATCTCTCATTTCACGGGTACAATATCTTCTCTTGTCTAAGAATACTAATAATCTTTAAAAATTTTCTTCTGCTCAAATCCTTCTTTTTCTGCAAGTTGTCATTATCATTTGTTTATTTGGTTTCTTTCATGTTAGAGGCATTCCTTAGGTCTCTGGAACTCTTCATATGCAATTCATATTTAAAATGAGTAACAAAGGCTGGGCACAGTGGCTCACACCTGTAATCCCAGCACTTTGGGAGGCCGAGGCAGGCGGGTCATGAGGTCAGGAGATTAAGACCATCCTGGCTAACACGGTGAAACCCCATCTCTACTAAAAAAAAAAAAAAAAAAATACAAAATACAAAAAACTAGCTGGGCGTGGTGGTGCATGCCTGTATTCCCAGCTACTCAGGAGGCTGAGGCAGGAGAAACGCTTGCACCTGGGAAGTGGAGGTTGCAGTGAGCTGAGATCGCGCCACTGCACTCCAGTCTGGCAACAGAGCGAGATTCCATCTCAAATAATAATGATAATAATAATAATAATAATAAAATGAGGAATAAAATGTAAGTGGGTTCTTGGAAGACTCTCCAGGAGCCACGTCAAAAGTTTGACTACGGTGAGGCCGCTGTACTACAGAGGCCATGCATAGGTTCTCTGGCCAACAGTCCAGCCTTCTAACCAGCCCTATCAAGCTTCCAGACAAGTGAGTGAAGCCCACCTGGACCCTCCAGAACCAGCCCACCATGGGCTGAACAGCATGGAGCAACCTCAGTCAACACCACGTCAAATAAAAGAATCACCTAGTTAAGTCCTGTCCAAATTTCTGAATCTTGAGATATAACAAAATGGTGGTTGTCTTAAGCCACTAAGATTTGAGTAATTTTTTATGCAGCAAGGGATAATCAAAACATTCGACTTATATGGACTATCACAGAAAAGTGATATCTAAAATACTGATATGGTAAGATAAAATGCAACTTATATAATTATTTTTAAAATGATGATTGGAAACTCTGAGTGTGTGGGTGGGACTCCTTGGCTAAAGGCTCCACTGCAGGGTGACCTGGCTATGCTGTTTATTGCAGGAGCCCCTCATGTCTGTCATTCCCCCCCTATTCTTTCTTTATATATTATTTTTAAAATAAACTATTTTAGAACAGTTTTAGATTTACTGAAAAACTACTAGCAGCACAGGGTTCCCCATAAACCCCATGCCAATTTCTCCCTATTATTAGCATCTTACATTAGTATGGTACATTTCCCATAACTGATAGGCTAATACTGATACATTCGTATTAAGTAACATTCATACCTTATTTACATTTTCATAATATTTTACCTAAGGTCCTTTTTTCATTCCAGGACCCCATCCAGTGTGCCACATTAGTTATTCTGTCTTTTTAGGCTTCTCTTGGCTGTGATAGCTTCTCAGTCTTTTTATGTTTTTGATAACTTTGATAGTTTTGAGGAGATGTGGTCAAGTATTTTGTGGCATGTCTATTTAATGATATTTGTCTAATTTTTTTTCATGATTAGACTAGGGCTATGTGTCTTTGGGAGGAAACCACAGAGGTAAAGTGTCATTTTAATTATTTCTATTAAGAAGGGTATATACTCTCAACATAACTTGTCACTATTGACTCTGACCTGGATGACCTGCCTGAGGTAGTGTTTGTCAGTTTTGTCCACTGTGAAGTTACGATTGGTATGGACTCAAGAATATTTATTTCGTATATCTTTTTTTTTTAAGATTGTTTTTCTTTTGAGTCATTTATATTTCTCAAGAAAGAGTCTTACAATACTCTGTAGAGAGGGAAAATGCTGGCTGCCAATACTATGGAGTCTCAGTGGAAAATTAAGGCTGAGATTGGGTGTGGGTAGGGTCTTAGTATTTAATATGCATATGTCACATATCATACCTTTAACTATATCTGGGGTCCCCCAGTACAGAGACCTTGTTTTCCCTCTCCAGAGAATGAACCTAAATTAGGGAGAGTCAGCCACAGGCATGGGAAGGGGACAGTATCTATGGATTTCTCTCACTCTTAAATGTCATTCAAATAATTTCTCTTATTTTAATTGCTCCCCATCCCAACCCCAACCTTCCTTCCTTCCCCCTATTTCCAGTAGTATTTGGTGCTGTCAATTCCTGAACTGTCTGTGGGATGATTGCTTTGGTTCTCAGCTTTTCCCATTACTGGCTTACGCTTCAGCATTTTCACATCTGCTAAGTCAGTTTTACTCATCCATCTGCCCTACAGCTTCCAAAATTGTTTTTGCTGTGCTCTTCTGTCTTGTTCTCACCATTCTTGTATATTTGTCTTTAGGAAAAACAAATCCCTTTACAGCAAATTTAGTAGAGTTTGCAGGGGGTGGGTGAGAGGGAGCAAAATTGGATGTGTGTTTGATCCATCGTCTTTCCACAGATTTGCTCAGGATTACAGAGTTAGCTCCGTGAGACCAGAGGCTCTATCTGCTCATCTTTGTATACACAACACCCACACACATGCCTGATAAAGAGTAGGAGGTAAATATTAATTGAGTCTGGTATAAATGAAAATAGGAAGCCAAGTCAGGACTCAAATACAAATCCAAATTTAATTTTTATTTTTTACATTACACTAAACTTCCACCCCTCATCTATTATAAAGTTTGTATTTTTAACATTTAAAATGAAATTTATCATCCATGTGATCATGCAGATCAGTGCTTTTCAAATTTTGTATGTGCATACAAATGCCCTGGGGATCGTTTAAAATGCAGATTCCAATTCAGTAAGTCTGGGTGAGGTTGAGACTGCTAGTTTGAGGACCACAAATTTGTATAGCAAAATGTTTAGTAATAGATTTATAGCACTATATATTCTGACATTATAAAATGCCATTTCACATTTTATTTCTATTACAGAGGTACTATTTGCATAACAACTTTGTCAGGGCTTGGATAGCAACACATTGCCTCATTCCAGAGAAAGGGAGCCAGAAAAAGGACTCAGGTCAACCTAAAAGTTAATTACAGATGTAGGGAGAAAAGTGAGAGTAAAACATGCTTTTTAAAAATTGTATCTTTCTTCTTCCAGTGGCAACTAGATTCTGTTAGATAGCCATAAGATTGTTATCTGTTACAGAAATGGTTGGGATAGGAAATATTACATGACTATATAGATATATGTATATGTATGTTTACATCATAAATTGTACCAAACTAATTTAAGATGATTTAACTTTGCATGCAAATAATATTTACTAAAGGAAACAAGGACATCAAAGCAAAGAGAAAATTATCATAAGAAAGATAAAATAAAACAAATACTGGGGTTAGTACATAAAATATATACCATGAATACTACAGTTAATAGCAGGGATATTATAAATAGAGCACTGGACATTCAGCACAAAAATGGATACATAATCATTTATATAAGTTACTAAGGCTAAAGAGATAATTTCTTTTTTCTTTTCTTTTTTTTTTTTTTTGAGAAGGAGTCTTGCTCTGTTACCCAGGCTGGAGTACAGTGGTGCGATCTCGGCTCACTGCAACCTTTGCCACCCCGATTCAAGTGAGATTCTCCTGCCTCAGCCTCCCGAGTAGCTGGGATTGTAGATGTGTGCCACCACACCCAGCTAATTTTTGTATTTTTAGTAGAGATGGGGTTTCAGCATCTTGGCCAGGCTGGTCTTCAACTCTGGACCTCGTGATCCATTTGTCTTGGCCTCCCAAAGTGCTGGGATTACAGGTGTGAGCCACCGTGCCTGGCCAAGAAAATTTATTTAGTTTACCTTTATAAAGAGGAGGCCATGTCATGTTCCACATAATATTTTCAAAGACAATCTTAGGATAAAATTTTATAAGGCAGCCAGAAAATACACATTTGTTCAGGCATGAATTTAGATGCTGATGATGGAGAGATAAAGACATATAAACTTTTTCAAGGAGCTCACGGTCATATGGAGGGACATACATAGCCAAGAAATTTCAAATAAGATATATTATAATAGAAGTAAAAGGTATCTTGATGGACCAAAGGAGGAAGAAATCAGCTCAGCCAGGGAAATGATGGTGGTGGTGGGAGGCGTGAGCTAATTTACGGCGTAAGACATAAAACTGTGGCTGAACAAATATTACATAGTGCCAAAATCTGTAAGAATACAATATTTTAATCTAAGTGGGCTCTGGATTGGGGTCAGTAGAAGAAAAGGAATGAAAGAAGGAGGGAGGGAAGGAGGAAGGAAGAAAGGGCCTGGGAATTTTGGCAACGAATGTGTGGAACACAGTTTCTCTGGGAGACTGAAGTTCATGGGTGAGGGACAGTACTCACAGATAATAAAAGAGCCCAGTTATTTTTTACTTGCAGTAGAAGTCAGAGGAACAAGCTTCTAGGGTGTCAAGGTGAGGGCAGTTCCCAGAGCAAAAATCACATAAGGCTAGGGCTAGTCCCAGGTTCTGGAGCAGTTAAGCAGGCTGGATGAGTGGTCCATAACCTGCTTTGATTTCCAGGTATCTTTGAAAACATAACCAAGGCTATTTACCTTCTACTTAGAAAAACTCCTTATAATAAATACATGCAAAGTTTGTGTTTGGTTTAAGAGTTTTAAGGATATCACAGACCTTTCTAAGCTCTTCATAAACCCTGAGTAAAACAAACTTGATGGATGCATCAGGCTATCATCATAACTGGAGGCTAGGAGCCATTTAGATATTCTTGCTAACTCCCTTTACTTTAATTCTATGCTCATCAAGTGACCTTCTGATTATAGAATGTCAACAATTTCAGGTGGATGACAAACTCTGTGAAACCCATTACAGGAACTCCAGGTTAAGAACACTCAGACTAGGGGCAATGTGATGGCTTAGAGTTGAGAAGGTCCCAACATCTTCAGTTTTTTCATCTCAATCACATTTCATTTGTGTGCACTTTTCTCATTACTTGAACTCACTGGCCTTTCTGCAGAACTTTCTACCTAATAATAGTTATTTACTAAAAGACCTAAAGCTAAAACTAAAATACTGCATTCTTGCTTAGCATTGAGGACTCAGTGAGCAGGAGATAAGCATGCTATCAACATCCAAATATTAGGCCCAGAAACAAGTTTGCAACATTTCTGACCTTCCCAGAAAATACAACCATGAACTTCACAGGGCCTGAAAATGTGTTTATTCTTGAGTAAGTTCCTAGCGGAGTATAGTGGGATGTTTTTTAATCTACACAATTTTAACTTTATCGAAACTTTCTTATAAATCTTTAAAAATAAATCATAAGCTTCTTCTGTAATTAAGATACTGGCAATGTTGGTTTGGGAACATGTATTTCATTCTCCCCCAAGTTCTCTAGAACCTGAAATTTTTAGCTCACATTTATCAATATGCTCAGTTGGCAGCAGACATTCCTCTTTAGGCAATACGAGTACTAACTCGGTGAAGTTTCCTACCAGCAATTTTATGAGATAGGTACTACTATTATGCCCATTTTAGAGATGACAAAATTGGAGCACAGATAGATAAAGGATTCACCTAAGGTAACACTGATAGTAAATGGTAGAGCCAGGTCAAGACTCAGGTAAACTGGCTCTAGAGCAAGCTTGTCCAACCCGCACCCTGTAGGCCACATGCAGCCCCAGATGGCTTTGAATGTGGCCCAAAACAAATTCATAAACTTTCTTAAAACATTATGAGATTTTTTTGTGATTTTTTTTTTTTTTTTTTTAGCTCATCAGCTATCAGTAGTGTTAGTGTATTTTATGTGCGGCCCAAGACAATTATTCTTCCAATATGTCCCAGAGAAGCCAAAAGATTGGCCACCCCTGTTCTAGAGTCTGTGCTGTTCATTATTTCACTATACTCTTTTTCTTCAGAGGCTATGACTGCGCAAAAATAAAAATCAAGGCATCAAAGCATTGGAGATAAGGTAAATGTGAGAACAATAGGGGAAGGCTAACAAAATAACATTATTTGCAATAAATGGAATTCTATGCCATCATTAATTTAGAAATATATTTAATAAGCTGGTAAAATGTTCACAATATATTGCTACATGAATAAAGCAAATACATTCTATAGTAAAACCCACTTATGCATATATGCACATGGAAACACACACACAAAGGATATGTTGATGATGGTAATTACCAAGTGATGTTTAAATAGGTTGTATTTATTTATTTTCTCAAGAATGATCTGATCTTTACACAGCTGGTTCCCTTTTGCTTTCTAGAGCTCAGTTTAAATGTCACCTTATCAAAAGGTCTTTCCTGACCCCCTGTCTGAAGAAGAGACCCCATCACTCTATCTTCCTGTAAAGTACTTACCATTCTTCAATACTTATTATTTGTTAGTACTTTTTAATATGTTTTTCACATTCAGCCATCTCATCTACAAGTAATCTCTATGAGTGTGAAGATTGTCTGTCTAACTCACTTTTGCATTACCATTACTTAGAAAGTTGTGTGAGTACTCTTTAAATATTTATTAAATAAATGAGTTAATGAGTGTTAAAAATAAATATCTCTAAGATTCAACATACATTTAACGTATATTATTTTACCACAGCAAATCTCAACCTCACAGGAAGCCAAAAGAAGCTCCTCGATTCTCTCCCTCTGTTCCATCTTCACTTTCACTCACATTATCACAGGTAACTGGAAACCTTGGGTAAAACACTGGGTCAAGAGCTATGGTATCCATGAGAGACATGGAAGTGATGCTCCCTGCCCTTAGAAGGTTATGTCTAATGGCTTTGAAAGACTTTTAAATAAATAGCTGTATAGTGATAAAAGATACAAAAGAGGTACTATAAACTGTAGGCACTGAGGAAAGACTGGCTTTTTTTGAGTTACTTTCTGATCGAGAAAAGTCAAAAAAATTATTTTGTTTTAAACAATTGTCATAAAGATGACAAAAACAATTTTCATGAAAATATCAATAATAGGAAACCAGCAGTAAATTATTAGTGTTGGATCATGTCTCCTCTACCCACATGTAAACAGATATAACCAAGGGTGGAGTGAGCTGCCTGCTGCCTTCTCATCTGGGTATGTGTGATCTGTGTCTTAAAAGAAGTTTTGGGAAAGTGGCCAAAGGCCACCAGAGGAGGCCATGACACCTCCTCCAGTCGTGGGCCACAGCCAGAACATTTTTTGTTTAGAGATACAGTTTATCCTCTGCATATATTCTGAACTTAACTTGTGCTTCTCACAATGCATATGAAAAAAATGGCAACAAAAGTCTAGGTTTTTCAATTTAGATGAGATTCCAACAATAGGCAACATTATGCCATATGGAAAACATGATGATGTAGAAGGAAGTTTGGGTTGAAAAACAATTACAAATTGACTATGGAACTTGAAGAGCAAAAGCCATTCTGCTTTAATTGCTACACTCTTTCCTTTACATCTTTCATTAAAACCATTGTGAATCAAAAATGTTTCCTTGGGTTATCTTTTTATTTTAAATGGATAAGGGTATCCATGATGCTAGGTTTGATATCCTAAATCTTAAATTTAAGAAGTCACTATCTGCTTTAAGACTTTATTAACACGGTAGATATTAATCAGACTTATACAACCCATCTTTGGAGTATAGGCTAAGTGCCTTGACTTTGATGCTGTACGATGTCCCATAAATGTTGAGATGACTTAATTCATTGGGTGCCAGATAATAAGGCATGATTTGGAGAAAAGACTATTCACTAAGAAACTATAAGAATACAACTCTCAAATAAGAGAGTATATGCCTTCCTTACCATGAAGATATGATGTGGATAAAAAGACTGTTCACTCAGGAACTATAAGAGTATAATTTTGGGGCAAAGGCTTCCTTACCATCTTGTATGGTTGACTCTCTAGGCAGAGAAGCAACAAATGCAACATGCTTTTCATATGTGTTGGGAAAGACAATCCTTTCATCTGGAAAGAACAATGGAATCACTCTGCATTTTCCACAAATGTGCAAATATGAGAAGTACCTCAGCAACTTGTATAGAGTTCCTGAGGTACTTCTCATTTTTTGAGTTGTGGATGGCCCACAAATGTTGTAAAAATTTTTTCCATTGAAATTTGCCTAGTTTGAATAGAAGACCTACCATTCATATATCCTTAGGGAACCAAATACATCACTGCTTCTCATTCATGAAAATTGTCTGTGGGCTGCCTCTGAGTTGCTCCAGAATCATACCACAGTATCACATTCTTATCTGACACTGATCCAGTCTTTGAAAAATTATTCAGTGTGTGGTCTTTGTCTCAAACTTTGAAAAGTTGATTTGCATTAAGTCATTTGGGAAAAACCAAATCTAAATATATATCCTTAGCATTTAAGCATTTTAAATTCATTAAAATGTAAATAACTTTGAAAACATTTTAAAGACTGATTGTATCACCAACCATGTTTTTAAAAGTAAATTACAGTTTGGGAAAACGTTTCTGGGCAGGAGAGATTTGAAAACACAAAATGAAAATGCAAAAATATGGAGAAGAATAAATATTCTCCATTAAACTTTAAAACTGCAGAATATGTGGAATTAAGATCCAGTTAAAGAAATGAAGCTGTTTACAGCAATCAGATTGCTGTAGACATGGACATGGTCATACACACTCAAAGAGAAAACACAATTGGGCTCATAAATACATGGAGGTTTTATAAGAAATATTCATTTTACACATGCAAAGGGTATTGTTTTCATTTGTAAACTTCGACTCTGATCTTTGCATAGTAAATAACTGACTGATTTTTGCTGATTCTGGGTGGATAAATCCGATAACAGTGTTTGGAAGAATGTCGAGATCTTGGGTTTTGGAAGGAAGGAGAGTAAGAGAAGAAATTCGTCTCTGCAGTACTTGGGGTTCTTTATTTCCCAGGGACCTCTAGCTTTGCCTGATGTGCTCCTATTGCATGTGGTGCCCTAGCCCTGTTGTCTCTCTCCTACTTGAAAGTAGAGAATGGCTTCTCTTATAGGGAACAAGACAGTGACAAATTCATTTTCATATCTAAAGCCAGTTCTGAAATGTCAACATATAATGAAGTTTTAACAAGAACAAAATAAGACTTCATCTGCTTTGTGCATATTTTTTCCCAGACAAAATCAAGAGTCTCCTTTGGGATATTTTGTTAGCTTCCTCTTTCTCTACTTCTTTCCCTTGCATAGTTATTATTATTCATAGCAGTTCCCCCACCCCCGCCACGAGTTTCCTTCATTGTTTTTTTTTTCAGTGTGTTTCTTTATCTTTCCTTGGTTCATTTCTTGTGATCCTTCTTTCCTAGTTGAGAGTTTCATCCAGTGTCAGTATCCTTCATTTATTCTCCTTCACTATCTTAACTGTCTTTTCCCCTTTTCCAACACTCTCTCAACTCTTTTCTTTGACTTCCCTCAACTTGACTGTCCTGAACTCAACAGGAATTGGTTTTCTGCAGATTGCTTATTTGCCTCCCTATTTCAGTTGGATAAACAATGATATGGAAGAACACTTTGTAAACTGGTTCCTAGAAATTTTGTTCTGACCTCACCTTCAATCCACTACTCATAATAGGCTTTATAAATTAGGGCAGTTCAATAAATAAATAGAGAAAAAGACTCAGCAGAGTGTACATGATGGTATTTTTTTCTGGCAACAATGAAAACTGAAAAAGATTTATAATTAGTAACCAAAAGAGAAAAGACAGTAAGGGTTAGATTAAGATTTGTGGTTGTGCCTGGGCTCATTGCTCTTTCATGGTAAATAAGTTTCCTTCACACGTTAAGAGATATATCACTGTGGAAAAAGAAATAATAAAATCTGGACTCAGTCTTCATTTCTAAGCTTCAGCATTTTATATCCATTTGCAGACTGGATTCTTCTGCAGCCCTCAAGAATGAAGGGAAAGGTTTTTACTTTGGAAGATGGGAATAAACATAGTTTTGGACTTTAAATATGTTGATCCAAAGCTTCTAAACTTTTGTCTACATGAAAAGAAAAATCATGACCAAACAGGAAAGCTCAAACATGGAGCTAAAACATCTGGACCTCACACTGAATTTTCTGTTGGCAATGTGTAAACTCAACCTGAATCTCGGCCACATCAATATGAGACATGACCACCCTAGGTACCACAGTGAAGCTGATGAGCGTTGAGAGTATATAGAAGCAGATAGGCCAGAAGACAAGACCCTCTCAAGGGTGCTATAAATGGGCCATGCCCAAAGTATATCAATTCCCTTGCCAAATTTCTCTTGGAAATAAGGAGTGTTGATTCGAGACCTAATGAATGATAGAAAAATTTACCATGAATTATACCCCTCATTTTTGTTTTTTGAGCACCTATGTCCACAGTCAGAGCACTATGCTGCCTACTTGCAGATAAGAATAGAATTTTGATTTATCCCTTAAGAGGTTAAGAATCCAGCTAGGGGCCAGGGGCAGTGGCTCATGCATGTAATCCCAGCACTTTGGGAGGCCAAGGCAGGCAGATCACTTGAGGCCAGGAGGTCGAGACCAGTCTGGCCAACATGGCAAAACCCTGTCTCTACTAAAAATACAAAAATTAGCTGGGTGTGGTGGTGCATGCCTGTAATCCCAGCTACTCAGAGGCTGAGGCAGGAGAATCACTTTAACCCCAGGAGACCAAGGTTGCAGTGAGCTGAGATCATGCCACTGCACTCCAGCCTGGGAGACAGGGCAAAACTCCACCTCAAAACAAAAACAAAAACAAAAGAATCCAGCTAGGGAGATGAGGAAATTATGTTAATAAATTCTAGTACTTGCACATGCTATTTATCTGGTTCCTAACTCTTTTTTGCTCTGAAAATCTTTAAGGCATTTTGTGAAATAGAAATCTAACGAGAATGAGAATTACTGGTTTAGACTTTAATTATTTATGTCTATAAAATTCTCTTATGCCTGGATTGATCTACTGCGGTTTATTTACAGGGAATAAACCAAGTGATAGAGTAGGAATCTCTAGGATTTTCTAGGAATTTCCTACTAATAAAATGCCAAATGCATAGGGTTTTATTATCTAATTTACCATATGAAGTTTTAATTAATTTGGATATCAGAAAAGTTTGGTTTATATTCTCCGTTATGTAGTGACTGATCTGATTGTTTTAATAATTTTATATGGGTATTGACAATAACATCCAAGTGACACATACATGTCTTGGTCAAAATATATGGATATACTCTTCCCATCTATACATCCCATCTTAATCAAAGAGTAGGATTCAACCAATGTCCTTTCTTTAATGCAGTAAAGACATTTTTAGAGAAATGCAAGAATACCCAACAGGTGACAGAAAGGACAGAAAAAAGAAGATAAACACATTTTCAAAATAATACTATCAAAGTACATTTGCAAGTTTTAAATCATTTTCAGAAGATGTGCAAATTCACAAGTACAAAAATACTCACATTTAAAAATAAAAGCTGAGAAAGTAAGTTCCTTTTAAATATACCTTCTCTCAAAGTGAAAATTAGTATCTTTACAAAGACTGAAAGCTGAGTCGGCAAGTTTTCAGTGTTTGTTCATTTTTTTTTTTTTTTTTTTTTTTTTTGGTAGACCTGTTGGATCACGAGGCAAATAGTACAAAAAATGCTTTGACTTTCCTTTTTTTAATAATGGGAATATTAAAAAAGGGACATTTCTATATTTCTGCCTTTTATTCATTAGGGGAGTTAATTTTAAGCAACATTTACCCTGAAACCACTATTTTTAAAGATTAACTTAATATATCACACTGCTTAGCATTTCTAGTAGAAGTTTTAAAATCTTTACTATGAATTGTTCATCAGGTTCTTCAAGTCTTAGTTTTGCCTTCATTATCACAACTAGGCCAAATTAGGTGATTGGGACCCTTGGAGTATTTTTATTGGCTTGTTTTAATTTGAATGCCTGGTTGGATGTAATTGTCAAATTTTAACATTTGCTCATTAATTCAATTAACACTTATGGAATAGTTTCCATGTCTTAGGAAATGTCCTAGGGCCTGGAAATACTGGTGGTAAAGGTATAATTGTTGCCCTAGCAAGAGCATTACATAGTTGAAGAAGAATCATATTGATTGAACAACTATGATGCTCAAACCTTTTTACAGAAATCTCTTCACTTATCTATTCCAAGAAAACAAGGAAGATGATCAGATAATTTAGCCAATTTCTCATAGCTGGATAGAAGTAGTAATGGTATCTGAGCGTCTGACTTCAGAAGCCATACTTTTCCCTGACTAAATGATGTTCTTAGAAGTTGGTAGAACAATTTCTCCCTTTTATGCTTAGAAACACACACATTCCCATACTATATCCATGGGTGAGAAGTTAGCTGGGTTTGATCATGTCATTCACCCTCAAAACAAATTGTCTTGGTAATGGCTCCCATAATTGCATTGTGGTATGCATCACATGATAGAATGGACAAAATCTAGAAAATGTCTGTGCTGCCACTCACTTGTATTGCACATTGGGATACCCCTTCAGTATTCCAAAGAATGAAATCATTTAAGTGACCATTGTCACTATACTTGAAATCTGTTTCATCATTACAATTGCATGAATCATTGTTCTCACTATTTGATAAGCAAACTTAAAGACCCAATGTACTTCTTCAGCTACGATTAAGAAGTAGAATAAGAACACAATGCAGAAAAAGAGGGAAAAATTAATTCTCACTTTCATGTGATCTCTGCAAAGAAAAAGAACATTAAAACAATGTGTCACTAATATTTTTGCTCAATGCCATTCATATATTACCTGAGTTAAGTAAAAACCTTTCAGCGATGTGACAACATCCCTGAAAGGTTTTATTTTCAAAAATAAATGTTCAGGCTATTGAAAAATATAAAATCACAAATAGACTGGATTTGGTGGATTCATAGATGTGCATGGTATGACAAGAGTATGTAGAACTAACTATATTTACATTAAATTTATGATACCCCTTGAAAAACATAAAACGTGAATTCATAGGATCTTGATGTGAATCATTCGCAATGAGGAGTGTTAATAAAAACTTTTTATTTGGTAATATAGAGGAGTGTCAGATAATAGACTAGGTGCACAATGTAATTAGAAATACTGAACTTTCTATTGCGTACACAACAGCTTGTGGCAAAGCTCTGAGTAAATCATAAACATAAGAATGGCACTGCATTGCACTTCATAGAACATCCTCGGGCCAAAAAAGACAAATAGGAGAGGTTCTGATTAAATATTTGCTCTGAAAATACCCACTGATAATATACTGCCAATTTCCTACCTTGGGTAAATAGCATCCCCCTCTCCCAAGGTAAGTAGGTCTCTGCTTATATTAGATTTTATTTACAAAAAGGAAATCTGGCCACAAAACACACCACAGTTATGTGAAGGGTATGGCCCAGCTTGTCTCAAAACATTGTCAGTGTGACCTTTGGCAAGGACCCAGTAAAAAAGCACTTTCTCTAAAGGAAATGAACACCTTTTCCCCTATAATCCTGCTAGCAAGATGTGGCATTAATGAAGCAATCCCAGCTTCCAGTGGTCATAGCACAAATCAGCTCATTTGGCTTGGTCAGTGGAAGAATGAATGCCAGGTGGATATGTGCACATAGGAGCATATGCAATGTTTCCATGGAAATGCTCCTGGTTCTGCCCGAATGGCCTTGGGGATGAATCCAG